>NC_000005.10:91018897-91321928 GCF_000001405.40 Homo sapiens
CACCATCTAGGTGTTGAGCCGGTGTTATAGAAATCGGTCATTTCATCACTGTAAGATGCCTCCCTCAGGGTGGCAACATAATGGCTGGTGGCTTCAGGTTCTCATCCTTTCAGCCTACCAGTCCAGAAGAAAGATAGTTTCTCTTTTCAACAGTTCCAACAGAAGTTCTAAATAGGAGTCCTGTTGGCTGCATGGATTCAATATCCACGCCTGAACTTATCATTGTGGCTAGGAGAGCAGATAACATTGATTATCCAGGTCATATGCCCATGGCTAGAGCAAAAGCAGGGAAGATGAGGTCAGTTATGATGAAATCACATGAATTTCAAAGGAAATTCTAAACTGCTGTTACCAGAAGAACAGGGAATAAATGTACTGGCAACTAGCATCTATGTCTGTTACACAGGTACACCATAATTAGTAAGTAGTAAGGAAAGTAGCAGTGGGCTTTTTGTGCATTCACCTTTGTGATTGTTGTCTCCTTTAATCTGGTATGGATGATCATTTTAGCCAGAACACCTTTAACCACTTTTTCTTACCTTAAGACTTATACTATTTGATGAGTCTGTTATACTTTAGAGCAAAGTGAGACCAACATTAAGACAGCTCTTCTTGCCCTTGGCTAACAGCAACAGATGTAATAGCTTTGAACATTGCTGTACATTAATTTACTTGGTTATTTCTCTTCTGTGGGAAAAAAATGGATATGATGCCACTTGATCCCTCTTTTTTCATAAAAGTCTGATGACTTGGAAACTGTTTTGTAATTATTTTTTAATCCTTAAATTCCTGGGATTTCGGTGATAGATGTCATTCAAACAAACTGGTTGTTAGTGAAAATACTGCTATCTGAGCACATGACCCTTAAAAAATGATTATTTTCTATTTCTCCACATCGTTAGCTCTTCAGATTCACTATGATTATTTAAATATATGTAGAGCGAAATCTAATTATTCTGGTGCAGAACATTTTTCATACATTTGTTTAACTATTTCCTACTCTCTGTCTGTCTTCCACCCCCAGGTCTCATGCTTTCTCCCTGTATAATTGTTTGAGCAGCTAGAATGTTAAAATTTTCACCCAATAATTGGGCCTGTCAAAGCCTTAGTGATTAAAGTATGTCATGTTTAAGAAAGTTTTAGAAGAAATATAGTGTTTCTAACTTTAATTTTTAAGGCTTATAGTTACGGCATATTGGCTATGATTTCTTCCCCATGGATGGCAAGTGATGCTCCTATCCGTATAAAGTTAACTGGTTTACATTATTTCTGAGTAAGTCCCAGCAATTGTTCTTGTCAGGCTACCACTGGTGTATGCTTTTGTAAGCTGGCCTTGATCCCAAAGAGTAGGGCTAGGAATCTAACATGTGTCCGGTTCCATTTCTCAACCCTCTAAACTATGTAACTTTCTTAGTGCTGACACACTCACTGGCCTATATTATTTAATCAGCTGATCACAGAAAAAAGAATTTGCCAGATAGCTTCCATTACATATGACTTTTCATTTTAGAAAGTACTTTCACGTATATTATCTCACTTGAATCTCATAACAGATGAGGTCCTATTATCTTAAATTTGCAGGTCAAGAGTAGAACTTAGGGACCTTAATGACTTGCACCAGGTTACATCACTAGGAAATGACAGAGTCAGGTCTTTGACTCTGGACTGTCTGTGTTCTTTCAATCACGCCATTGCCTGGAATCCATTCCAGCATTTGCAGACTATGAGACAGAGCTAAGCATGTGTGAAAGACCCACTGCCATTGTTCACATCCATCAAGATGGCTTTAAGGCTGAAGAATGTGCAGGCATCTCAGTTGGAAGGCATGCGAGCTTGATAGAAATTGAGACACTAGGAAGACACTGGAAGAGGAATGAACCAGCAGAAGACATTTTAAAGGATATTAAGCCTACTGAACACCACTGCTTCGACATCTAAATCTTTGAAATATTATTTAAGGGGTACTGACTTTGAGTACAAGTTAGTTCTTGTGCTACCTGTACACAATTCAAATAAAAGAAGTATTTTCGTTGAATGTCATTTCATTTGAAATATGTTTAAGTTTGAGTACTTTCAAGCTTATTCATTCCCAGTTTGCTAATATGTAAATGAGAGTTTACTTTTTCTCTTAAGGCCTTTTTATATGTTTTCAAATTTCAGTAGGAATTTAAAGCAAATCTTTCCATATCAGAAACAGACACAAATCAATGCTTTGGATCCTAAGAGCAGTTATTTAAAGTCAGTTAACTTATTGTTGGAACTTTGAATTGCTAAAGGAAAATATTTTATCTAACCTCATTTTTGTATTATTTCTAGAATGTCAATAACAACTGTCACAAATGATATTTTTGAAGAGCTATAATGTAAAATGGCATTAGGTTGTCAGTTTCACTTACCAGCAAGTAAGATATGACTTGAATTCTATACGGGGCCTAGCCTACTGTCTTTCCCTTGGTGGTATTATTTTTCTCCCAATTTCCTCACGATGTTGTATTTACAAAGTTAAGTACAGAAAATCCAATTTGAGAGGCTGGAAGCAGATCAAATGGTTTAATGAGCTCAGTTTTATTTATATTAGGTGGGGAAATCAAAGCTGAGACTAATAATTTCTGTGCCCATAAAAGAATAAGAGACCTAATTAAGCCCACACAGTGAACCAGGTTAGAGACTGCTTATCTTCCACATTTCCTGTGTGAAATAGTCCTGTCCCATCTCATCAGCTTTCATGTGAATCTTTACCAAGGAAGTGCAAATAGAGGTATCTGGCTGTCCTGAAAGGATAGCAGCAGGTAGATACAGTGTGATTGCACCCCTAAATTATTGTTTCTGGTGTGGCACAGACAAACAGTGATCCTTGTCCTGGCTTTTGAGGAAATACCTAGGAAGATATGAATTTTATTTCAAAAGAAGAGTAGTGCCTAGATAGGAGGTATCATAATGTCTGCATCTAGAACAGCTGTAACATTTGGAATTCAGATCTAGCTGCTTCCTGTGAGCAAAGATATACATCCGAGAAACAGCCAATGACTGTCAGCTTGTAACTGATTGCCTACCTGTAAGCATGGGTCAGCACCATATTAGCGTAGTCTTCAGTCAAGAAAAGCGGCAATCGAGAGTATCAATATAGTGACACAGATTCTAAAATCATACAAACAAATGATAGCGCATGCAACTTGAAAACTTTTTGAAATTGAAAAAACACAGTGGAATACCTGATATAGTTACTAATCACAGTCCTCCAAACAATTTCATTTTGAACTAGTTAAAATAGCATAATCATTATCTTTTTTCTAGCTTTATCTGCCGGATTCGATTGTAGCAGATTCTATCCAGTGTATTTATCAATGTAATCTAGAATCTATGATGACAGATCTTCATGAGTAGAATTTATAACTGAGTAAACCTAGTATTTGTGCTAAATCCGGACTTAGGCTTAGGTCCATCCAACTACTCATCGTGTCAGTGGAGCCCAAATGGTGAGACCACTAAATTTATCATCAGGGAGAGTTTAGTATGAACTCCAAAAATTCTCTATGGCTTTTTGCTGCCATAAAAATAGGCAGGAAAAAATATTTCAGTAAAACATTTGATTCAGAGGCTCAGTAGGTTACCTACTCCCTGTGCTTTAAGGTTTATGGAAAGAAAAGCATCTAGGCAATTTTCTAAGTTCTAGATACATTTGTAGTCTTATTTATGTAACTCCTGTAATCAAGGCTAAATGCAGACAGCTGAGAGTTCGGTTTGGCCTGTATTTACTTGAAATGGCTAACACCCATTTACAGGCTCATAAATCTTTCAAGTGTTACCACTGCGTGCATTTGTGGAACCCCACCCCCATTCATGAACAACTAAAATTGGGTCACAGATAAGCTTGATTACTTGTGGGGAAACAATTTGGGGAGATGAATATGTAATTTAGTTTCCCTTAATGTGAGGGATGAATTTGTTCCAACAGGTTTACAAGTTACAGTTTTAGCCTGCAGCTTTCTGTGTTGCTATTTTAAAATGTCATATTTAAAGGAGACACAAGAGCTAAAAATAAGTAAATTTAGGTGTGAAGTCCTAGGGCCTTGGGGTAGGACATTTGGGATCCTATGGATCTTTCGATAACTATGAAGCCCACAGTTGTCTCAGGACTTACTTATTTTTGTGTGTGGGTTAAAACAGAAATGATTGATTTTTCCCCATTGAAGATACCACAGATAAAAACTAATTATCTTAATGGAAACTTGATGCTTAAACAGAAACCTTTCTTTATAAACAAGTGTATATTGAATTTTTACAGTTAATAAAGCTAGTGCTTATATATTAAAAACACTCTTGTGATTCAAAACACCATAATGTGTAGCTAAACAATGAGTTTTATACAAGTGCTATGTACTTGGAGTAAGAAGATTAATCTGCAGCTATTCACAAGGTGAGTTAGGGGTAAGATACCAGAGCCCAGGTGAAAAGCAAGGAGGTCCTTGTTACAGTATAAGGAAGTGAGGAAGGTGAGGTGATAAAGTGGGAATGGAAAGGAAAGCAAATACCTGATACTGGAGATAAAGTTGTTGCTGTATATTCAAATGAAAAGGTATATATGTGCTCTCTTTTTCTTTTGTTTGGTTTTTGAGTTAGGGTTTCTTTTCCTGAATTGTTTAGTTGCCAGAATACTGGGTGAAAGAGATTTGGAAATTCTCTCTAGTATCAGGTTTGGAAATACACCATATCCCCATCCATGGTTTCTATTTCAGAATGGCAAAAAGATCCTGGGCCACCCAAGCTCCAGGGCTGGCTTGATGGGCAGGGAACTCAGGGTCCTAGCAGTGCTTTCTCCTGAAGCCATGAGCAAGGCTGTTGGAGTTACATTTCTTTTTTCGAAAATTCGAGTGGCTATACTGACAAGAGATAGATGAAAAACAGGGAGTATCACTAAAACGCTTCTAAAATATTATTTTTGTTTATTTTTAGGACCTAAATGTAATAACTAATATATAGTAACTTGTCACCTACGTGTAACTGAACCTCAGTTCTCTCAAGTTCATCTTTTCGTGTTTTTCATCTTAAATAACCACTATGTCTCAAACTTGAGTACACAGTGGAATCACTTGGAAAACTTTTTAAAAGTAGTACTAATTCATAGGCCCAATCCTAAACCAATTTCTGCACCTAGGGCCTCGGGGCCAAGCATGAGTAGGTTCTGAAATCTCCCCAGCTGATTCTAATGTGCGGCAGGATTGAGTTCCTCCTCTCTAAACACTCACACCTGTAACATCTGTTTATCTCAGTTGATTCTTGGTGATCTTAGCCATTTCTTCCATTGTATGGCCACCCTGTCTAGTGTTGGATGACTTTGAGGCAGAGGAGAATGACAATGAAATTGAAGGTTTGGGCATTTTCGGCCTAAGGGAAGAAAGGAAGCATGTTAATAATATCCTGTTTTAGAAACACAAGCAGCCTCTGTATGCCTGAATCATTTTAGTAGGTTAATAAACCCTAAAGTATTGCTCTATTAACTACTGTCTTTACTCTGCCAACATTTAGGATTTGAAAACATTAAACCCTTGTTTACATCCTCTGTAAGTCAGCATTGATTTGTTTCTCTTCTGGGATTCAGTTAAAAGCAGTGCTTAGTTGCACACACATTTTACAAAACTGAACTACACAAAATGATTTAAAAATACAAAGTAAAATTCCTAATCCCTCAAAAATGCCCCTGATCGTAGGCATACTTCATAATGAACAATCCAGGGTTCCATAAAAATTTTTTTTGTTATTAAAAAAAAGTTACTTTGTTCTCTCAGAATACAAACTACAGCATGAGCGTTCTCCATAGGGTTTAGAATGCGGCTTATTGCTTTAATGGGTTAAAGTTAAATCTTTCTTTTCAGTAGAAGGCATGCCCTTTAAATTTCTTGCCAGGCTAAGTGACACATGAGACAATTTATATCCACTAAGATTTCGGTAACTTGATGCAATAGCCTTGGCAACAAAATTCTACCAAATGAAAAGCATCAAATTGCGCAGAATGGTGTTCATAGCCAGTGGGTCTCCCCATCGACTTCCCTGGGAATTGTGCCAAGGTAAAAGGCTTTAGAGTTTCCATTGGTTATAAACGGCAGCTTTTTGAGCTCTCTTTAGACTAGGAAAGTTGATTACCTATAGCAAGCTTCTCTGACCAACACTGGCAACCTTGAGACCACTCTGAATCCATCATCACAAAAGACCTGCCACATATTAATTACGGTATAACTCCTCTTCTGCATAATTCTCCTTCTCTCTAACATTTCCGTGCTTTTCTGTTCTGTTTTCTGCTTACTCTTTCTCTTATTCACAGTTTCCCACCTCCTCCCCCATGCAGAATATAACTTGCATAAAAATCACACAAGTAGTCAAGGGGCAAAGTCAGGAGCTAACATGTTACAGAAGCAATAATATTGCCTAAGGGCAAAAGGAAGATTTTTTTTTTTTTAGGCCATGTCTTATCTAAGCCAGATAGTTGAGCATTTTAATACAAATTATCAAAATAGATGCATAACTACTACCCAAAAAGCATATGGGATTTAGTATAAAAATCAATGACCTTTGTGGACATAGAGGTTAAATAACAGATATAATTACTTTTTAATAGAAAAGATCATTTTTTCTGTTTGTGAGACATAAAGGAAGGGCATGCTGTCAGATAAAACAATTTGTTTCAGCTGATCTCCCAAGAGACTGCCACAGGCAAAAGACATAGCCGGTAGAGTACCCGTCTCCCCACCCTTCTGCTGCACATTCAGAATGGCAGCCTGGGAACCAGGGGCATCACCAATCAGCAACAGTGAAAAGGGCCGCAAAACCCACACATTTTCATTTCCATTGCATTTATTCTAGTTACCTTCACTGATAAACAGGGAGGTGAAACAAAGCTGTTTTACTGTTGTTTCACTGTGATCAATCCAGAAACTATGAATATACTGTTAAGAATAAGCTTGGCAGGTGAGCTTCAACACGTGAAAGCATCTCAGTTCTCAACAAGGCAAGAGTGACAGACTTGAAGAGTTAGGCACAGTTTATTGCTGAGATAATAACCAAGAAAATGCCGTCTAATAATGACGGTAATACTTAAGTGCTTACTACTCAGTGCTACAGTGAAATTGATAGTACTCTTATTATCACCATCCCCATTTTAAAAATGAGAAAACTGAGGTACAAAAAAATTACATACAATTAATACAAAGTCCCACAGCCAGCAATACACAGCTTAGCTGGTATTGAACCTGCTCCAAGGTCAGTGCTTTGAACCATTAGGCCATGGTTCTGTTAAGCTTTATGAAACTTCTGTGCCTGACAAACAAGATTAAATATTTGCAAATGCTCTAAAGCTGAATAGCATGATGCCAAGAAAGGAAATATGAAATATTTCATTTGAGCAAGGCATAAAACAATGCCTTTCAAAAAAATAAGCCAAAGATCATTTCACTGCTTTATTGCTTTGTAAATATTAATTAAGCCTCCATTCTAAAGTCCTGCGATTTAATTATGAAATAATATTTTTCTTCTATCTCAGTACAATTCCCTTTCCCTACATTCCAACACAGTCCTGAAAAGTGAACAATTTCAAGATTAAACCTCTATTCTTGATATTGAATTAAGTACACACTATTAAGTAGACATGACTTTGGATTGGTACCTCCTTGGATTTCAGTTATGGAGGGAAAGTGGAAGCTCTTAGGGAGGCTTCATGACACTTTGAACATGAGCATTCCTGAACTCAGAGGCGACAGAGCCATTTGTGCTGTGAGTGGATTTTGGAGGAGTGCCAAAAAGACCTGGCAGGTAACAAAAGTTGGTAACACTGAGGGCCTCAGTTAAAATGTGTAAGAAATAAGTAAGAATTAATGTCTTCGTAAAGATAAGCTAACCTCAGCTTTTATACTGCAACGAGAATAGGATCCGAGACCCACAGAACCAGAAATTAGTCCTTGCTGTCTAACTAGGTTGGTGCAGTGGCTCACACCTGTAATCCCAGCACTTTGGGAAGCCGAGGCAGGCAGATCACTTGAGGCCAGGAGTTCGAGACCAACCGGGCTAACATGGAAAAACTCCATCTCTACCAAAAATACAAAAATTAGCCAGGTGTGGTGGTGCATGCCTGTAGTCCCAGCTACTCAGGAGGCTGAGGCAGGAGAATCTCTTGAACCCAGGAGGCAGAGGTTGCAGTGAACCAAGATTGTGCCACTGCACTCTAGCCTGGGCAACAGAGCAAAACACAGTCTCAAAACACACACACACACACACACACACACACACACACACACACACACACTGTCTAACTAGAGGAGAGGAGCAATCTCTCAGTTCTTCATCTTCTAATCTATAAAACAAATAATGGACTAAACAATGGTTGCTAACCTCTTTGATAATCTAACAGAAGGAGTCCCTGGACTCCTCATCCTACAGGTTAAAAACTTGTAGATTAAATCCCTCAATCTCTTTACAATGCCTACAGTGGTGATTTCTGTTCATTTGCAATACTGAGAAGGTGAGATACAGTGAGTGTATTTCCTTGGTTGGCAAGATGGCAAGGCCAGCCCAGAACATTGAAAGATATGGAAACAGCATAAGAAGGAAAGTCAAAAAGGCTACTGGGCTAGTTAGGACAGGCACTCTGGAAGGAGGGCAGTCACTGAGGAGATGGCTCTGCTCTGTGCTGAAGGCAAACTGGAATGAACTGACAATTTTGCTTTCAGGGGAGGGGGTGATGAAGAGTTCAGTTTTGTTCTCCTGCTTTAGTGTACTATGCTTTATACATTGGTCCAGACTATCTAATCAGGATCTCATTAAGGGAAAGCTTAGCATTGTTTGAGTTCTCTTTCACACAGCAGAGCTAAAAGTAAACAGCGGCCAAAGATAAACAAGGAGCATTGCTTTTTCCTGTGTTGTACAATAGTTAAGTCTAATTTATTGACAATAATTGTTGGTAGTATAAATACTGAATCTGAGATGAACTTTGCAAAGAGCCTGCTGGTTTTTAAGCTTTACCAAGCCAGCAGACTTTCTTTTGTTGCTAAGGGAATTTTTTTCCAAATCAGGATTTCTTAAATAGCAGGCTTTGTATGCTGGAAGACACAAGTGACCCACTCACTACTGAGATCCAGCTTTTTTTTTCTTTCTTTTTTTTTTTTTTTAATTCTTTAAATCAATGAATGGCTGAACTTCAACTTTTCTCTGCTGTTGTTTCTTATAAAAGAAGTAGATAAGATAGATTTATGAGCAAAGAATAGAGCTTCTGCTTCTGAATCCTCCTTTGGGGTCGTCTGAGTCATGGTTTAGGAAAGAATTCCTACCAAAATCCCTGAAACAATGGACCAATTCCACTATTCCCTCTTCTCCCTCATATCCAGCTATCCCCATAAACCCAGAGAGAGGACCTGACCCCGTAGGAGCAAAGGTGCCCTGGATTATGGTCCTGGTTTGTGAAAGAAAATTGCATTTACCAATATCTGCCTCACAGTTCTTTCTTGACTGATTGCTTATTTACTCCTGGCTATATTTACAAAACACTTCAGGCCGACTTTGATATCCTTAAAGTTGGTCTTGATATCTTTTCATTTTGCTCTTTTTTGTCCGGCCCAATCCACACCCTGCCCTAAGCATATTTTCTCAGTAATGACGCCCATTTACACATGACCAGACTTATGTAATTTACTAGATCTATCCTAGTCATGCTGCACTATCTTGCCCTCCTCCAGTTTAAGACATCTCTACCATCAAGGACCAGCCTCTTTAAACACAATCTGTTCCAGGCAGATTTATCATGACACCCAACATGTCTGAGCCAAAGTCCAAGTGAAAACACTAGACTCTGTTTTTTTTTTTTTTTTTTTTTTTAGGAGTCTTGCTTTGTTCTGTCGCCAAGGCTGGAGTGCAGTAGTGCAATCATGTCTCAGTGCAGCCTTGAACTCCTGAGGTCAGGGAGTCCTCTTGCATCAGCCTCTTGCATAGCTAGGACTACAGGTGCACCTCACCATGTGGCTAAGTTTTTTTTATTTTACATGGAGACAGATTTTGCTATGTTGACCAGGCTAGCTTGAACTCCCAAGTTAAGTGGTCCTTCCACCTGGGCTTCCAAAAGTGGTAGAATTACAGGCATGAGTCACTACACCTGGCCAAAACATTAGAACTTTTTTCTTTAGGGTTTTTAAAAAGAAATGTATCAAATGTACAATTCCACTCCACATTCTACTCCTTCATATTATGAAAGTTGGTGTATATTTTTTCCATCTATCTTTTTATATTCTTCATGAACTACATAAAAAATTAATTGATGGAGCGAGACTCCGTCTCAAAAAAAAATTAATTTATGCAGATGTACCTATCCTTCAGCAATTTGCCTGTTTAATCAATATAATGTTTTAGATGTGATTCCAAATGATATGCATAACTTTAGTTGACTCACTTAAACTATTACTTTCATGTCAAGGTATGAATATGATACAATTTATTTCTCTATCAGTTATTAATAGAAATTTAGATTTTCCTGAATTTTTCATTGTTATAAACAGTAGTTCAATGAACACATTTCCATATACATATGTGCAAAGTTTCTCTGGAACATGTAACTAGAAATGAAATTGCTTGACCTCATGTAGATATATCTTAAATATTAGTAGACATTGACAAATTACTCTGAAAAATGGTTGCAACAATTTAAACATAACCAGCCATGTTGAAACATATCCCCACAGCTTCACCAACACATGGTGTCTTGCTCTTTCAAATAGTTGTCCAACAATTTTTTGTAATCGGTTGTTTATTTTTTCTTATTGATTTGTAGAAATTTTATTTATTTCATGAATATAATCATTTGTCAATTAAATACATTGCAAATATCTGCTTCTAGTTTTCCTTGTCTTTTAAATTCCATATATCAAATGAAGTATTCAAGTTTGATACAGTCATATTAACCAATATTTTCCTTAACTCTTGATTTTAAAAAAATCACCTACAGTATTTCAATGTCATACTCTCTTACAGTGTTTTCTAAACTATTTAAAGTTTTATTTTTTACACTTAGATATTCTATTCATCTGGAATGTATTTTGTGAATGGTGTCAAAGAGGGATCTACTTTTTAAAAATAATAACCAATTGTCTCAAGAGCATTTATTAAGTAATATCTTTCCCCATTTACTTGTCATATACTAAAATTACTATTCACATGTGGGTAAGCTCTCTCTTCTGTTCCATTTGATTATCCCTGCACCAACACCATACTCTTTTAATTGTTGTATGATATTTCTCCTTTAATCTGCTAATGATGAGATTATATTGATAGATATTCAAATATTAAAGTCTTTGAAATGCTTAGATAAACCCTTTATTTTAGTCCACTCTTGGATTCAAATTATTATACTTAATTCAGTTTTTGCATGTATATTCTAAGTAAAGCAGGTTTATAATGATTCTTTCTCATATGTTTTTGGTATTTTGGTATCTAAATTATGATAACATAAAAAATGAAGTGGAGAGAAATGGTACAGTTTTTTTAAGATGGAGTTCTTTGTGTGTAAAGATTTGTTTAACTTTTGCTCGTAAAACTTTATTGATTTTAGAGGTGTAGGGTGAATTTTGACTCTAATTTCTTCAATAATTTTTGGTCTAGCCATGTTTTCTATTTTTATTGAGTCACTTTTGAGAGTTCTTTTTATGTTTCATCTTGTATAAAATTTAAATTTTATGATCATGTGTAGACCTTTTTATACTTAACACAATGGAAATGTTCATATTTATTTTTTCCCCAAAGGAAAAATTTCTGAATCATCACTATGTTGCACAGTAGAATAGGAATTCAGGTACTTAGTCAAGTTAAGAATGCAAATAACAGACAAGATTAACTTCTAAAGTCTGAAGTCATCAACATGATTTTGTAGTACTCTGTCTCAGGCTTTACCTAAAAATTCATTATTATTCAGATAAAGATACCCCCTAATTACATGTTTTTGAAAAGCCTCTGCCCCACCACAATTTCCTGAGATCTGTGAAGAAACTGCAGTCTTGTGATCAGAGTCCATATAGTACTGGCAGTTTTGTAATCAAAGGAAAAAACGTCGACTGATTTTATATGTCAATCAGTTGTAGTCTGCTGATCTGATTAGAAACCTTGACAAATGCCTGGTGGCGATTGCAAATAACTGCCAATCATATAGGGATGATACAGTAGCTCAGTGTTTTGGGATCAGCTCTTGTACACAAGTAAAAGAACAGAAACATCTGTAAGTAAGGTATTAGAAAAATAATTGTCCACAACCAAAAAGGCAAGAAGAGTAATCGAGATTTCCAGGAGTGTGTCCATGTGGTTCCTTCAAGGGGCTCCTCAGGTTGCTGTTGAATGTGTTCCAAGGCCAGCCTGTTGTAAGTCTCATTGATTTCAAACATAGTAAAATGCTGCTGCACTTGCTAACAGATACAATCCCACTCCAATCTATCTCATCCGCTGACGGAAGTTCATCATTCTGCATGCTCTGTGCCATGGTCCCGAAAACCTTCCTGTTCCCATGGCCAGCATTAAAGAGTCACTCAACTCTGAATAATCTGGTGGCTTTGGCATTTCAGAGAAAGCCACCATAAAGTAAATCCCCTGGGTCACCAGGCTGGGAGAAAGGTCTGGAGCACCAGCTACTAGTGATTAAGAACCTTGTGACTGTGGCAGGTCACACCCCACTCCTGAGAGTTCTTTTTAGAAAATAGTTTATAATCTAAGTATTCAAATATGTTAGCATAAGATGAGTCATATTATTTTCTGATACCTGAGGTTATGTCTCATTGTTTTTGTGCCTTCCTTCTTCTTATGATCAATAATGCCAAAGATTGTTAGTATCTTTTCAAAGAATTAGCTCTTTAAACACTTATATTTCATTTATGTGATCAATAAATTTTATTAACTGCTATATACCAGACTGTTCTAACTAATTGGGTTTCTTTTTAAAAAGTAAAGAGTAAACTAATCCTAGATCCCTGCGCTTGCGGATTTTATGAGGCAGAGATAAGTTGTTCAAAAAAGAAAAAATAATTAATTACGTGATATATTAACAAGATAATAAATGCTATGAAAAAATAAAGCAGAGTGAGGAGAATCAGAAGTGCCACATGTTGGGAGCAGCATGCGGGCTGCAATTTTAAAGAAGGTGGGCAGAAATATTATTGAGAAGATGAGATTTGAGCAAAGATTTAAGGGAGGCAGGAAAGTTAGCCATGTGAGCATCCCGGAAGTAATATTCCTGGTGGAGGGAACAGCCAGTGCAAAGGCCCTAAGGCGGGAGCAAGCTGGGCATGTCTGGGGATTGCAAAGAGGCCAGTGTGGCTCCAATAGAGTGAATGAGAGGGAGAAGAGAGAAGTCAGAATAGATAAGGATAGTGAGTCTGAGTTTAAGAAGGCTGTGGGAGGAATGACATAATCTGATTTATAGTTTTAAATATAAACGGAAGCAGAGTAGAAAAGTTATGATGCTATTGTGATGTAAAGGCAAAAAATGATAGGCGTTTGGATTAAGGTGGTAACAACTGACATGTAATGGTGAATTTAGAGTCGTCTATCTCTGCTACCTTCATTTGTCTTTATTTCACCAATATTGGCTTATATCATTAGTATTGTCTTCCTACTTTCTATAGTTGAGTCATTAACCACCTTGTCTTATCTGTTTTGTTCTGCTAATTATAATTATATATATATTTTACTAAGTCTCTTAATTATATAATTTATTCTTTCTTTGCCTTACTAAGTTTTTGTTTTTCTCAACTTAATCTGTCAGTTTCTGAAAGAAACAAAATCTCCCATTATGGTTTTGGATTTGTAAATGTTACTTTATATTAGTGTTTGAATTATATATTTTGAGGCTGTTTTCTCTTAGATGCATATAGATCCACATTGTTATATCTTCCAGGGGAAATCATTTTTTGAGCCTTTTTAAATCTCTATGAATGTTTTAAAGACTTACTTTGTATATGATTTCCTATTAGTATTAGTACCCCAGCTTTCTGTTCTGCTGTGGCATTTCCTGGCCATTTACTTCAGACTTCAAGCGTCATTCGTTATTTTAGGTAAATCTTATATAGCACAGATCTGGATTTGTTTATATCAAATCTAGAGCCCTGTTAGTTAGTGGGTTTTATACATTTACAGTTATTTTGATTGCTAATAAACTTTGAGTTATTTCTACTATCTTACTTTGTGTTTTCTATGAACTGAGCTTTTTGTTAACTTCCTTTTTTACTTTCCTTCCATTGATGTGATTAAACACTCCACTTTTTGTTTACTAATTTGTATGGTTTTTAAAATACATATACTTAAAAACATTTTAAGTTAATAATGTCTTTAACTTGTTCTTGAATGATACAAGGACCTTTATTTCCTTGTGTGGCTTATAATTTTTTTATTATAAGCATGGCTAGAGTTTTCTATAGGAATTCCTTGTGCCCTTTGACGGGGTCCTACATGATTTAAAGATTCCAGACCAGTTTTATGTTACTTTCTCAGCTTCATGTTCCTGATCTCTGTGAATAGTGTGAATTTGGATGTCACATGTACATGGGACAAGGTTTGCAGTTCAAGTTTCTGACTGTTAACTATTTGCCAGTCTCCCAGGGCAGTGAGCAAAGATTTTTCTGATTCCCTGTTCATGATTTTGGCAGCCATTCATGGCTCCTAGGTCTCTGCATGTAATTCAGTCCTGGCAATGTGCAAACAGGGCCCTGACACCTCCTCACAGGCATTAAACTTTGCCCTTCCCAGTTCTGATTCTCTGTGAGCCGCAGGACTTCAGTCCTATTACCCAGTGTGACATTTTGTTGTGGCTTTATTTTTGGCACATGAGGATTTATGATTCCAAATTTTGAGTTACACTATAAATTCCAAATTGTATTATTCTTATTTATTTTTTAAGCAGTTTATTTGTTTTGAGCAGGGATGGGGGATTCTTACACATCAGTACTGTCAACCATATTGACTTGAAGTTCATCTTTCACATTTTTACATTTAACAGATATTCAAATCTTAGTGATTTTTTATATTCTGAATACTGCATTATTCAGAGACATTGTTCATTTAACATTTCTTTTTCTCTTATTTAAAGTCACCAAATATTTTGATTTCTTTATGTAAGAGAAATGAAGCATGCAGAAATTCCTAACCAACTACAGTTTTGTGATAACCCGATTTTTTCTATAGATACTAAATTTTAAAAAATTTAAAGTTTGTATTTAATGTGATTGCTTTCTGTCCTCCAAATCTTCCAAAATATAGCTGGAAGACCAAATCTAGTATAGGCGGGGAGGTTACCTAAGCATTTTGCTGAGGCTTGTGAAAACCAGCTATGGTTAGTCTAACTACAAATGCATTACATTTAATTTTAATAAGGTTTGGTTTACAAACTTTAAGCAGGTTAAAGTCTACATAACACAGAACTCATGGAAAAATCTGCCTCACTGGTTAGACTGAACAAAGTTTCCTTAAAATTTGAAGAGAGATTCAAGAAGGGTAATATGTCATGGTAGATTATTAACATTAATAATTCTGTTTTATTTTAGAAAAGAATGTGTTTTTAGAAGTTTTATTCTTAAGTACTACATCCTCCTAAAGTCATCCTTCCATATAAATGTTTTGAGAGCTTGGCCTAATTCCTTATCACAAGAAAGTCAGGGCGTACAGTGTCCTCACCAGTATCTCCATGGAAACTTGTGCTTCGAATTTCTGCTTTCCCTGTATTATCTCTCTCCACTCTTGATTCTAGCTTCTTTCAGGTGTTTTCTTCTCTCTGTCTCTTATCCACACAGACATGAAGGACAGACTCCTTTTGTTTTTTTGCATCCTGCCAAATTCTAAAAGTACAAGTCAGAGTGACAAGCAGACAAAACAGCATAATGGGTGTTTTGGTGGACATCCTCTTTATCCCCCTGTTATGTTGCCAAGGCTGGAGTGCAGTAGCATGATCATAGCGCACTGCAGCCTCAAACTCCCAGGTGCAAGCGGTCCTCCCCCTTCAGCCTTCCCAGTAGGTAGGACTACAGGCATGCTAATTTTGTTATTTTTTTGTAGAGACAGGGTCTTACTCTTTTGACCAGGCTATTCTCCAACTCCTGGCCTCAAGCAATCCTCCCAAAGTACTGGGATTTCAGATGTGAGCCGCTGCATCCAGACTAACATCCTTATTTTTAAAGCTTCCTCTGTCATCTGTAACACAGGGACTTTTGCAATGGCTCTGTTTCTCCTTCCAGCCCTATACTTCTTCCACCATCCAGCCTGCCACCATATGTTGTATGCCATCAACCCTTTTTTATGTCCTTAATTCTCACTGCCTCCCTCTTGAGCTGCCTCTGGAAAGAAACCAAATTTTCCTCACTTTCTGTTGAAAAGCAAATCCATCTTCCCTTGGTGTCACCTTGTCTTTGTCTTGAGGCCCATTCACTTACTTCCCAATGGACTATTAAGGAGTTTTGCTGAACAAATTATTTCCCCAAGAAGAATTCTGTTTATAAGATTTTAAGATAACATTTTCCTCTTCCCCAATATATTTTTTAGAATGATTTTTCAACTCTTTGCTTAACCCCAATTTTCTGAAATGCTTTGATATTACTAACTTAGGTTTTATTAGATAATGAAAATTTCAAGAATGTAATTCTTGTGAATGGCAAACTATTAGTTTATATTTATAATATTTACTAGGCTAATTTAGTTAGAGCAAAAGGAATCTAAAAATATCTTGAATTGAGAAACCAATGTAGCTTGGATATGAATGATATAGATGAAATCATGTATCTGCCTGCCTAGTTTCAAATCTTCCTCTATCACTTACTAGCTGGTGTGACCTTAGACAAGTTATTTAACCCCTCTGTTCTTTGGTTTCCTCATCTATAACATCGAATAATAATAATAACAATAATAATCTCTATCTCATATGGATGTTGTAAGTAATAAATGAGTGTGTATATATATATATATATTATATATATATATATATATATCTTACAACAATGCCTAGCACCTGGTAGGCACTATATACATGTGTCAGCTAAGATTTCCTTACTTACACACAGAATCTCAAGAACAAAAATATGAGATAAAGGAAGCTTGACAGATGAGGGTTTTAGATTAAGTATTGTAGATATGTGATGTTAAAAATATACTTAATGAAGAAATCATTATGTTTAAATGTATTCTAATATACACTAAATGAATTCACAATATACTTCACATAAGGAGGTAAGGCATGTATCCTTAAACAGCTCTTGGTATTTTTTTCTGGCTCCTTAGAAAATCTGGTAACAGTAACTTAACTCATTTCAAGAGCTATGTTAAAGCTGGGTATGGTGGTTCACACCTGTAATCCCAACACTTTGGAAGGTTGAGGCAGGAGGATTGCTTGAAGCCAGAAGTTCTAGACCAACCTGGGCAACAAAGCAAGAGCCTGGTGGGCGGATCACTAGGTCAGGAGATCGAGACCATCCTGGCTAACACGGTGAAACCCTGTCTCTACTAAAAATACAAAAAAAAATTAGCCGGGCGTGGTGGCGGGCACCTGTAGTCCCAGCTACTTGGGAGGCTGAGGCAGGAGAATGGCGTGAACCCGGGAGGCGGAGCTTGCAGTGAGCTGAGATCGCGCCACTGCACTCTAGCCTGGGCGACAAAGCGAGACTCCGTCTTAAAAAAAAAAAAAAAACGGCCAGGCCTGCGGGTGAGCGCCTGTAGTCCTAGTTGCTAGAGAGGCTGAGGCAGGATCACTTGAGCCCAGGAGTTGGAGTCTGAAGTGACCTATGATTGTTCAACTGCACTCAAACATGGACGACAGAGCGAGACCCTGTCTCAAAAACTATATATATTATTAATTGTTTTTAAAAGGAACTATGTTAAAGTAGTGATTACCCAGGGGATTCACAATGCCCGTGAAGCACATTCTTATACCTCAGATTAAGAATCCCTGGCTTAAGAGTTTCTGGCAGGAAATTAAATGCAAGAAAATAAAAATAAAATATTTTTAAATGTTAAAGATTATACAACTTAGATGACCTTTTTGTTGCCAGGGACTCTGATGGATCTGAAATACTACCCTACTTGCTAGCTAATAAGTTAGCCTGCCACAGTTTCATGGATACTGACAGATATGAACATTCTGGGTCAGAGACAAAGCAATTTTATCATTCATGGCATAGCAAGCAGCACTGCTCCATGTTCGTATCAGTTCTCCTTGCCCCAAAGACCCAGGCAGGCAACACAAAGGAGCCCAGGTGATTGCTGTGCATGCAGTGGACTTGCATCACAGCTGAGGATATCCAAGTTTAGGAAAGCCCAATCTTTTATAACAGGTACAAGCAAACATGCCTTATCTTTTCAGTAGAAGGACACGTCTTTTTTGTACTAGACAGTAAGCAAATCTGCTGTCTGCTGTAGAGGAAAGCAACTGTGTCTGTCCTCCAAAGTGGATCATATATTCTTAAAAAAAAATAGTCCAGAATGAAAGCTGTCAGTGCCTTTGCTTGCAAGCCATGCAGAAACAAAGAAAAAGAGTTGTCTTCCAATGTTTGTCCCATCAAGTCAGGAAGGGAAAATATTATCATATATTAGTTAGGAGAGGGGGGATAAAGTTAGTTATGTGGATGGAAAGATAACTAATAATCTCTTCACTGTAATCAGGAATAAGAAAAGAACAAGGTATATGTAATGTTTGCCTTCAAGGAGCTAACAGTCTGGTGATAGTGACAGGCTTTAAACAGATAAGCCATAAAAAGATTATTTGCAATTTAGATAAGTTTCACCAGAAGAAATGAAGATTTATGAAATTATATATTCGAGGGACTTGATCTAGTTTATGATATCAAAGAAAGTGTCCCTGAGGAAGTAACATTTGAAAACAAGGCCTAACAGACAGAGTAAAGTTGAGCATCTCTAATCCTAAAACCCAAATACTACAAAATCCAAAGCTTTTTGACCACCAACATGACATCACAAGTGGAAAATTCCACACTTGACCTCATGTGATAGGCCACAGTCAAAATGCAGTCAAACTTTGTTTCATGCACACAATTATTAAAATTATTGTCCAAAAATTATTGTATGTGTATAAGGTATACATGAAACATAAATGAATTTTGTGTTTAGACTTAGGTTCCATCCCTATGATATCTCATTATATGTATGCAGATATTCCAAAATCTGAAAAAAATCCAAGGTCTAAAACATTTTGGGTCCCAAGCATTTCAGATACTTCACCTGTGGTAGGAATTGTCAGGTGAAGAGTAGGGAAAACAATATTCTGGGTAGAAGGAAGACCCTATTGAATGAAGGAACCCTGTATTATTAGAGAAACTACAAGAAAGCGAGGATTACTAGAGCAGTGTAAGATAAGCAGGAGCCAGATTGGGTTTTGGACTTGATTCTGATGGCAATGCAAAGGCAGTGAAGGGTTAAGAAAGAGAATCACCTCATTATATTAGCATTTTAAAATGCCCCTCCATTGTTGTATGAGGGATTTGTTGTAGGGGAAGGGTGAATGCAGACCTTAGAGTTAAGAGCTTGTTGCTACAAGCCCAGCAAGAGTTGATAGTGCTCTGGCTACAGACAGTGGCAGTGTAGATGAAGAGAAATGAATGGATTCAAAAAATATGTTTATAAAGTGTAGTTGTCAGACCTGGGTGATTGATTTCATCTAGAGGGAGAAAAAGAAGGTCGTGGATGATTCTCAGATTTCTGGCATGGGCAACTGTGCAGGCAGAGTGCCTAGAAAGAATTAACTAGCCTCTTGGGGATTTATCTCATAAATTCACTTCTATTTCAGTGACAGCAAGCATCTTAAATATATACACACAGGGAACCTGATTCTCTCCAGAGCCCTAAGAACTAACTTTGGTACAGATAAAAGATGAGCTGTAGGGAATTGAGATGTCACACTCACCTCAATATACAGGTAGTTTTTACTTGAATTCATTGAAGAAAGAATACCATTGTGCTATCAGTTGGTTAAAAATTGCACCTCAAATTTTCCTACCAGTATGATCCCTTTTAAGCTGTATAATTTACACTGGGGTGTGATGCCATCATTAATGCTCCCCATGTTGATTCTAATGAGGAGTATGTCCTTTTCTCATTCTGAGAAAAGTATGCTCTTACTACCCACAGATATTCTGAATATATAGTTGATATTCAACCATATCAAATATTGAACCTGGTGCTTCCAATATATAAGTTATTCCTTAGGATTAAGAAACTACTGAAAGCATTTCCTTGGAGTATTTAAAACGCAGCTGACAAAAATCCAACTCAAGCTAGCATAAGAAAATGTGTAGCTCATATAAGTAAAAACTTTCAGATCAGGGTAGGACTCAGGCAGCCATAGATACCCAAGATGTTTTCACGCTGTTGTCCTGCTCCATGACTTCCTTTCTGGAGTCCTTTGTTACCTTCGTTATCGGTTAGGCTTTCTTCATGAAGTACAAAAGGAAGTCACTGGTAGCTCCAGGCCTACACGGTCCATCTGATTTCCCAGTGGAAAAGTGTCTTGCTTCCTGACCATGAAAACAGGGAAGACTGTTTGAGTCATGTATTCACCTCTGAACCAAAGCTCTGATTGTCCAAGTTGGGTCACTTGCTTGCCTTGGCCAGGCTAACTGGAATCATATTTGGTTCTGGTTCTAATCTGTTCTCCACAAGAAGAGGGGATTTTATCCCAGAACATGGGGAAATAAAGATGGATGGGCATGCAAACAAACAAATAATAAATGTCCACTTCCGATAAGTAAATTGGGAAAGAGCTGAAACATCACAGAATGATTTCAGTACAGGCCAGTGTAGAATTGCAGACGTGGAAGGTTAAAACAAGGTACATTGATATAAGATGAAGGAAAGATAATGATGCAGTAATATACATTAAAAGATGGAAGGACTGTAGTATGTTGCCTGTGAATCAGCAGGTGTCAAGTTTTGAAAACAAAGATGTACAAGGATGAATAAAAAGTATGTCTAGAATATGGGAGTGGTGGTTTAATTTGGCTATTTTACTACTCTTAAATTAGATCTTTGTATCTGAGGTGGAACTCCTCAGCTAAAGAAAAATGAAAACAATTGGAAAGAGCCAGAAGAGACCTATGAAGATGAGTAATGGGTAGAAAATAAAATTTAAAAATCAATAAATATATATGTAGTGTTTTGTCCATGCAAAATAAAGCCCTTTGAGGAGGATAAAATGTAGAAAATTATTGTAATAGCAAAAGAGAAATATAATGCTTTTACATATATGGTTTCAATTCAGAAAAAAATGCAGCTATTTTTCTCTTTGCATCCATACTCAAAATAAAACAGAATAAAAGAAGTTCAAGCAGGTGCACGAAATATTTATATGAGAGATAAATATTTTTAACTTGGAATTAATAACTGTTAGAATGAATTTCAAGCCTTCTCTGAGATCTTTTAAAATAGAGTTCCTTCTCATATGTTTGGGCTGTGGGGCACTGTACTGCTCAAAGGTAAAGTGACCAGTTAGACGACTATATGCTTCATGAGGACAGGAATCCTGTGTTGGGTGAATTCACATCTGATAGGCTGGAGCATAATGGTCTCTAAAATATTTGCTAAGTATGTGTTGATGTTAATTTGCATTTCACTTAGTTGTTAATTATATATGTTTGGAATCTGCTTTATGGATCTGCTTAACAAATATTACGTTTATATTAGGTGGTATCATCATACATACATGGCATCATACATAGACTGCCAACTTTCTAGCTGCTGTGTTTTCAGTGAATAGAAGCTAGATGTGCTAAGTAAAAGATGATGACAACAAGATACTGATAGAATTTCCAGTTATCTGCAATTTTGGATCATCTGATCCATTATCTCCATCTATTATCAACTAAGCATTCATTTGAAGAGTAATTATGGAAGATGAGGTTTGTTAATATTATAAGTTATACTGAATACAAAGGACAACGGTCATAACACCTTTATGAATAGACTCAATATTGCATCCAGGTCATCATGGAATTGAGCAATAGAATTTAGGTTCAGTAAAGAAACTTAAGGACCATCTTCTACCCAATCTTCTCTTCTTCTCTAGTTATCTCATTATTTAAGTGATGATGTGATTGAAACCTAACTATGTTAAGAGACTTGCCCAATTACACTGTTGGTGGGAGTGTAAATTAGTTCAACCATTGTGGAAGACAGTGTGGCAATTCCTCAAGGATCTAGAACTAGAAATACCGTTTGACCCAGCAATCCCATTATTGGGTATATACCTAAAGGATTATAAATCATTCTACTATAAAGACACATGCACACATATGTTTATTGCAGCACTATTCACAATAGCAAAGACTTGGAACCAACCCAAATGTCCATCAGTGATAGACTGGATAAAGAAATGTGGCACATATACACCATGGAATACTATGCAGCCATAAAAAAGGATGAGTTCATGTCCTTTGCAGGGACATGGATGAAGCTGGAAACTATCATTCTCAGCAAACTAATACAGGAACAGAAAACCAAACACCACATGTTCTCACTCATAAGTGGGAGTTGAACAATGAGAACACATGGACACAGGGAGGGGAACATCACACACTGGGGCCCATCGAGGGGTGGGGAGCTAGGGGAGGGATAGCATTAGGAGAAATACCTAATGTAGATGACGGGTTGATGGGTGCAGTAAACCACCATGGCACATGTATACCTATGTAACAAAACCGCAGGTTCTGCACATGTACCCCAGAACCTAAAGTATAATTAAAAAAAAAAAAAGAGAGAGAGAGAGACTTGCGCAATTTGAAATAACCTCTTTATGGCAGAAACTGAACCAAAACCTACTTGAAAGAATTTCAATTTCCTGAAGCTAGATGAGAGTTTTCCAAGGCCTAGCTTAACATCAATATTAATTTCAATTGGTCAATATAATCTCTACCTTCATATCATCTTGAGACTCAATTGGTTGGCCATTTTCATGATGCTTTAAGAACAAACTCAACACAGACATTAAACACATGCATATTATGTTAGTTTTTCCTTATCTATATTTAAGGAAAGTATTATATTTGAGGAGAACTTAGGGGATGTGGCTAAAATTAGCCCTCCACTAGGAAGTATTTTTGAGTGTGAAGAAATGTGGAAGTTATTTAACTGTTTTACAGATGTTTTAAACTTGAGGCTCTTAGTTTTATTGATTTACTGTGATCTAATTAATCCATTCACCACTGACCAAGGAAGTCATAGTGATTCAGTTCAAAAATCTCCCCAAGCCCTGCCTGAACTTCTCTGAAATCAGTAGAGTAGTTAATACATGATGAAAAGATTGTGGTTTGCTACAGAAAATTATCTTTATCTTAAATAATAAAAACAATCAAGGTGTCATAATGGTGGGAGTCACCAGCAATGGTAATGAATTATAATAAATATCACAGTACAGTTGATATATTAAAAACAACAGCTTTCTTACAGCCACCAAGTAAACTGTTTTATATCATTTACAGCTAGGCCAGAGTTGTCCCTTGGACATAAGGAGACATGCCTACCTTGGATGTTCAAACAAATGTTATATTGCCTAAGCAGGATATGTTCAAGGTTTTAGCCAATCACATTGCAGACAGCTATCTTTAAATATTAAAGGTTATTTCAAATTGCACAAGTCTCTCTCTTTTTTTTTTATTATACTTTAAGTTCTGGGATACATGTGCACAACCTGCAGGTTTGTTACATAGGTGTACACGTGCCATGGTGGTTTGCTGCACCCATCAAATTAACCATCAGGATAATTTAATCTGAATTGAGTTTCAGTATTAGAAAATAGAGCAGCCTTTTAAAAATAATGCCCTCCACATTAGCAAACAATCTCTGTCCTGTTTCCTTTATGCAGTTATAAAATTATGGATGTCAGGATTTTAACAAACTTGTGCTTGTAGACCCATAAATGGGAGGCACCCTAGAAAGCAGCCTCCATGACAGTTTCACATGTGATTCAGAGTGCTGAAAGGGTTCACTGTTTGGCTTCAACTCTTTATTGAGATCCTTAAAACTTAATTTCTGGGTGTTTTTTTTTTCCTTCACAAGAGAACAAACAAGCTATATTTCGAGCCAGTAGTAACCCCAAGCATTTTTATTAATGTTTGCTCAGCAACAGTCTGAGCTTTGTATGGTTGCTTTATCCCCAGTTCACTGTGTATCAGCAATTTCCTGTTCACCATCTGGGAAAGTCAGATGTAACTCTTATGAGAAGAGGCACCAACGTTTCCTCTGTACTTCATTATTTCAGATGTAATCAAAGGAGTAAATCTACAGTGTGTTCTTGGCTGTAATACAGTGGAGTTGTCCATTGTCTGGATACAAATCCATTTGTGTTCATCTTCTAAAGGAAACTCTTTTCCAGATACAGTTCTGTTAAATACTATATCAATACTTAATGCTTAAGGTTTGTCAGGTTCAAGCTGATAAACCCTACTTTTAAAAAACCTAATATTCTTATATCTTGATGGTGATACTCTTCGGGGCTCTAGAGGTTCTTGCTACCACTTTTGTAAGGAGACATTGCTCAGTGCCCAGCCCCAGCAGCCTTTTTGTTCAGAGAAGCAGTGTGCACAGTGGTTAGAGCACAGACTCGGGAGCCAGACCAATGCTTGGGTTCAAACTCTGGTTCTGCCTCCTCCTAGGATTTAACCTTGAGAAGTTAAATAAGCTCTCTGTGCCTCAGTTCCTCCATTTATAAAATGGGGATTATAATTCTAGTAATTACCTCTTAGGATTATTGTGAGGATTAAATAAGTTATTCTAAGTGATTACTGAAAAGAGTGCTTAGCACTTAGTGGGCAATACTTAAAGGTTAGATATTTGTATAGCTGCTCTTATCTCAAGGATTTGCATTTGCTGTCTCTTCTATCTAGGATGTTCTTTCAGACTCCACATGGTATGCCCTCTCCAAATGTCACTCCTCAAATAGGCCTTTCCTGGTCATCTTTTTCACTGTTCCTATTTGCTGCTTTATTTTTTTTAAAACCTTGACCACCATCCAATATTATATTTTATATTTATTTTATATTTTGAACTCCCTGTTTCTTCAAAAAGAAAGCAATCTGAGTGAGGTCTTTTGTATAAGACTGTATACTTGGAGTCTAGAACAGTGTCTGGAATGTGTATAGGAGATACTCAACAAATATTTGGAGAATGAATGAAGAAATTATTATAGAAAGATATTTATATTAGAATGCATTTCTGTAGATGCATGAATCTCTCTATCAGAACTCTCCAGAGCACAAAATAATCACAATTACTACAAGATAAATTAGATCTTGGTTTAGGCTGTGCTTGCACTGAATTGAACACTAAGCTCATATGAAACACTTAAGATTGTCTGCAGTGATTCACAACATAAGCCTGATATTTTAGTTTGACTTCTCAAAGTCAGTTATATTTTCAGTATAAATGAAGTAAAACATACACTTGAAACTGAAAAAAATAGTACAAGTTTAAAGATTTAAGACAGTTCTCTACACACAAAAATGATAATACTTTCTATCACTGGTCAAGAAAAAGTCACTTTTTTAAGTAGTAATCACTTGTGTGCATTTTTTTCAGTATTGCTATTAAAAGAACTTTCTCATTTTCAATTTTGAATCATTCAACAATGAAATGTTAGAGCTGTTGCCTTGCTTTACCACATACCACAGGGTAAAATAGCCAAAGGTTGTTTAAGTGGGTTAAGTAAAAATGGAGAATGTCAGTAAAATGGAAGACCTCCTAACCCACAGCAGAATTGCACTTGCTTTGATACTGTTATTTCAATAATGTCAAACAAAAATGAATTGACTTTGCCTTTTGAAATTTTATTTAGGTACACGCTGTCAGTACTTTAAAGATAAAAGAATAAATGTTTCTTCTTTCTTGAACCCTTGTTATGTACCAGTATGCTTAGCATTGAGCTGGATACAAAAATGCATAAAGTTCTGTTCTTGAAAAGTTTATAGTCTGTTTAGAGCAACAAGACAAAAAACCTGTAAGAAATCAGTACATATCAGTAAATCATTAGTTTCTAAAGAAATTCAGATGTAGGAAGATTATTGTGGGTGGTTGAGAACACAAGAAGAGAGTGATGCTTTGCCAAGCATTAAAGGATGAAAAGCATTTTATTAGGTAATTTGGAAGGAGAAGAGAACATTCCATGCATGAAACACAGCCTGAGCAAAGATAAAAATGAGCAAATTATACCAGACATTCAAAAAGAAGAATTGGCACCATTACTGTTGACACTATTCCACAAGATAGAGAAAGAGGGAATCCTCCCTAAATCATTCTATGAAGCCAGTGTCACCCTGATACCAAGACCAGGAAAGGACATAACCAAAAAAGAAGACTACGGACCAATATCCCTGATGAACATACATGCAAAAATCCTCAACAAAATACTGGCTAACGGAATCCAACAACATATCAAAAATATAATCCACCATGATCAAGTAGGTTTCATACCAGGCATGCAGGGATGGTTTAACATATGCAAGTCAATAAATGTGGTATGCCACATAAGCAGAATTAAAAACAAAAATCACATGATCCCCTCAACAGATGCAGAAAAAGCATTTGACAAAATCCAGCATTCCTTTATGATTAAAACTCTCAGCAAAATTGGCATACAAGGGACATACCTCAAGGTAATAAAAGCCATCTATGACAAACCCACAGCCAACATAACACTGAATGGGGAAAAGTTGAGAACTGCAATAAGACAAGGACGCCCACTCTCACTACTTTTCTTCAACTTAGTACTGGAAGTCCTAGCCAGAGCAATCAGACAAGAGAAAGAAATAAGGGCATCCAAATCAGTAAAGAGGAGGTCAAACTGTTGCTGTTTACTGATTATATGATTGTTTACCTAGAAAACCCTAAAGACTCCTCCAGAAAGTTTCTAGAACCGATAAAAGAATTCAGCAAAGTTTCTGGATACAAAATTAATGTACACAAATCAGTAGCTCTTCTATACACCAACAGCGACCAAGCTGAGAATCAAGTCAAGAACTCAACACCTCTTATAATAGCTGCAAAAAAATAAAATACTTAGGAATACACTAAGGAGGTGAAAGACCTCTAGAAGGAAAACTACAAAACACTGCTGAAAGAAATCATAGACAACACAAACAAATGGAAACGCATCCCATGCTCATGGATGGGTAGAATAAATGTTGTGAAAATGACCATATTGCCAAAAGCAATCTATAAATTCACCACAATTCCCAACAAAATATCATCATCATTCTTCACAGAACTAGAAAAAACAATCCTAAAATTCATATGGAATCAAAAAAGAGCCTGCAGAGCCAAAGCAAGACTAAGCAAAAAGAACAAATCTGGAGGCATCACATTACCTGATTTCAAGCTATGATATAAGGCCATTGTCACCAAAACAGCATGATACTGGTATAAAAATAGGCACATAGACCAATGGAACAGAATAGAGAACCTAGAAATAAAGTCAAATACAGCCAACTGATCTGTGACAAAGCAAGCAAAAACATAAAGTGAGGAAAGATACCCTATTCAACAAATGGTGCTGGGATAATTGGCAAGTCACATGTAGGAGGATGAAACAGGATCCTCATCTCTCACCTTATATAGAAATAAACTCAAGATGGGTTAAGGACTTAAATGTAAGACTTGAAACTATAAAAATTCTAGAAGATAACTAACGTTGGAAAACCCCTTCTACGCATTGGCTCAGGCAAGGATTTCATGACCAAGAACCAAAAGCAAATGCAGTAAGAACAAAGACGAACAGCTGGGACTTAATTAAACTAAAGAGCTTTTGCATGGCAGAAGGAACAATCAGTGGAGTAAACAGACATCCCACAGAGTGGGAGAAAATCTTCACCATCTATACATCTCACCAAGGACTAATATCCAAAATCTACAACAAACTCAAACAAATTAGCAAGAAAAGACAAACAATCCCATCCAAAAGTGGGCTAAGGACATGAATAGACAATTCTCAAAAGAAGATATACAAGTGGCCAACAAACATATGAAAAAATGCTCAGCATCACTAATGATCCGGGAAATGCAAACCAAAACCACAATGCAATACCACCTTACTCCTAGAAGAATGGCCATGATCAAAAAGTCAAAAAATAATAGATACCGGCGTGGATGCAGTGAACAGGAACACTTCTAAACTACTGGTGGGAATGTAAACTAGTACAACCACTATGAAAAACAATGTGGTGACTATTGTAGAATAAAATAGTACTGATCTGGGAGTTCAAAGATCTGAATTTGCGCTCTAGTTGCCACGCCTAGTAACTGTGAACAAATTTCTTAGTCAAACAGTTCCCTTATTGTTATAAAAAAGATAATATCCTTTATTTTTCCATAATTTTTCTCTTTACATGTATGTATTAGAGTTCTCTAGAGGGAGGGACAGAACTGTGAGGATAGATGTGTGTATAAAGAGAAGTTTGTTAAGGAGTATTAACTCACATGTTCACAAGATGAGGTCCCACAATAGGCTGTATGCAAGCTGAGGAGCAACGAAGCCAGTCCAAGTCCCAAAGCTGAAGAACTTGGAGTCTGATGTTTGAAGATAGGAAGCATCCAGCATGGGAGAAAGATGTAGGCTCGGAGGCTAAGCCAGTCTCATCTTTCCATGTTCTTCTGCCTGCTTTTATTCTGGCTATGCTGGCAGCTGATTAGATTGTGCCCACCCAGATGAAGGTTAGGGTCTGCCTTTCCCAGTCCACTGACTCAAATGTTGATCTCCTTTGGCAACACCCTCACAGACACACCCAATAACAATACTTTGATCCTTCAAACAAGTTGACACTCAGTATTAACCATCACAGTGTGACTAATGTGTTAGGATTCATGAGGTCTAATCATAAAGTGATACTATTTTGTCACTGGTTGTTTCTTTATAATTTATTCAATGAAAGAAGTCTTCTGCCACTGAATAAAACCTTAGAAAACTTCTTGAAACCTCTAATAATTCTTTGGAAATAGAAAGCCTTGTGATTACTGTAAATCACAAAGATAGTCTTGACGCAATTATTTAAAAATCTAGTCCCATGGGATTGTCAAAGTAGCTAACTTTATTTAGTTAAAACTACTATCCTTCCAACAGCAAGGACTTACTAAGGCATAAAGTTTATGAATAGGGAAGAGCGTGTGGTTAGCCTCTTTTTCCCTGCCTCTTTACACTTCTGCTAATTAATCTTTATTTCTGTCTCTTCTGGGTTGGAACATGGGGAGGAAGAATATGGAAGAGAGGCAGGAAAATACTGGCACATTTATTTGATTGGTACTGTCATAAGTTGGCTGCCATCCTCTGGACAGTTGCTTATGATTTGCACAATCTCTAGCAACTCAGTACCTTCTGCCTGTCTCTGCTGAGGCCTAATGGCCCTTCCAGAAGGTTCTATCAGACAAGAACTAGGATCATATTATTCTAGCTTTCTCTTGTGCAATGTACCAGATAAATCTGTGCAACACTTTGGCCCAATAAACTTTTGAAGTGCAAGTTTACCCAACCTAACCACCTCTTTTTCTAGCCTGCTGCTAGAGTAGCAAGCCAGCCTCTCTCTCACACTGGAGATTTTCCAAAGAGGGTCAAAACCAGAACTCTTCATCCCTTCCCCTCAGCTCCAGGGGACACACAGTTACTTCTACATAGCACAATTGTAGGTATCTTGTTCTCTCTTTTTCCTATACAAGTGCATGCCAAAAAAATAAATAAATAAAACTAATCCTTTCCTTTTCTAAACTTTCTTTCTCTCTTTCTGACTTTCTTTCTCTCTTTCCTTTGACATGTAAAGATATCTAGCCTGTTCTCAGCCACGTAGTTTCACAAGTTGCTCTGATGCTTTCTGTCTTCCAGCTTACTTCGATACCTGATGCCTTAGGTTCTTGATCAAAACTTCCAGTTTAACAGCAAGATCTATCAATTTTTGTAAAGTGACTTAAATAAATGAAAGTCGCAAAAAAGATACAGCTTTTTTTGCATCTTCAGTAGTTAGGCAACACTAACAGAAGTTTATTTGACTCTAGTTACTTTGCCTACAATTCCATTAAGTCACCTGTAGATGGGTGATGGTGACCGGATTATAACCAATTTATCTAAAAACCCAGGCCTATTGGTGTGACTTTCATATTGCAGCCTATATTTATCATGCATTCTGCTTTTCCTTAAAAAAAAAAAATAAACCAAGACCACTGAACTGAACCAATTGATAATTATCCATGTTAACAAAATATATCTTAAAAAGTGATATGGTTTAAAGATTTAAGAATAATTTCTAGGTAAACTAGTAAACCTTTCTCCTTTACCCTAGAGTTTATGTGACACAGCACTGGTTTATTCTCATAAAGCTTGTGTTTGTTTATGGATTTGTCACTGGTTTATCCCCATAAATTCACATGTTTGTTTATGGATTTGTCAGGCCAAGTCTCTGTTTAAATGCATTGTCTGATGATCCAGGATGTCTACTTCATTCTTTTGAAATAGTTAAGTCTAGGCTCAGTGGACCTTACAGTTAGGATAACAGCAGATTATTTCAGCATTTTAAAAAAAGTCTTAAAACTTTCCATATGGTGATCTACTTGGAACAAGTTAGCCCATTTGGAATAAATGATTAAATACTTAACTAAATACACGAATTTTACACTAAATGGCCATACCTGGACACTTGTTGCCCTTTATATTAATTCAAAATCAAGACAAATATTATCACTCAATGTAATTCTGGATAGCTTGTGTTTAGGCAAACACTGGGATTTAAGGGATGACTATAACCAAATGAAATGAATTTTCATAAGAAAAATGGCAATCTCAGACAAATATAAAGCTCACATAACCAGTGTATCTTGATTATTTTTGAAGGGGGAGTGCTTTAGATGAAAGAAACAAACTGGTTGTAAGCAAGAATGACAATACAGTGCTACGGGTTCCACAGGGCCAACTTTAGGGCTTGAGCATCCTTAGATTTTGGTATCTGCAGGAGGCCCTGGAATCAATGCACCACAAATACTGAGGGACAACTGTATGTGAGGTTTGGAAACACCTCATAAAAATTTACAGACTTATCAGTTATCTAATGCAACTGTTCCTCTGACATGAGTCATGTGCGGGCCTGCCAGGGAGAATTCCAGATGTCCTCCTCCAGATCCTGCTGGTAAGGAATTAGAAAAATAATTAACTATACCAATCTGGGTACTTGTGCTGACACTAAGGGTCTACATTTTTTGGAAATAAAGCATTAGGACTCTTTTCCAGTTGGATAAGGTATTCCTTGGGTGGTATCTTGACATTTGAGGACTAGCATTAATTTGCTTGAAACAACAGCATGTTAATAAGAACACTGCAATATTAATTCAGTATATCTTTTCCCGTTGTTCTGAAAGAGACATCAGCGGTCTAGCTCCCTGATTTGGTAGTAGGAAATCTCAAATCTCAGTTTGGCTTCTAAATAGTGTACTTTGTGCCTCTGACCCTTTCATATAAAATTAACAATTCTCAGCACTTCACAATGTCCTTATCCTATTTTATTTTTCCATCATGGCATTGTTGATATCATTATCAATATCAGGTATAGTATGTATTTATTTGTATGCATTTTCATATTTTCTGTATTTCAGGTATCTGTGTTGGATTCTGGCTTGGGTTTAAAAGACAGTTTTTTGTTTTTTAAAAAAGTCTTTCTAATAACTTAGCTCTGAACAAGGTTAGACTAAAAAGAATTTGGGAGGCTGAGGTAGGAGGATTGCTTGAACCCAGGAGTTCAAGACCACCCTTGGCAACATAGAGAGACCCTGGCTCTACAAAATAAATTAAAAATTAGCCAGGCATGGTGGTGTGTGCCTGTGGTTCCAGGTACTCAGGAGCTGAGGTGGGAGGATTGCTTGAGCCCAGAAGGTTGAGGCTGCAGTGAGATGCAGTTGTACTGCTGCATTCCAGCCTGGGTGATGGAGTGAGACCCTGTCTTGAAAAATAAAATTAAATATTTCAAAAGGATCCAGACAAAGTGATATCCACTAGAATGTAAGCTCCAGGAGGGCAAGGACTTTTTGCAGCTGCGGTTGTTCACTTCTCTAACCCTGGAGCCTCGAACATTTTCTGACCTATAGCCAATGCTCAATAGTCAGGAAGGAATGGAGATTAAAATTAATGCTTGTCTTATGGATTTCTTGTGAAGATTAAACTAAAGATTGCATATAAACTTAGCACAACATGAGATACAGAATCCAAAAACCCTAAAAGGCTCCTTATGGCACCCAGACTTTTAAATGTATGAATTTCATCCCATAAACTGAAGATACTGATTATATGCATGTTTTAAATATATTCAACTTCTAAATATTATACAGGAAGTCCCTGATTCACAATAATTCAACTAAACAGTTTTCCAACTTTAGAATGATACAAAAGCAATATATATTCAGTAGAAACTGTACTTTGAGTACCCATACAATCATTCTTTCACTTTCAGTATAGTATTTAATAAATTACATGAGATATAAAACACTTTATTATTAAATACGCTTGTGTTAGATTACTTTGTTCAACTGTAGGCTAACGTAAGTTTTCTGAGCATATTTAAGGTAGGCTAGGCTAAGCTATAATGTTCAGTAGGTTAGGGGTATTAAATGCATTTTGACTTAGGATTTTTTTTTTTTTTTTTTTTTTTTTTTGAGGAAGAGTCTCACTCTGTCGCCCAGGCTGGAGTGCAGTGGCGCGATCTCGGCTCACTGCAAGCACCACCTGCCGGGTTCATGCCATTCTCCTGCCTCAGCCTCCCGAGTAGCTGGAACCACAGGTGCCCGCCACCATGCCCAGCTAATTTTTTTGTATTTTTAGTAGAGATGGGGTTTCACGACGTTAGCCAGGATGGTCTTGATCTACTTAGGATATTTTTGACTTAAAATGGGGTTACATCCCAATGAGCATCTATATTTGGCATCCTTGTTTATGTAAGTGGACTTTTTTACAATGATGAGAACCTCACTCTGATGTCATTAACAATTCACCTTATGTTTGCTATATAAAAACTTCTTTCATATAAAAGGTGGAAGAATATCCTGTTTACGATATTCATTTTAGCTAACCATAGACTGAAGACCACTTGTGACTTTATTTGATCTGTATTTTGGCACTATTTATTTAATAATTATTACAGCCAAAACTAGAGAACAAACTTATTGGTTTTTCTTTTTTAAAATTAATCTCCTTTTCTTTTTCTTTTCAATAGTTAATCTAGAGGCAGTGCTCCACTTTGAACTTTAAGCAAATATAAGCCTTAACATTAGGGTCTCTGCAGTGAGTTTTTATAAGGATTGAAGAAAGGGAGCTACAAGAAATAAGACATCAAATCTTAGGTTGTGTGATAGCCTGATACCTTCCATGTTTTCTTGAACATTTCTTCTAAAAAAAAAAAAAAGTGTATTTTAGAATCTAACTTTCCAAAATTGCTTTGTAGTAGCATTTACTGAATGGATTGTAGTGTTTTGTTAATAGCACTGTTTTGTTGATAGCACTGAAAAAAATGAAAACCTCTGCATATTTCTTTTTTTTTTTTTTTGACAGAATTTTGCTCTGTCGCCCAGGCTGGAGTGCAGTGGCACAGTGATCTCAGCTCACTGCAGCCTCCACCTCCCGGGCTCAAATGATTATCGTGCCTCAGCCTCCCGAGTAGCTGGTATTACAGGCCCCCACCACCACGCCTGGCTAATTTTTGGATTTTTAGTAGAGACAGGTCTCACCACCTTGGTCAGGCTGGTCTCGAATTCCTGACCTCAGGTGATCCACCCGCCTTGGCCTCCCAAAGTGCTGGGATTACAAGTGTGAGCCACCACGCCCAGCCTAGACCTAGCATTTTAAGTATCCTGAGGCTTGTTAAAGATGTCTATGTCACAGTCCAGTTGTAGTTTAAGAGAAACTTTTCTGTATCAATAAAGGGCAAATTTAGATTAAAAAAGTCAGGGAATAAACAGTATCAAAGGCCTCTCCTCCCCCCAGAAACATGCTTCTATAGTATTCTTCAGTTTGCTGATCTACTCAATATTAATGCTTTCTTCAGCTGTTAAGTTTTGATTCATTGCAGGCTAATAAAGGAAAGTGGAATTTTTCAGGGCGTGGTGAATTATTTTACCTCTACTACACTTCCTAAGGCCCCTCCACTCAGCTTTGATCTTATGGTTCATTCCTTGTCATTTTCATTGGGTTGAAGGGACCTCCAAAGGGAACATTGGTTTAATCACTGCTTCCTTCCTAATGTAGCTCTGATTGCTAAACTGTCTGGGGTTCTTTTGAAATCCTTATATTACAGCTCTCTTGGGCTTTCCTCTGCAATCACCCTTCACACAGTCTTTATTGGAGGGGTTACAAAATGATATATGTCACTCAGTCTCTCTAGGCCCTTTTTCTAAAATTAGTAAAATGCACAGTCCTTGTATCTTTGGACCCTCAAGCCTTTATTTTAATTCTATGTGTTTATTAATTGTGGTCCCTACCCCTCAGAATCAGAGCACATATACAAATCCTTGACCTTGAAAGTTTTATGGCCCCAGAGAAACAAAGATTAATCATAATTGTTATCTTCCTGAAAATCTCAAGCCCTGCTTCCCTTTTTAAGTGCACAGATGATTCCTGAACCAACAGGAAACAAAGTTGAGAAATTTTTGAGCGTTTCTTTTCTTTGCCATTGTCCAGAAAGAGAATATAGTTCTCCCAAGACTGTCCAATTCATTTTCATATTGTTAAAGTAACAAATGTCCTTCTTGATTCTAATCTCATCTCGTTCTTGGCAAATAAGATTTCACTGTCTTAACTTCCCTGCACATAATAATTCACTCCTTTCCTTGCGCTCCAGCCAAACTCCAGGTGGTTTTGCTATCACATTTAAAACACTGTCTAAGTTACTGCATAGTGTGAGCCTCTTCTCCATACCAAACTCTGATCTCCAGCTCAGGAAGCATGTCTTATTCATCACTGTATGTCCAGAGCATAGCAAATAGCATGCACATAGTTACTGCTTAATAAATGCATATACAATGAATGAATAATGAATAGCAGTCATGTAGAAGTCAGTAGTGGGTTTTCCGTTAGCATAAGATCAAGAATTTTGTCCATTATATGGCACAATAGCCCTGCTGCTTTCATACTGAAAGTTGTGCTTCATTTCAACTACTCTGTGTGTGTTTGTGTGTGTGTGTGTGTGTGTGTGTGTGTGTGAGAGAGAGAGAGAGAGAGAGAGAGAGAGAGACAAAGACTCTGAAACAGCTGCTAAAGAGAGCAAACCGGGATGAATGTATAACCTATTATTAGCAGATAGCATTTTGATACCCCACTCCTAGTTCAATCCTAGTTTATTTCTTTTTTGCCTCATTTCTCTCATTTTTAATTTTTTTATGTTGAGCAACTTTATAAGCAACTTAAAACCTTTTTTAGGCACATCAGTTAATCTTTTGTGTTTTGTAGAAATAATAAAGAAGCATAAAAAAGATCTAGTCCCTCTTTGCTGAAGAGGAAAGTATGGGGCAAAAAATCATGAGGATGCTATTTACTGCTGCCTGGATATTGAAGTAACATGTTAGGAGCCTGTCTTAGTCCATTTGGGATACTATAACAAAATACCATAGACCAGGTAGCATGTAAATAATAGACACTTATTTCTCTTGGTTCTGGAGGCTGGGAAGTTCAATATCAAGGCACTGGCAGAAGGATCCCATGTTGGTTTATAGACAGCCATCTTTTTGCTATAACCTCCCTTGTCAGGAAGGCAAGGGCCTGTCTTGGGCTTCTTTTATAAGAGTTCTAATCCCATTCATAAGGGCTCTGCTCTCATGACCTAATCACTCCCCCAAAGCCCTTCCTCCTAATACCATCACGTTGGGGGTTAGGATTTCAACATGTAAATTTTGGGAAGATACAAACATTCAAACCACTGCAGAACCTTTAATAGAACTGCCTCATCTTCAAAGTCACAATAGAGGAGGCCACTGAGATTGAGTGTGCTTCCCCACCTATCAAAACAGCAACCATAAAGAACACATCCCTGAGTAGGTAAGTAATCTACATCCCAACATGAAGGCTTAATTACCATTTCCCCTTTCTGTGATTTTACACGTAGGATTTACTGTAGACAGTTTTGAGTTACCTTGACAGAACCGAATAAACATTTAAACACATATTATAAAAAGGTTGTAAGTTTTTCTTGCTTTCAAATGACTGAGCACCAACCCAGAGCCTTCACATTTAACTCACTGCTATAAGTGCTCTAAAGGAAATGTTTGCTCTTCTGAGAAATGGTATTAGACACTGGATTAGAGGTGATGACAACTTTGTGGATTAAGACCTCTGATAAGCTTGCTGTTGCAAATATATATATATATATATATTAACCAAACATTTGAATAGCATGTAAAATGAAATATGAATACAGTTAAGTGTCATATATGATTTCTATACATGAGTAGACATTACAGTGTTACAGCAAAGAAATTAAACCAATTTGCATACTAAAGTTAATGATAATAATGGCTGTCCTTTACTGACTCCTTATCACATGCTAGGTATATGCTAAGCACTTTGATTACCTCATTTATCCCTCACAACAAATTTATGGGGGAAAAAATAGATTTTATTTATATTTTACAAATAAGGCTAATGAGGCTCAGACAGGTAATTTCTTTCACCCATAGTCACAAAGCTATTAAAAAGCAGTGCTGGTGCTCAAAGCCAGGGCTATCTGATTCAGAGTTCACATCGGTAAGCTCTTCACTTTCTCACTGTTTTGTGAAATTATCATGTTCTTTTCTTCACTTCAGAATGACCCAGACAGTGGTGAGTTTTGGTGTATTTCCACACATAATCCAACCCAGTGAGATTAGTCTCTGTTCTATGTGACAACAGGCAACAGAATCTTTAAGCAAGTCTTTAATTTAGAGGTTGGTGCAAAAGTATGAATTTTAAATCATTTTATAACTAAACACATCTTTATTAATCAAAATAGAATCCATTACAATGAACACATTTTTGCCAACAAGAAATAAGTTTGTTTATTCCTGTAGTGTAAAAATCTGTGCTTCTGGATTTGATGAACTGTTGGAAAGCATTTTCTGCATCCTGCTGGTTGTGGAAGCATTTTCCCTGCAAAAAGTTGTCGAGATGCTTGAAGAAATGGTAGTCGGTTGGCGAGAGGTTAGGCGAATATGGCAGATGAGGCAAAACTTCAGAGCCCAATTCATTCAACTTTTGAAGCGTTGGTTGTGCGACGTGTGGTTGGGCATTGTTGTAGAGAAGAATTGGGCCCTTTCTGTTGCCCAATGCCAGCTGCAGCGTTGCAGTTTTCAGTGCATCTCATCGATTTGCTGAGCATACTTCTCAGAGGTAATGGTTTCGCCAGGATTCAGAAAGCTGTAGTGGATCAGACCAGCAGCAAACCACCAAACAGTGACCATGACCTTTTTTTTGGTGGAAGTTTGGCTTTGGGAAGTGCTTTGGAGCTCGGTCCAACCACTGAGCTGGTCATCGCCAGTTGTCCTATAAAATCCACTTTTCATCGCGCATCACAATCCGATTGAGAAATGGTTCATTGTTGTTGCATAGAATACGAGAAGATGACACTTCAAAACGACAATTTTTTTTTTGAATTTTCTTTCAGTCAGCTCATGAGGCACCCACTTATCCAGCTTTTTCACCTTTCCAATTTGCTTCAAATGCCCAATGACAGTAGAATGGTCGTCATTGGGTTCTTTGGCAACGTCTTGTGTTGTTGTAAGAGGATCAGCTTTGATGATTGCTCTCACTTGGTCATTGTCAACTTCCGATGGCTGCCCACTAGGCTTCTTATCTTCAAGGCTGTCGTCTCCTTTGCAAAACTTCTTGAACCACCGCTGCTCTGTACATATGTTAGCCACTCCTGGGCCAAAATGCATTATTGATGTTGCAAGTTGTCTCCACTGCTTTATGAGATATTTTGAACTAGAATAAGAAAATCGCTCGAATTTACTTTTTGTCTAACATAATCTCCATAGTCTAAAATAAACATAAAACAAACAGCAAGTAATAAGTCATTAGCAAAAAAACCATAAATCGAGAAATGCCCACTAAAATGATGTATAATATAACCACATTTATTTAAGAATGTATTCCATTATCAAATGGCAAATTCCAACAATGGAAATTCCTTTTGTACCAACCTAATATTTTCTCCTGACTCCTCTCCACACACCTAGGTAATAGGCCAACTATATGAGTAAGGAAGAGCAGCCCTGACCTTTACGAAAATTGTGTTGTTTAAAAGCACATGATACCTTCCCAAATGGGATGGATATCACACTTTTGAATTTTCAGTGTGTTTTTAAATTATTTCCATTTTGTAGCACATGCAAGATTTATTTGAAGAAAGAAAAAAAATAAAGAAAAGAACAAATAAACTATTGTACCATCATAAAGGGAAGTGTTTGAAGATATTAGCTGGCCCAGCTCCACAATTAAGAAGTTTGGCTACAATTAAAAACTTAAGAATATCAGTCAAAAATATTTACTGTCTATTAGATCATCATTTTTTTAATGAGAAGAAATTTAGAAAGTGCATAAGGAGACAGCCTTACATTGTTTAAAGCCAGTTTTAGACTATTTGGACTTTTCTTATACATGCATGAGTATGCTCAGAAATTCAAATTACTCTGCTGTTCCTATTTTATTTCACTGCCCTGAAATCCTGTTGTTGAAACTACAAGACTTGAAAATAACAGGAACATCCTGTTGACAAAAATAAATTCCTTATGATAAAATATTTTTCAACTGAAGCCAATTTTTTTTGGATGGGGAAAGGGCCTTGGTGGGAGAGGGGATTGTGAGTGACAGAATGTTGGTTTGGGTTCATTGCTCTTTCCTCCTAGCTTTGCTCTCTCTCCTTCTAACGGAATTAGTTGTATTATTTTACATGAATTTTTGTATTATGCAAAAATGTTGATGTGTGGTGTCTTTGAAAACTGTTTTATGGAAGGAATACGTGTGTCTGTGCTGCCCAGGTATTACTAGTGAGTATTATACTTAGGAATGAGCATGTTTAGTGTGATGTTCACTAAACACTTGATTTATTCAATAGTCCCCTAACCCCTGGGAATGCATATGCAAAGAATAAAATGTTTCAGACATTTGCTTAACAAGGGATTTTAGATTATTTGCAGAATATGGTCCCTGAAAACATTTTAGGTTATTTTTCCATGGAGTCTGACTTACGCTGAGAAGCCTCATTATAGCACTGACCAGGAGTTTAAACAGTCAGGTGCTGGGCAGGCCTCAGAAGTCCTTGCACTTGGTTTCTTCACCCATCATGCTGGAGGGAGGGTGGCATGACCTCTACTATCCCTTCTAGTGCTCAGATTCAATGAAGGAACTTATTTTTTAAAGAAGGAAGTGCTGTTATCTTTCTAATGGGCAGCTCAGAATGGCAGGGATATTAATAGTGGCCTGCATTCCAATAGTCAACACTGAGATCTTCCAGCAGTCACCCCATCCAGAATGCAGGCTTTGAAAGGCTAGAAACCCTCCCTCTTCCATAAAATCGTTAGGTAATTGACCTTTTTTTTTTTTTGGCATCTTTTGCCCTCTTTTTGGAAGCTTTGTGGGAGTGGGACAGTAGTATGGAAGATAAGAAACCCTAAGTTTAAATCCCTAGAAAAGCCCCTGAACCAATAGTCAATTTACTGCTGCTAACACCACTGGCCAGACTGGTTTGTCAGTCACTGGTGGTGTGATGGTGTCATGTTGGGCTTCCTTATTACGTGCCTCTTTTTGAATGACCCATCATTACCTTGACTTTTCAAATTGGACCAAGTTTCAACACTGATTTTGCAGAAACACACATGAGTCATGAGGAAAAGTAGCAAAGGGAAAGTTTTCCTCCTTCCCCTCATGCGGACGTGCTGTGGACACAGGCAGACAATCATAATTGCATGACTGAGTCACCTTACACACCTGCTGATCGGTAAAGAACTCAAGAGAGAAAGAGCTGATTTCACCTGCCTCTTCCACAAAGTCTCCTGACTACCCCAACTGAGGCACTGTTTTCTTTCACTGAACTCATACTGCACAGCACTTTTCTCTGACACATAAATAAATGTGATGAATGTTCACACTTTCCTCTCTACTATTTGGTATCTTCTCTTTTTTAATGCAAATTAAATCTTGTATACTGTATACATAGGAGGATTTGGGCTTAGCAATAGACGACAGTGATCATGGTTATCTTTTATTGAGTACCTACGGCATGCCAGCCTCTGATCCAAGACCTTTACATGTATTCACTCATTTGGTTCTCACTGCACTCTTGTAAGGTAGATGCCATTGTTTTCCCTATTTTATTTTTTGGAAAACTGAGCTGTGGAGAAGCTACATACTGAGTATGTGGAGAAGCTACATAGTTGCAAAGTCAATAAGAGGTGTACCTGGGATCCTTCCAAATATCTGGCCTCAGAGCCTTCATTATTACCAGTATTTTTTTTGCAAGCAGAATTATTCTAACCCATCAGTAAAAGGCTTCTCCTCACTCTGTCCTTCCCCCTACATTATACCCTCAACAGCAAGATCATTTTCTTTTGAGAAGCTTCTTTACAAAAATCATAAAGGAGCTCTCTTGACATCTGTCTATCTAGCTCATTAGACGTGTCTAGTTTAGGGCAGTTCAAATTGGGACTTTTAAAATGTTGCCTCTACATATGTATGATCTAATTCTTACCACTTCAAAGCTTCAGGGAAAGTGAAATGTGTCATTTCCCCCTCAATATTGGGAATTCCCCATAAAGTGGATAAAATTTTAGCCTGTATTTCCTTTTAGTTTTACTTTCCTCTTCTGAAATTAATTCATGACCTCTATCTCAAGTTTTCTCCAGATTTTTGGCCCATATTTCTTTTTAACATTTATCAAATATCCCTTGCATATTGGCCTTTTACATTTCTTAAGTTTCCAGTTTTAACTGTAACATTGCAGGACACATAAAAATGATAAATAAATACTAATTAATAGTAACATCATAGACTAGCAACAATCCAATATGAGCATATTTAGGGTTTAGATATCTTAGTACATTTTTATGTACTAACCCATTACACAGCAAACACCAACGTCCTTACATATTTATTCAATTAAAAAATTAGGATACCAGGATTGAAATGGGCTCTGCAACAGAGCTGAGTATTGGATTTGAGACATAAGTCATCTACAACTTAAGATAATAACCTTAAAATGATGGACATATAACCTCATCTACTCACACTGTCACTGTTTTCTTGCTGTTTGTTTGTTTGTTGCTGGGGGGCGGGGCAGCAGTTTTGGTTCTTTTGCTTGTTTGTTTGTTTGGTTTTTTGAGACACTCTGTTGCCCAGGCTGGAGTGCAGTGGCATGATTATGGCTCCAGCCATCCTCCCACCTCAGCCTCCCAAGTAGCTGGAACTACAGGCACACTCCACCATGCCTGGCAATTTTATATGTGTGTGTGTATATATATATATATATATATTTTTTTTTTTAATAGAGACGAGGTTTCACCATGTTGTCAAGGCTGGTTTCAAACTCCTAGCCTCAAGAAATCCCCCAACCTCAGCCTCCCGAAGTGCTGAGGTTACAAGCATGAGCCACCACACCAAGCCACTGTTTTCTTAATAATTGAAAGTTACCTTACTATTTCCAGAATTTCATGATTAAAATTTTAATAATAGTGCAAAGAAATGTATAGTGTATTTTAAACAGAGTATGACTAACTTTAACCGATGATTTCTTAATGGTTTTAAGTTATTTAGGATCACCAGTTATTGCAATGTGCTGCAAATGTTAATGTGACTAAAGATGGCAAATATGGGTGTGACTGAATGTTCACCCCTGCAGGGGATGCTCTAGAAGTTTTTTCTTGGAGCATTTGTAACTATCACATAAAGCCACATATGGGGCTAATTTCCAGGTCAGTGTAATGTGGCTACTGTTCTCTAAAATGTGATGAATAATTAAACGTTTAATTATCCTTCTACAAAATGATTTTTGCCCTTTTGAGGAATCAAACCATTGCTGTGAGGATTTTTTTGCCAGTCAGACATCTACAACATGAATAGTGGCCAAGAGTGACACTCATTGGGCATAGACCCATCCAGAATGCAGGCTCTGAAAGGCTAGAAACTCTCCCTTTTCTAGAAAATCATTAGGTAACCAGCCTTTTCTTTCCAGGCACCTTTTGCCCTCTTTTTGGAGCAAGAGGTAAGAACAGGACACCTTGAATACTCTAGGACAACGATATTTTCCAGTACCAAACAATTTTGTTTTATGAGAGAACATAGAGCATTCATACATACAAAAAATAACAAGTCAGCCTGACCTTATTCTGATGAAATGCTGATGGGGCTTGATTCACTGGAACCTACCTGGAATGAAGTTGGCAAGCGGTGTCCAGTGGATTTATTTCAGCAGTTTTATCAAGTTGCTTAGGGAACAGGCTGCTCAGACTTGAGTTTCTTGGAAAAAGACTTTAACCTACTAATAGTTGGAGTCCATTATTTGCCTTTGGAATTATATGTAAATATATTTAACTCCTTAATGAGCCAGGGATGTGGGCAATTCTTCCTTATTAACCAAGAGCTAATTATTTACAATATAAGGTGGTATTTTAATGTAGCCAGTATATCTGACTACTTCAAAATCTTAGTTTAATATCAAATGAAATCAAATACCTGCTCTTTTCGAATTAGATGAAATAATATTGCTGTAATGTGTCCATTTTTCTTTCCTCAATCTTTTCAAGCAATATAAGCATATAAGTACATTTTAAGCACTTAAAAATGAGCCCAATTCTTGTTCCTTGGTCCTTTGGCATTTTTTGAGGGATTTGTCAATATGTAGAGTTAGTTAGCAATTCTCACCATGGTGTGGAGTGTGCTCTAAAACAGGTAGACATGATAGTGATCCTGTGCATCTTCAAGAGCAATGTTGTTTAAAGAATAGTTGTGTGTTCACTCCCTTTTTCTCTCTATCACTTGCTCACTAGCTATGTTTTAACTATGGTCATTGTAGTTGCAGGTAAATCCACAAGAGTTATTTCAAGTTGAAGGGGGGTGGGAGTATAGCAGTATACCACAGGCATTCCCGTGGATATTCAAAAGTGGTACAGTTGGACCTCAGGAAACCTAGAACTAGCATGCTAGAAACCAGAGCCACATTGTTCTTCTTTTAGAGACCACAGAGTCTCTCATTTGTGTGTTGTTACTTGCATCTGAACCCTCTTCTTCTTCTCTCCCCTTTTCTCTTGCTTCCTCTTCCCCTTTCTCTGTTCATTTATTCTGAAGATTTGTTTGTTTGCTCCAATATGGCCATTTGCCCTGACATCAACTCTAGTGTCCACCAATAATGTGCAACTGTCCCTGTCAAATTCTCAAGGGCAAAAGACAGATTGGCTCAGCTCAGCTTTTAGAGCAGAGTCACCAAATTATAAGTCAGGGGCAAGCAAGAATCGTTGTCTCTGAGGCAGGTGCTCATCTCAGAACTAGTCATCTGTGGCTGGGAGAGTGGGGGTGGAGGATGTAGCACAGGGGTCCCCCTTTCCAGAAACTTTGAGTAGCACAGGTCACTGTGGAATATGTCTGTTGCACTCACACAGAAACCTTATTCCTTCAACAGCTGTTTAGATGCAGCAGAACTGAATATTAACGTCGTAGCACACCCACTGCACCCCAGCACTTTCCTTCCCATCTCGTTTGGCCAGTCTGCAGATCTGCGGTATCCTCTGTCACTTTACTGCTAGCTCTCCTTTTCTGCAACATTCAGATTGCTTCTGAACATTGCATCTGAACAGCCCAGGCTTCTAAATATCACAGATCTCTGTTTTTCTATCCCTTTTGCTTTCAGCTGTTTTTCTTTCTTGCTGGTTCTTCAGGCTGTTGTGACCACCATGTGCTGTGAAATCTCTGTCTGATTCTTTTTGGAGTTCCATAGCCCCTTGGCTCCCTACCAAAGAGATGTAAAGATTAACTAGTTAATTAGGTTAAGCTACTTTATGTCTAAAGAGTGTGCTAGAAGAGTGTTTCTCAAACTTTTTTTTTTTTTTTTTTTTTTTGAGGCAGAGTTTCACTCTGTTACCCAGGCTGGAGTGCAGTGGCACGATCTTGGCTCACTGCAACCTCCACCTCCTGGGCTCAAGCGATCCTCCCACTTCACCCTCCGAGAAACTGGGAACACAGGCATGGTGCCACCACACCTGGCTAATTTTTGTATTTTTTGTAGAGATGGAGTTTCTCCATGTTGCTCAGGCTGGTCTTGAACTCCTGAGCTCAAGCGATCTGCCCACCTCGGCCTCCCAAAGTGCTGAGATTATAGGCATGAGCCACTGCACCAACTGTTTTTCTCAAACTTTAAACCCTTTTCCTGTTTGCTCCAAGAATGCCTGGCAGCGGTGCTCGTGGCTACAGTGTTTACCCCAAGATAACTTCGCCACAAAATATCTCGCTTTTATTATTTTCATATCTGTCTAGTATATGGATTTTGGAAACAAAAGACATAATTCTATTCATAGCATTCTATTTTTAGTAGTGGTATTTTCATTTACAATATATAGTAATTCCCTATCGTTTAAATTGTCAAATCCTAGAACATGAAGCATTCCTACGCATGATGTTAACATCATTTTGGAACAGTTGGCGGAAGATTCATTTGATGAATCAGATTTTTCCAAAATAGAAGATTCTGATGATTCAGATGATTCTGATGTTAGTTCTGTTTAGAAATAACTCCAAGAACAGTTTTTATGTTTTCATTTCACATTGAAAATCAGTCAAATTTGCTTCAGCCTCAAAGAACATGTTTATGTAAAATTAAATGAGGCTGGCAGTGAGGTGCACTTTGTTTTCTAAACAGGATTAATACACATAGGAAACACCTGGGAAACTTGTGAAACTGCAGATGAGATTCAGGAGCTCCATAGGGGAGCTGGTGGTGGTGGTGGTGGTGGTGGTGGTGATGGTGGTGATGCTGATGGAAGAACAACACAAATTCCAGTAGAAGACTAGATTCAGAAGTGCTGTGCATTTATTGTAAATATATTCTACCTGATAGGAGTGACCATGCCTTAGGCATCTTTATATGCCCTTCCATGCCCAGCACTGTAGCTGGTATGTGATTGATATTTAAATGTTGATTGGATTATGATTGAGCTGAGGACACTTGAAATACAGGATTTTCTATGCCATATTTTTAAGTGAGAGGTTTTCAAAAACTGCTAAGAACCAGTTAAATCAATAAGCATTTCTTAAGGATCTGATTGTGCAAAGCCCTGGGAGAAATGTAAAGAAAATGTTACAGTCCCTGTCCTCAAAAGAACACTGGCATATTTACCACTAACTTGAATATGTCTATACTGGAATTGTGGAAATAATTGTCAAATTGTAGAGGTACAGTGAAGGCCAGTGAGCCTGTTTATAGTCCTAGCAATTTGACGTTTTATAATTTAGGTGTTATTTTCCCCATATATACATAACAATAATGGGTTCTAGTTATGTTTCAGTGGGATAATGCATGTGAGGATTGGGTTTCATACCCTGCACACAGTAAATGATTGCTAGCAGTAGTAGTAGTGGTAGTAGTAATACTTAATTAGTCTTAATTATCCAGCCAGTCCAGTTTAGGAAAAACTGTTCCCCTCTCCCTCTCTTTGCTTTCTTAATGTTCCATTTCACTTTGTAGAGATTATCTGTAGTTTAATCTTGATGTTGTTCAAAGTATAAACTTAAACAAAAATGCATTTTAGAATGTAGTTGATTCCCCTGGATATGAAAATTGCTGTATGCTCTACAACAGAAAGACAGGAAGAGGAATATATTTTCCTACCTTACAACTGTTTAAACCCAAGCTGTATTTCTCCTTTTCTCTGATGTTTTCATAAATTTATTCCTTTAAAAAAATTAATGTGCTTAAAGTGTTTCTCTAAGTCTTTCCAGCCATTTTGGATTGACCAGGAAATACGTACACACACAATGCATGCATGCATAAATTCACAGGCGAATAAAAATGTATGTTAAATAAGAGCGTTATCTTTGGAAAGAATGTAAATTGAGTATACAAGGAAAGGAATATTGAAATCATAAATAGTGTCTTAGACTTTATAAAGGATAAGCATCTACAGAATTAATAACATCTGTATTCTTCAACTAATAAAACCAATAAGCAGATATACTGTACTCTCTATACAAATTAGAAACCAGTTTGTGATAAATGGTGAACAATTCTTGATTGCTAGATCATCCCATGTACTCCCCATATAAAGTAGGTCATCACTATGAATTTCCATGTAGAGAAGAAAAAGTTGAAGTGACAAATGTATCTTTTAATGTAGAGGCTATCATTGAAGAAATACTCAGGAGACCTCTGAGGGAGGCTGGCACATGAGCCTGTGAATCATGACTATTATCCTTGTCTTAGAAGTACTCACAAAGAAGACCTTGGAAACATTTATTGTCCTTTCACTACCTGGGTCCTTTTCATTACCTATGTAACCCAGATGTAACCTGGCTGTCCAGCTGCCTGGATTCCTTCAGATTTTCCAGTTTGCCAGGGTCAACTTGTTCTTTAAAATATAATGTAAATGGACTCAAATCACAATCTCATGCACAGGGAGTTCCCAGCATCCATTCCAGTATTTTTAGTGGTTGTAAGCGGAGTTCATGTCTCTCCTGGACCCCTCTGCCTCTGAGTTCCTTCTTACGAATATTTCAGACAGGAATAAAGAAGTTGAAATACTCCATGCCGCCCACATAAAATTTTTTTAAATCAAATTGGGTAACGCAAGTGAAAACATTTCAGTAAGTATAAAGCATTACCGAGGAGAGATAATAATCTTACTAAATTAGAAAGTGAGTTAAAGCATTGGGAATGCTCCGAGGGTAGACTCAGAGGAGGAAAAACTGAAGGTAATGAAACAGCATCTACTTGTTTCATCTGGCGAAATATAGGGAAAAGGATGAAGTCCTGACAAGACTTTGAAGTGAATTAGAATTGTCTGTAGGTTCTAATAAGAAAATCTATCCATGAAAGTTTAAAAAGGAACAGTAAAAGTTATGTGGTTGTAAGACCCCAAAAGACTATTCAACACCCGAAGAGAGAGAGATTCCTGAAGTTCTTTGAAGCTGGTTGAGCTGCAATTACAGAGAACACATTCTCCTCACCTTTTTAAGGAAGCAAATCCACATGGCCGTTGTCTCATTTTCTCTTCTCATATCTGCCAGATGTGTTCTTGAAGCAATAGCTGCACGTTAATCAGCTACTTCCACAGCCCTGGTGCGGGCATTGCCTTCTTTCTGCTTATTTCTTATGTTACATTCAGTTTTTCCAAGAATTCATTCCCAGCCTTATTTCAAAAGCTACTCTAACATGATATTCACAGTTTCCTAACACCCCTGATCACTTTATGTGCTCTAATCCTCAAACTAACTACCTGAATATACTGTACCTCTAATTTGGGTGGACTGGAGGAAATTCTGGTTGGCGAGGCTACTTTTTTTTTCTCTCAAGGGTAGAATATAGTTCATTTATCTTGAACATTTTTAAGTATTTGGGAGAAATTTTATTATACAGCAGTAGAAATTTTATTCAGACAGTATTGCTCAGAAAATAATACCTATCAGCTTTAAAAGAAGAGTTAAAAGGTAATTTAAAACAAGAAGGTGTTAAGTATATGAGACATAATTTGGGGATGTGGAATCATAGCTGGTCCCAGCTCCTCTCCATGGACCATCAGGGAGTGGCAGCCCATTTGTTATCTGCACCATGGGTTACCCTGATATCCCTGCCTCCTTTGCAAATGTTAAGTGTTTCACAACAGTGTCTGACTCCCTGAACCCTAAGAGGTAGTACACAAGGCAGGCAGTTTTTGTTTGAAGGAGATTGGGATGGAGTCCTGGCTGGACAGCAGTGAGCAAGGGGATGGGCCCTGCAGTTCTGCAATGCTGTAGATAGAGAAGAAGGCAAGAGGAGCTGCCAACGAGAACAGGCATGCTGTGGGAGCAAGCCCTCCTCCTTAACATTCTGGCCCAACATTGACCAAGTGGAGGATGAACATGGAGTAGGTACTCTCAGGGGCCTATTACTTCTGAGAAGTCATGACTTGTGGAGCTCTGAATAAAAGGAGAAAAGGGGATGGCTTCAGGATTGGGTCATTTTCCTGCCCCTTTTCTGAAAGGATGAGCCATCAATGTCAAGTCATCCTATAAGTAGGGAGAATTGCAAAGGAGATTTTTTTTTTTTTTTTTTTGAGACGGAGTCTCGCTCTTGTTGCCCAGGCTGGAGTGCAATGGCGTGATCTCAGCTCACCACAACCTCTGCCTCTGGGTTCGTGTGATTCTCCTGCCTTAGCCTTCCGAGTAGCTGGGATTAAAAGCATGTGCCACCACACCCAGCTAATTTTGTATTTTTAGTAGAGAAGGGGTTTCTCCATGTTGTTCAGGCTGGTCTTGAACTCCCGACCTCAGGTGATCTGCCCACCTCAGCCTCCCAAAGTGCTGGGATTACAGGCGTGAGCCACCGCGCCTGGCCGCAAAGGAGATTTTTAAGATCATTAGCGCTTAGAGAGTTCCCTTCTCTTCCTGAGTGGAGCAGTGGATATGTCTGGTTACTTCCAACCTCCCAAAGGTTCACATTGCTTGTTTAATTTTTTAGTCAAAATGATGTGTCATCAGCTGGAGGTCACCTTTCAAAGTCTGCTCTTATAGCACTCTGTACAAAATCTTTATATTCCTAGAGTAATTCAATAATTGAGTCAGTAATTTTCCCTATTTTGCTGTCCCAAATTGAATTGTGATGACATTTTTCAAGACACAAATAAGGCAGTGAAACCTACCTGTGTTTCTTCATCAGTATCTGAATTTGTAAAAGCATCTTTAGGCTACTTGCTGTCAATGGAATTCATAATTCACATGAAAAAAATAAGTGACCATTTGAAGCCAATATGCATAAGAATGAGTAACCAGCATGACCACTGTTTTTAGTGCAGGAGTGTGTTCAATATTAAGACCATTAATGTTTGCCCATTTTATTTAATCATGTGCCCTTCATGTGGAAGAATCAGGTCTTATTGCATACAGATGAGTGTTCAGGTAATGATTCAGGCTTCATGCTATCAAAATTAAATTCTAAAAGCCAAGAAATTTATCATTTTTATATCCCTTTGCAGATACAGAGTATGTGTAGAAATATCTCTTGAAATATGCCTTGTTTACGTGAGAAATAAAATAAGCAGATTATGTTAATTAGAAATAGTATCTGAGTGGCCAGGTGCAGTGGCTCACGCCTATAAACCCAGCACTTTGGGAGGCCAGGGCAGGTGGATCACAAGATCAGGAGATCAAGACCATCCTGGCTAACATGGTGAAACCCCATCTCTACTTAAAAAAAAAAACAAAAAACAAAAAAATTAGCTGGGCATGGTGGTGGGCATCTGTAGTCCCAGCTACTCAGGAGGCTGAGGCAGGAGAATGGTGTGAACCCAGGAGGCGGAACTTGCAGTGAGCCGAGATCGCACCACTGCACTTGAGCCTGGATGACAGAGCGGGACTCCATCTCAAAAAAAAAAAAGAACTAGTATCTGAGTTAGGCCTTTAATAATATATTTCTTTTTAATATAAAATTGAGGCACTCACAAAAAAAAAATACCTAAGAATACCTCTGGCCAAGGACAAGAAACATCTCTACAAGGAGAACTACAAAACACTGCTGAAAGAAATAATACATGACACAAACAATTGGAAAAGCATTCCAGCTAGTGGATTAGAGGAATCAATATTGTTCAAATGGCCATACTACCCAAAGCAATCTACAGAGTCAATGCTATTCCTATCAAACTACCAACATCATTTTTCATAGAATTAGAAAAAAGCTATTCTAAAATTCATATGAAACAAAAAAAAAAAAATAGCCTGAATAGCCAAAGAAATCCTAAGCAAAAAGAACGAAGCCAGAGGCATCACATTACCTGGCTTTAAAATATACTAAAAGGCTATAGTAACCAAAACAGCATGGTACTGATACAAAAACAGACACATAGACCAATAGAATAAGTTAGAAAACCGAAAAAAAAGGCTACACACCTACAAACATCTGATCTTCTGCAAAGCTGACAAGAACAAATGACAGGGAAAGGACTCTCTATTCAATAAATGGTGCTGGGATAACTGGCTAGCCATATGGAAAAGATTGAAATTGGACCGTTCCTTACACCACATACAAAAATTAACTCAGGATGGATTAAAGACTTAACTGTATAACCTACAACTATAAAACTCCCCAAAGAAAACCTAGGAAATACCATTCTGGACATAGGCCCTGGCACAATGTCCATGGAGATTTCATAACTATGACCCCAAAAGCAATTGCAACAAAAACAAAAATTGACAAGTATCAACAGAGTAAACAGACAACTTTCAAAATGGGAGAAAATATTCACAAACCATACATCTGACAAAGGTCTAATATCCAGAATGTATGAGGAACGTATACAATTGAACAAGCAAAAAACAAATAACTCCACCAAAATGTAGACAAAAAACATGAACAGATACTTCTCAAAAGAAGAATTACAAGCAGCCAACAAACATATGATAAAATGCTCTACATCATCAATCATCAGGGAAATGCAAATCAAAACCACAATGAAACACCATTTCACACCTGTCAGAATGGTCATTATTAAAAAGCCAAAAAACAACAGATATTGGCAAGGTGGTGGAGAAAAGTGAATGCATGTGCACTATTGGTGTGAATATAAATTACTTCAGACCCTGTCAAAAGCAGTTTGGAGATTTCTCAGCGAACTTAGAACACAGCTCTTTGTCCCAGCAATCCCATTACTGGATATGTACCCAAATGAAAATAAATCGTTCTATCAAAAAAGACACAAGTACTTATATGTTCATCACAGCACTATTCACAATAGCAAAGACATGAAATCAACCCAGGTGCCCAACAATGCTGGGTTGGATAGAGAAAATGTGGTACATATAAACCATAGAATACAATGTAGCCACAAAAAAAAAAAAAAATGAAATCATGTCCTTTGCGACAGCATGGATGGAGGCCATTATTCTAGGCAAATTAACATAGGAACAAAAAACCAAATACCACGTGTTTTCACTTATAAGTGGAAGCTAAGCATTGGGTACTCTTGGACGTAAAGATGGCAACAGTCACTGGAAACTGATAGATGGGAAAGGGATGGAGGGGGGCAAGGATAACAAAACTAACTTGGATATTTTGTTCACTATCTGGGTGATGGGGTCATTCATGTCCCAAACCTTAGCATCATGCAATATACTCATGTAACAAACTTGCACATGGACTCCCAGAACCTAAAATAAAGGTTGAAGTTATTAAAAAAAAGTTAACACACTATTTTCCCAAATCAGAAGAATGAGTGTTTCCCTGGTTACTTATATTTTGGATTCCTTCTAAACAGGCTATGCGTGATTCCCCCTGAGTTGTCTTCAAAGTCTAGTGTTTATGGCTGTATCATAATCTAGGTTTGTAGATATTATATTTTGGAAAAATAGAGGAGGTGGGGAAAATACTTCAAAAGAGGCACTTCTTACTATTAAGGTTTCTTGTAATTGAAAGTATAGTCTTGTAACTTGGAGGTATATCCCTTATAAGAATACTTCAGAAGCAGTTTTAGATATTGAGAACCTGTTTAACGTTCCTCCATTTGAGATTTTCATGCAAGATTTTATGTAAAGCGCAAGTGGATGTTATGTTCCATAAGTAAAAATTTCTAGTTATATCTCTAAAACCATTTTGCCGATAATTTCAGTATTACCAAAATAAATAAATAATCTAAGTTTGCCTTGGACCCCACTATCCTATCTAAACTCTGGTAATAATAAATATAATTGTGCAGTATAGCTTCTAAATGGAAAAATTATCTTCATTTTCAAGAGAGAATAGATGGCTCTTGGGGAAATGTATAGTTAAGGAATAAGAAAACTGTCAGTCATTCAAAAAACAAGATTGTGGAGATGACAAGAGTGGAGCCCTGGGAATCCTCAGATTTGCCTTTAAACAATACCATCTCTCTTGTGGTTTCCAAAGGATTCTGGAGCTGGAAAAGCAAGGCAAACTCACGCTTTCTTATTAGCTCCCTAATGGTGATATGATCCCTCATCCTTTATTTCCTCTGTTAGGAAGAAAACTCCTCCCAGGAAGAAAACTCCAAATGGAGAGAGAGGGAAGGAAATAGAAAGGGAGAGAAGGGAGAGGGGGTGGAGGGGAGAGAGCAGGTAGCTTGGCCTCCTCCTATGCAGGAGCAACAATGGTCTCTGTGACCTTTTACCCTGAGGGGCCAGAGAGGTCAAGAGAGGTCCCTGCAGACATGATCAGTCATTGATAGGACACAGTGACTTTGTCATCAGCCCCATGGCCATAAATCCTGATGGCATTCTTCTTCTTTTGAGGTTAAATAGAGGAAGGAAATAGAAAGGAACCTGGTACTCTCCCTGGAATCCACCAACTAATTTGAAACATAAGCTGGGCATGACTAGATCAGTGGTTCCCAAAGTGTGTTCCAGGGCACATTAGTCCTATAGCATGACCATATGTCTGTGTATCTGTGTGTGCATGTGTGTGTGAAAAAGGAGAAGGGTTTAATTTTCGTTGAAGTCTAGAAATGATGGGTTAAACAAAATTTACTAAATGCTGTATGTGAATTATTTCGGTTAATCTTGACAACTAACTTTTGTTGCAGATGCTATTATAATCCTTATTTTATTTATTTATTTTTATTTTATTAATTTTTTTTTGAGATGGAGTCTCCCTCTGTCACCTGGGCTGGAGTGCAGTGGCATGATCTTGGATCATTGCAACCTCTGCCTCCCGGTTTCAAGCAATTCTCCCTCCTCAGCCTCCCAAGTAGCTGGGACTACAGGCACCTGCCACCACACTCAGCTAATTTTTTTGTATTTTTAGTAGAGACGGGGCTTCACCATGTTGGCCAGGCTAGTCTCGAACTCCTGATCTCAGGGGATCTGCCTGCCTCGGCCTCCCAAAGTGCTGGGATTACAGGCATGAACCACTGCACCCCGCCTATAATCCTTATTTTAAAGATGAGAGACAGTTCAGAGAAGTTAAAAAGTATATCTAAAGTGACTCTTTTTTTTTAAGATGTGGTGCTGGATTTAATAGCCTGATTTCAGAGCCCAGATCTCTTGACTCCATGACTTTCTGTGGCCTTTTTAAAATGAACAGATATGTACCCTTAACTTCTATGAGATGTATATAGTGTGCATCTCTCAAATTTATTTGGCCATAAGCTTTTTTGAAGTTTTCTGAACTTTACAAGAGGTGAATGTTCCAGGGAACCTACTGTGTGAAGCAGTGGGCTAGATTTAATCAGATGTTGTACTCAAACAAAACTTCAGTTTGGCAAACCAAAAATCTGATGTTGCCAGCATCTGGATACAAAGAGCTAGTATAAAGTAGTGATGTGATACATTCTGCATTTAGAAATATTTGCGCTGAAAGTGTCTGAGTTACTTCTTCTCATTTCTCTTCCAGGTGTTTTATTCCAAACGTCTATGCTGCTTTGTTCACTGCAGCTCTTGTTCCTTTGACGTGCCTCGTGGTGGTGTTCGTGGTGTTCATCCATGCCTACCAGGTGAAGCCACAGTGGAAAGCATATGATGATGTCTTCAGAGGAAGGACAAATGCTGCAGGTTTGAAAGGAACTATATTTGTACTTTGGAGATGGAAACGCTTTAATGGTGGGAAAATGTCACTGAATTTTTTTTATCAAAAAGAGGGAAGTTCGGCTCATCTTTCAGCTCTGAAGCCACAAGTTAAGCTATAGCTCTCCAGTTTCTCCTGCTTCTTGGTACCTCTGATGTCTCCCTTTCTTCAGGGCTCTGTAGGTTTTATTGTTCATTCCAATTTTGTCCTTAAGATATTGATATCCAAGTAAATGAGTCGCAGCCTTGGGAGCCACTTCCCAAGCTTTCATTAAGTGAAGCAATAATAACTTGTGTTCTACCTGTGAAATCTGTTCATTTCTCTCCGATTCTGAGACTTCTGCACAGTTTAACAAACCTCCGCAGTGCTCATGAGTGTGCATGCAGAGCTCTGGTTGTGCTGACAGATGTTTAAAAACATGTAATCAGACAGCTACATGAGTGGCTACACATGTCTGGTTACTTAAGAGTGCAAGCCTTTCTAGTTCAAATTGGCTTTCACTACAGCTCATTTTTTCCCTTTGAATCATACCTAACAGAGGTTTTTATGATCTGATTCTTTTTATTATTGTTTTTAGACTAGAGTCCCTCAGGAATTTTCTTAACTAGAAGCAATAGCCACACACCTACATACAGAAAATGCTCTGTAAAATGTTATGTGAGTGACTGGGATATTAGGGAGCAGCTTAAGAGCTGGGAGTAGAGGATCCCTCTTGGGCCAATGAGGAACAGAAGTCTTCTTTTTTCTAAAGTTTTACAAGTCTAAAGCCAAATGAATGACAGTCTTAGAGGAATTCCTCACGTTTTAAGTGCTTGTCAAAGTTTAAGCAAGTAGCATATATAAGGTCTCTAGAATAGTGTCTAATACATTTTTAGGGGCTCAGTAGCTACAGGGCGTCACTCTAATGTAATGCAGTTCTAGTTCCTGAACTTGATCAGTTAATATGCAAAAGGATTTTCCTTGTAGTATAAAGAAAAGACACTCGTTTGTATTACTTTGTGGGATAGTTTGTAGCATAGCAGTATCTAGCCATCTCTTTTCTAATTCTTTCTCATTTAGCATGCAATCATTGTGTTGGCAGAATTTTCTTTTTTTTCTGAGACAGGGTCTTACTCTGTCACCCAGCTTGGAGTGCAGTGGCATGATCTTGGCTCACGGCAGCCTCTGCCTATAAGATTCAAGCAATTCTCCTTCCTCAGCCTCTTGAGTAGCTGGGACTACATTCATGTGCCACCATGCCTGGCCAACTTTTGTATTTTCAGTGGAGATGGGGTTTCACCACATTGCCCAGGCTGGTCTTGAACTCCTGAGCTCAGGCGATCCACCTGCTTCAGCCTCCCAAAGTGCTAGGATGACAGGCGTGAGCCACCACGCCCAGCCGAGGAATATTGTTTAAGGTTAATTAATTAATCTTAACTCCTTTAATAAAAAATATTCAATGTATAAATTCTACTTTTTCACGGGACACAGAAGTTATCTAGAAGCTATGCTTGTTTTTTCAGTTTTAATACTCTTTATTTTTTAAATTACTTTTTAAAAATGTAACTTCTTTCTTTTTACATTTATTTTAGGTTGAGAGGTATATGTGCATGTTTATTATGTAGATAAATTGCATGTCACCTCATGGGGGTTTGGTGTACAGATTATTTCACCACCCAGGTAATAAGCACAGTATCCAATAGGTAGTTTTTAAGTCCTCACCCTCCTCTTTCCCTCTACCCTCAAGTAGGCCCCAGTGTCTCTTATTCCCGTCTTTGTGTCTATATGTACTCAATATTTACTCCCACTTATTAGTGAGAACATGTGGTATTTGGTTTTCTCTTCCTCTGTTAGTTCACTTAGGATAACAGCCTCCAGCTCCATCTGTGTTGCTGCAAAGGAGATGATCTCGGTTTTTTATGACTGCATAATATTCCATGGTGTATATGTACCACATTTTCTTTATCCAGTCTACCACTGATGGGTATTTAGGTTGATTTCATGTCTTTGCTATTGTGAATAGTGCTGTGATTAACATATGTGTGCATGTGTCTTCATGGTAGAACAATTTCTATTCCTTTGGGTACATACCCAGCAATGGGATTCCTGAGTCAAGTAGTAATTCTGCTTTGAGTTCTTTGAGAGACAGCCAAACTGCATTTCACAATGGCTGAACTAATTTACATTCCTACCAGTAGTGTATAAGCAAGCATTCCCTTTTCGCTACAGCCTTGCCAGCATCTGTTATTTTTTAACTTTTTAATGATAGCCATTCTGACTGGTGTGAAGTGGTATCTCATTGTGGTTTTGATTTGCATTTCTCTAATGATTAGCAATGTTGGGCATTTTCATATGCTTGTTGGCTTCTTCATGGCACATATGTCTTCTTTTGAAAAGTATCTGTTCATGTATTTTGCCCACTTTTTAATGGGCTTGTTTGGTTTTTGCCTGTTCATTTGTTTAGGTTCCTCATAGGTTCTGGATATTAGACCATTGTGAGCGCATAGTTTGCAAAAATTTTCTCCCATTCTGTAGGTTGCCTTTTTACTGTGTTGATAATTTCTTTTGCTGTGCAGGAGCTCTTTAGTTTAATTAGGTCCCATTTCAGAAGCTATGCTTTTAATCAACTTGGGATTCATCTTATTAAAATGTACATTCTTTTGGGGGGAGAATGGTGGTTTGTTTTTTCCTCTAAGTGACAAGATTTATTGTTTTATATATAATGTAAAAGTGCCAATGTTTGCATGTTTTCAATAATGCTAACATAGGGGCCTAACATAGTGACTTAATTCTTTGAATGCCTAAATCACCCCTGCACCTCTTGAATATGCTTCATTACTGATATAGTAGATAAAACAGTACCCTGATTATCAGAAAAAGATAGCCCTCAAGCATTGAATATAAGGCAAAAGTTCCAGCACAGTTGTATCTTAATGAGGGAACCCTCTCTTGCAATAAAATGTGAATAGAAGCATTGCCCTATTGTTGTGTTACAAATTTAAAAAGTGTGATATTTCTAATTCCCCTATTCCCATGGCAATTTATTCTAATAGTCATTATACTTGGACTTCCACAGCAGTTTTCTGATTGGTATCTCTGGTTCTACTCTTTTTCTTCTCCATTTCATTATCTCAGATGTCTACATTTTAAAAATATAAAGTGGATTTTCTCATTCTCCAGCATTTCAGTCAAGGTTTCTCTCATTGCCCCAAAAAAAAGTCCAGTCCCTTTAGCTTACAAGAGTTTCCACGGTCTGACCCAGGACCATCTTTCCATTCCCAAGTTAGTTACTATTATCCTGCATTCTGACATGCCAATCTATTTACTTTTTCCTAAATTTTCCTGATATTGCCATCTTTGCTTATGTAAAGAAATCTTTACTTTGAGCTCCTCCTCATTAGTTGGTAAAACCCACGTGCTCAATAAGTGATATGGGAAAATGTAGATGAGTGAGAGACAGATGCAAGGGGCTTATCACCTTCCCATATTCTTTATTAGCTCTACAAAGCTTTCCAAAATAACTTCAGAATCTAAACAACAGTGATGTGCTTGACAATCACAAGTTAATTCTCCTGGACATCACTTTACTTCTTTACAGAAATTCTAGAAACTTTCAATATTCTCCCCCTTTTGTGAAGCCTTAGGAATTGCCTCTTTATGGAATCACACCAAATAAGAATTACTCATTCCCTTCTTTATGCCTTTAAAGTATTTGTCCCTTTAGTCATTGTAGCACTTATCTTAGAATGGAGTGGTCACTTGTTTTGGTGTGTGTGGTTGGTGGATTTCCTTAATAAATTATTAATTCCTTGAGGGCAGGAACCATTTAGTATTCATCTCTGTATCCCCAGGGCCTTGCAGAGTGCTTAGTGGATAGCAGGAGCATAATTAATGTTTATTAATTAAATGAATAAATTAATAATCATCAATGTACCACAAAATTATATAACTGTAAAAATGGATACCCAAGCTAAAGATAGCATTAAGAAGAGAAACTGTAATATTATCAAAGTAGAAATTAAATGACTTAATTCTCTGATCTGTTTGTAAATATTCCTCAAAAGTTATTATTATTAGGACTATTTTTATAAGAAATATTTTTTAAAGCTTTACCTCTATAATTCCCAAAACTACATGTTCAGCTTTGCCCTCAACCTGATCTTTTGTGTTTTTATATTCAACATACTATAACTCACCTCTACTTGAATATGCTCCACTTAACTCAAATTCAAAATTTCTTTTTTTTTCTTTTCCAGATAATTCTTTTTTTATTTTTAATTATACTTTAAGTTCTAGGGTACATGTGCACAACGTGCAGGTTTGTTACATAGGTATATGTGTGCCATGTTGGTTTGCTGCACCCATCAACTCATCATTTACATTAGGTATTTCTTCTATTTACTCTACCACGGAGCACTTGACACTCTCTTTGAAACTTTTTGCTAAAATTCTCTTGTGCTGACTTGTAAAATATCCAGTTAAGGTGGTACTGTAAATTCACGTTTTGCCTTCTGCCTTACTGTATATACAGAATAGCCAAAGAATAACGTATAACAAAAGAATGTTAAAAATACCGTGGGCATCTCTATAGAACAGAAATCAAGCAGAAACACCAAATGTACTGGTAGACTAGGCCAAAACCATAGACCTGATATCTCCTGGGGTCCAGAAGCAGGTAGATGCAGGACATTTTGTTAGGCTCAAAATCTTCCATGATTTCTGTAGAACTGAGCTCCAAGCTAATCACTCTTTTTGTGGATTAAATGTGCCTGACAACAGAAGCAACTTTGCATCACATTTGTTCACTGGTTATAATGAATACAAGTAACCATCCCTTACACCGTGTATTTTGAGTGACTTTTTTGTTCTCAACATCCCTTAATTTCAAACAGAGTTCAAATAAACTCAGTGAAACCCAAAGGAATGGGGAGAACAAAGAATAAGCACCTCATAAATGGAATACACTCAGTGCTATAGATGCCCACTGTCAACCCCTTCCCTCCCTGAGCATGGCCTGGGACAGGACAACTCGGCTTTTTGTGGCCCTTTGACTGCCATGAACCAAATTGTTGAAGGTCAGTGGCTCCTAATGAGAATCACTTGCCTCCTCTTCCCTTCAGTGGGTGGATGTGCAGTGAGAATGAGTTATGATAAAGGTATGTACCTGAACTAAATTTCAATATCTCAAGCAGCATTTTAAACAAAGCCTGTAATTTTCGGGCTTGGTTTTGATCTCTGGCAACGATAAGCATGTCTCTCTTTTTAGGCTCATTAGAATTTACTGACTCCTTTCTGATTCATGATCCAGTTCTTATATGAGGAATGATTCATGGATCAGGAGAGGAAAATTCATTTCAATCAAGAAAGAAAGTAGATGATTACAAATCCCCTTCTTCTAAAAATCCCACACATAGGTTTCAATATGATATATGAAAATGGAAATGTGGCTGGATCCAGCTAGTCATGTAATGTGAACCTGAGGTATTTAGAATCTCCTGGTACTGTAATGGCCACATCTCTTACATGGGAGCATTATTTGAGGATGAATGCTTCCATTTCTTCAACCTTAGAGTGAACAACAATAGTAATATAAATCAATATTTTATTATTATTATAAAAATTATTGAAAACTTTTTATAGTGAATATTGTAAATGCTCATCCCTTACATCCTAAAGTTGAGTGCCTTTTTTACTCTTGTCGTTTTTAAAATTTCAAATAGAGCAAAGGAAATGAAATCCAAAGGAAAAAGAGGGAAAGGAAAGAGCTCCTGGTAAATAAAATAAACTGTGTTTCAGTCTCCAAAGATGGCTGCCATCAGTTACTTTTCTCCTTTTATGTAGGTGCTACTCCTCACATCAAAGGATGGAGACTAGTTCTCATCCTTTTACATCTGGACTGTCTTTGGACTTGCTTAGACCAATGTAATGTGATGGAAGTGATGCTTTTTCATAATGGGCCTAGACTTTAAGATGAATGGCAGTTTTAGATTCCTTCCTCTTGGAAGCCACCATCTAAGTTCAATTACCCAGAGACCACCACGGTGGTAGAAACCCCACGCTGGCCATGTGCAGCAGACATGTGCAAAGGCAGGCTCAGCCAGCCTCCAGTTGTGTCAGGCAAACCAGCTCTGATTCCAGACATGGACATGTGAGTGAAGAAGGCTTCTTGTAGGTTCCATCCCCAATGGACACCACACAGAGTTGAAAACCTGCCTAGCCCAGATTGCAGAATTGGGAGAAATAGTACATTATTTTAAGTCACTAAGTTTGGTGCTAGCTTATTTGAAGCAGTCAGTAGCTGAAACATTCTGGTGTTTCAATATCCTCATTATTCTCACATCAAACTTGTAAGTATGTCATTGTCCTTTTAAATGTTACTGCTTGCAGAAACCTTCAGGATTTATAAATAAAAATGGGAAAACATGATATGATTTTTTTTCCTAAAGCAGAATTGGGGCTTCTGCTAAAGTAAAGTAAAAGTGATCTTACCCAGTAACAGTATGTACTTGAATAGGATCCAGAATGACCAACATTACAGGTTTCACATGTCCTTGGCAGTTAGATGCCTGTTTGCAGTCTACTCCAAGCTCCATTTCTGAAAATAACATTTTAAAAAAACAATGCCTTGGGGCCTAAGGAAAACCCCAGCTTCTCACTCAACCGTGAACAGACACTCCCACTCAAGCTTGAAAAAATCTTTGTGAAGCACAGTTCACTCTTCCCACATTTTGCCAATAGTGGTGGGGGAAATCCCACATGTTAAAAACACATACATATGGATGCCCATTCTCTGCTTAGGTTTTTGATCTCAATCCTCGAAGATTCATATCAGAAATCTCTCTGCCTGGAAGATGATGTGTAGTCATTCAGTGTTTGTTTTCTTCATTATTGTTTCTGAAAACACTTAGGATTTGATACTGCTCATGAAAAACTCCTAGAACAATAACATCAGGAGTTGCCTAAGGCTTTGCACATCATCATGAAAAGTAAAAAGGAAAATCATATTTTTGAGAGAAGGTTTAAATTTCTGTTGAAACACCCCTGATTTACAATGTAGCCAAGAAGGAAAAGGGGCTGACCACTTGTGGCAGACCGGGCCTTTCTAGAACTCAGGTTTCCTGGATTTCTTACTTTAGTGAGCTGCCTTTTACCAGTCTCAATTGGAGATGGATGAGGACAAAGGTAATCCCCAACTCTGGCTATTTCAGTACTAAACTATTATGTTTAATTGACATCTTTTTTCTAGGTGGACAGAGGGCATAGAGCATGGATATGGGACGGGGGTGAGAGAAAGAGTAAAGGGCTGGCACTGCATGTAAGTGCAGGTGTGCATCTCCCTTTGCACCTTGGTGGTCCACATCATGGTTATTGTCATCATCACTGCCACCCATTACGATTCACCATTCATCAGGCACTGTGTTAAGAATTTCACGTATGTTATCTCAGTTTAATATATATATATATGTACATAATATCTGTACATATTTATGGGGTACATGTGACATTTTGTAACATACATAGAATGTGTAATGATCATGTCAGGGTATTTGGGATGTCCATCACCTTGAATATTTATCATTTCAATGTGCTGGGGTCATTTCAAGTTATCTCTTCTAGCTATTTTGAAATATACAATACATGTTGTTAACTATAGTCAACTAGTTTGCTATCAAACATTTTATCTCAATTTTTACATGAAGCCTATTAAGCAGGTATGATTTCCTCTAGTCAGACAAGGAAATCAAGGAAATGAGAGGCTTAGAAACGTTTTCACATTTACAGGGCTGCTCAGTTGTGGGATTAGAATCAGAGGTTGATTCACAAGCTCTCCAGAGCTGCCATTGTTGTTCACATCAATACTTCTGCCCTTACCATTTTGTTTTCAAAACTCTTCTTGGTAATAGTGACATGTAAACATTAAATTTTAAACTTAGAGAACTCTAATTTCATAAAAGTAGTATTAGACTTTACACCCAGCTCCGCACACCCTGCAAAAAAAAAAAAAAAAAAAAAAACTTGAAGTGATCAGGGTTGGAAAATTACTCCTTCATCTTCTACTTAATCTTCTGATTTCCAAGAAAGATTGCCCCTCTTTATGGTACCAAAACATCCCTAGTTTTCCTCACTATTCTCATATGTAATGCAGGTGTAATAACACTATTTAATTTCGTACAGTTGTGTGAAAGATAAAATTTTAATTCATATAAGTATTTAGTATAGTTCCTGAAACATACTAAGTCCTCAATATGTGTTAGTATTTTTATTAGTATAAGAACCCTTTCAATATGTAATTGGTACAGAATGCAGTCAGATATGTAACTCCTTTCTTCTCTACACTTCATCAATATCTCTCAAATGTTCCCCTCCCTTTCTTCATGATTTTGCCTGGTGTATTAGCTCAGGCTGCCATACAAAATACCATAGACTGGGTGTCCTAAACAACAGACATTTATTTGTCACAGTTCCAGAGACTGGAAGTCCAAGATCAAGGCGTCAGCTGATTCAGGTCCTGGCGAGGCTTGCATGGACATTTTGCTCTCTCCTCTCATGGATGAGAGAGAACCCTCTCATGTCTCTTCTTATAAGGACACTAATTCCATCATGGGGGCTCCACCTTCATGAGATTATTACCTCCTGAAGGCCTCATCTCCAAATACCATTGCATTGGGAGTTAGGGCTTCGACATACAAATTTGGGGGATGGAGGAAACAATTCAGTCCATAGCACCTTGGTGATGTCTCCCATCATCTCATCCTTAGACTATTACAGCTGTCTTGAGACCAATATTGTTCAATTCTTGTCTATCCCCATTCCACACTGAAGCATTCTAAAAAGCAAAATTGGCCATGTCATAAAATCATCTAATGACAATCATTAGGCTATAGAATAAAAGGAAAAAATCAGGAGCTGGGCATGGTGACTCACGCCCGTAATCCCAGCACTTTGAGAGGCCGAGGCAGGTGAATCATCTGAGGTCAGGAGTTCGAGACCAGCCTGGCCAACATAGTGTGAAACCCCGTCTCTACAAAAAATACAAAAATTAGCCGGGCATGGTGGCAGACGCCTGTAATCCCAGCTACTTGGGAGGCTGAGGCAGGAAAATGTCTTGAACCCGGGAGGCAGAGGTTGCAGTGAGCCAAGATCATGCCATTGTACTTCAGCCTGAGCAACAAGAGTGAAACTCTGTCTCAAAAGTAAATAAATAAATAAAAATTTAAAAAATAAAATAAATATTCACTACTTCTCCACATAGTCTTTAATGTCCTAACCATACTTAACTAGTGCTGCCACCTAAAAGTGATATGACTTCTGATAAAACTTGACTTAAATAGCACAACTAAATTCACTGTTGCTTGCTGAGTTCATCACTTATGGTGATGAGAGAGGAGACGGAATAGAATTGAAACTAATTTCCATCTTGATACCCATGATAAATAGGCTTCAGTAAGGTGTTAGTGGAAGATATGCTAATGTGATACACACTTAAAGCTAATATCTGAGGGTAACAAAGATGTTGTTGTTTAGGTGTGTTGCACACTCTTTAACCCTTAATGTGGCTGGCATCTCTTATTGACATGTGCATATCACTGCCATGCCATACCATGTTTGACCCAGAGAATTAATGAAACATTCCCATTGTTTATCAGTTTTGTATTCAGGCTAAGTAAGTTTCCTATCTATTTCCTTGCCATTGTTCTCCAAATTAATAATAAATTTTAATTTTCCTGGCAGATCCTATTTTTTTTCTGAGACAGAGTCTTACTGTATTGCCCAGGATGGAGTGCCGTGGCACAATCATAGCTCCCTGCAGCTTCAATCTCCTGGGCTCAAGAGATACTCCCACTTTGGGCTCCCGAGTAGCCAGGACTATAAACACGTGCTACCATGACCAGCTAATTTTTAAAATTTTTTTTACAGAGCATTTTTAAAAGAGCACTTTTTAAAAAATGGATGACCGAAGTCTTCCATTCTACTCTTGGGTAATGAAAATACAGTTACCGATTTTTTAAAATGTATCTCTCTAAGATTTGTATTCAGAAATAGTATGTATAAAACTTGACTAGAGAGTAGAAAAAATTTTTGAGGCTGTTTTATCTTGGAATAAGTATGGCAACGAAAGCACTGTGTTTCTCTCTCAACCTCGTCTATGAGCCACTTTAGTTGGTATCAACATGGTGATACTGTAACACACTATGGCTCTCTCTCCCAGGTTCTTACCTGTATTTCCATTCTTGGTTTGCAACTTTTTCCATGTATTATTTGTTGTTATTTTCATTATTTAAAGTTACCTCTAATTTATGATTCAGTGCCTACATAGTTCTTTAAGGAAATATATAGTCTACAATCCTTTGTATGATCATACTTTAATTACATGAATCAACTGGTACATTATTAAAGAGGAGATCCGGAAATAAAGGAAAATGGGTTTACCAGTACTAGAGAAACAGGAAGTAGGGAAAGGTAATTTGGGGAATTAGCAATTGAATCATAAATTTCTTTAAAAATGAATGGTTAGCCATCATTCTCAGCAAAGTGTCGCAAGGACAGAAAACCAAACACCGCATGTTCTCACTCATAGATGGGAATTGAACAATGAGAACACTTGGACACAGGAAGGGGGACATCACACACTGGGGCCTGTCATGGGGTAGGGGGGATGGGGGAGGGATAGCATTAGGAGATATACCTAATGTAAATGACGAGTTAATGGGTGCAGCACACCAACATGGCACATGTATACATATGTAACAAACCTGCATGTTGTGCACATGTACCCTAGAACTTAAAGTATAATAATAAAAAGAAAAAAAATTAATGGTTAGCACAATACCCATGATCTAATGCTGTACTCAACAGTTTACATATTATAAAACTCAAGTGAATAGAAGAAAGTGACGTTTTTACAATATGTTGTTTTTTGTTTTTTGTTTTTTGTTTTCAGAGAAAAGTATACCATATTAAAGGTGAAGTGTGAATATCACTGGGCCAGAGGCGGTAACAAACTTTGATCCTCACAGAAGTACTCTCTCAGTTGCTTTAGCATAACTGAAATAGCCTGCCTCATTAAGTATCACTTTCCTTGCAGTCAGTTGCTAAAGATCACTCCTCTAATAAGATGTCAGAAATATTTTTGTTCTTCACATATTTTGTACTTCAAGGCCACTATGTCCCTGCTTAATAATTTCTTTTGCTGGGTACAGTGGCATGCACATATAGTCCCAGCTACTCAGGTGGCTGAGGTGAGATGATCACTGGAGCCCAGGAGTTCAAGACTGTAGTGCACTGTGAGTGTGCTTGTGAATAGCCACTGCATTCTGGCTTGGGCAACATGAGAGAAATAAATATTGTTTTACAAAATAATTTTTCCTATTTTCGAATCTGTGTTTTTTGCTTATACCATCATTTTCCTATTCATGTTACTGTGGTTACCATTTCTTATGATCTTCTCTCTTCCCAGGCCACCATTTTCCTCTCCACATCTCTCTGAAGACACCATCTTTCTGTCCCCTTCTGCCGGTTTCTTACTCCTACTTGTTCTTCATCCTCATTGTAACCTCCCTTCCTTCCACCCTTAGTTGTTCTTGAAAAATACAATCTGGAACCTCAGATTGGAACTGTTAAGGATATTTTCACCAGCCCCCCTGATTTCCTCACTAGCTTGGCTTCCTCCTTAAGAAATTTTGCCAATCACCCAACCTACAGAATAGGAGAAAAATTTTGCAATCCACCCATCTGACAAAGAGCTAATATCCAGAATCTACAAAGAACTTAAACAAATTTATAAGAAAAAAACAAACAACCCCATCAAAAAGTGGGCAAAGGATATGAACAGACATTTCTCAAAAGAAGACATTTATGTGGCCAACAGGCACATGAAAAAATGCTCATCATCACTGGTCATTAGAGAAATGCAAATCAAAACCACAGTGAAATACCATCTCACGCCAGTTAGAATGGCGATCATTAAAAAGTCAGGAAAGAACAGGTGCTGGAGAGGATGTGGAGAAATAGGAACGCTTTTACACTGCTGGTGGGAGTGTAAATTAGTTCAACCATTGTGGAAGACAGTGTGGTGATTCCTCAAGGATCTAAAACTAGAAATACCATTTGACCCAGCGATCCCATTACTGGGTATATACCCGAAGGATTATAAATCATGCTACTATGAAGACACATGCACACATATGTTTATTGAGGCACTATTCACAATAGCAAAGACTTGGAACCAACCCAAATGTCCAACAATGATAGACTGGATTAAGAAAATGTGGCACATATACACCATGGAATACTATGCAGACATAAAAAAGGATGAGTTCATGTCCTTTGTGGGGACATGGATGAAGCTGGAAACCATCATTCTCAGCAAACTATCACAAGGACAGAAAAGCAAACACCACATGTTCTCACTTATAGGTGGAAGTTGAACAACGAGAACACTTGGACACAGGGTGGGGAACATCACACACCGGGGCCTGTCATGAAATGGGGGGCTGCAGGAAGGATAGCATTAGGAGAAATACCTAATGTAAATGATGAGTTGATGGGTGCAGCAAACCAACATGGCACATGTATACCTATGTAACAAACCTGCACGTTGTGCACATGTACCCTAGAACTTTAAGTACAGTTAAAAAATATTATATATGTATACACACATATATATAGAAAAAAGGAAATTTTGCCAATCACCAACCCACTCTATGCCACACAGTTCTCTTTTGTCAGCCAATTAGTGCTACTCTGTAACGGATACTTATTTATTATAAGTACTCTTAACTAAGCCATCTCTGCTTCTGAGACATCCTTTGGATTATTTTTAATTGATAAGTCTTAAGCGATCTTTGAAACAGATTCTACTGCCCTGAAGTCTGTGTTTTATACATTCTATCCTCACTGTCTAGTCAAGACATGAAAACAACATGCTGTTATCTCACACGACTTTCCTTATGTTCTCTGATCATTTCTCTTTGCCGTCTCTCTTCTTTGCCATTTTTCGTTTCATCTTAGATGAGAAAGTAAGTAGCTCATTCTCACCAAAGCCAGCTCTCCCAATTGTGCCTTTCATCTGTTTTTCCTACTCTTGGAACTTGTTTCATTGAATTTTCCACAACTGCCTCACATCTTAAATATTTCTCTCTCCTGTAGGTCTTTCTTGTCCATCTAGAAATATGTATCACTTTACACTGCCTAGAAGAGCTTACTCGTAATGCCGCTGCTTTATCAAATTACTGCCCTGCCTCTCTTCTTTCTTTAACCAACAACTACTCTTGAAGAGTAGTTCATACAAGTTGCCTGTTCTCATCACCTTGTGTTCACAGTTAAGCCTTCAGAGTACCTTGCTTATTCTCTTTCTTTCATCACTCATAACGTTGGACACCAAATCCACTGACCACTCTTCTCATCTGCATATCCTTCAATTCTTCTGTAGAAATCAGTACTGATAACCAGCCTTCCTTGAAAAGTCCATCTCTCTTGGTTTTCACGACACCCTATTCTTTTACAAGTATTTTCCTGCTAACTCCCAGGTCATAGCCCTTTCTTCTTATGCCTGAAAACTCTGAAGTATATGTATTTTCCAGGGATTGCCTTTGCATTTTTTATATCATAGTGATAATTTTCAGATCTATCAACTTGAGCCTAACTTCTCTCTCCAAATATAAGCTCACATTTTCAAATGTCTTTTGGATACATTCACTTGGGTTTCTCTCTGATCGCTTGTCCTTAAGATGTACAGATATTGTCATCAACTTTGCTCCTCTGCCTTATCCTAATTGCTCTGATCTCAGTGTTATTCTTTCACTCCTTTCTTTTCTTCTTCCTCTTGATACTTTTTCTGGTTTTCCTAACCTAAAAGCTAGGGTAATTTCTTTCACTTCATACTCATACTCTCAGATGAGTGGCTGTCAAACTAACTGATCATCAGAATTGCTTATGCTTTCAGAAATTATGGTTTGATGAGTCTCACTATAGACTTACTAAATTAGAATCTCTGGTGATGAAGTCCCACAATCTGTATATTTTTAAGCTCTCTTACTCTTTTCTGATTTGAGGGTACTACTAGAGATTCTGTCTCTAAATTTCTGTGCCTACCCCTTCATTACATTGCAGGGGCCACTCCTATGCCATTCCCCTACCTCAGGCCTTCATTACTGAGACCACAGCAATCCTTCCCTAACTGGTGTCCCTGCCTCTAGCATTCTCTCCACCAACCTATTTTCTTTCCTGTGAGTTTAAGCTATGTGAATATGCCACACCTCTTCTCCGAAATTTAAAATGGCACTCCATTTTTCTGTAAAGTAATTATGTATTGTTTAACCTGGCCCTCAATATTCCTTCATGACCTAGTGCTACAAACATCTCGTTACTCACCTTCATGGGAACCTTTAACACCAGCCAAAAGGAACAACTTACAGTAATTTATGCATTTGCTTTTTGCCTCTCTTTATGCTGCTCTCACTGCCTTTGCCTCAATATTTGTATGTTCAAATATGGCCCATCTTCATGGCCCAGCCAAAATTCTTTCTTCTTTCCCCAAAGTTCCCTGATAATCATCAATAGGAAGAACCTCTTGTTTTCCCTGAATTTTTATGTAACTTTTATAAATCTCTCTTATAATACTTATCTCCTACCTTTTCTTATAGGGTATATACAAATATATATGTAATATGCACAACTATATAATCTTTTTGTTGTTGTTTTTTGTTTTTTGAGACGGAGTCTCACTCTGTCGCCCAGGCTGGAGTACAGTGCACTCGACTTGATCTTGGCTCACTGCAACCTCCGCCTCCCGAGTTCAAGCGATTCTCCTGCCTCAGCCTCCCAAGTAGCTGAGACTGCAGGCATGCACCACTGTGCCCGGCTAATTTTTTTTTTTTTTTTATGGTAGAGATGGGCTTTCACCATGTTGACCAGGCTGGTCTTGCACTCCTGACCTGAGGTGATCCACCTGCCTCGGCCTCCCGAAGTGAATGTATATAATCATTGAGAGCAGATCCAGATGTAATTCAACATTTTATCTATCACATTTTATCTAATACATTTTGATGCTGAAGAAATATATTTCTTGAATAACAAACAGCAGCCAAAGTTTATCTGGAACTGTTCGAAGTGTTCCACTTTTCAACCAATAAATCCTCACAATCCACAAAACCTTATTTGGGAGGCACTAATAGTATATTCAATTTACAGATGAGGAAATTGAGCCTCAGAGCAGTTAAGTAACTAATACAAGGTCACACAGCTAGTGAAGGCCCTCAAGTAGCCTGGTTCCAGAGTCCATGCTTTTAATCATTCTGCCTTTTTTTGTGAATAAATTCCACCCAGTCATATTTTTTAACCTCAGTGCATTTTTTAACATTTAATTGGCTGAGGGCTTATATTCAAAAGAGATCTTTTTCTTTTAATTGAATTTGACAGAGGCAAGCTTTAAATTTTATCATAAATAGCCTTCGAGAAGGCAAATAATGTGATTTACAATTAGGATTCATCAACTTCAAGGAAGAAGTGGAAATTTGCTTATAGGAAAAATTTAAATGTGTTGCATAGTTACATAAAGCTCTGTTGTACAATTTTATAGAGACTGTAAAACAGAATACTTATAAATTAATAAGTAATTGAAATAAACATCATTTGATTCTTATACTCATTGAATTATACAATCTCCAAGACATGTGATTTCCTTCTCCCCATCTTTTTCCCCCAATGCCAGAGTATTTGCAAATAAATATTTAATCCATGGTTATATTAAAGCTGCTTTGCTACCATGAAAAAAAATTTTTTTTACAAACATCTTTCACAGACTTTGTAACTGGACAAACTCCACCCGGTAAAAAAATAAGTGCATGGAAACAAAACAAGAATGTAGCAAGATCTGCCTAGTTTATTAAACATGAAATTGAATAGTGGAAATAGCTCCATTTGGGAAGCTTAGGAAGCATAGTGACCAAAAAACTGTATGGCTGCTCATTCATTAGTCTTAAACTATTAATGTCAAACTCATAGTACCCAGAGTTAAATAAGATTCTGATGCTTCTACTCTTAAAAAGAAAAATGGAAGCATGTAGTTATGAGCCTGGGGCAAAAAGAAGCTCTAATATCTACCATATATTTGCTAATAATATCAGACACACCTGTGAACCAGTTTAACCATTAACAATTTAAACTCTACATTTAAAAAAGAGAAAAAAAATCCTAGAATTAAAATATCACAAAAATTAAGGTCTACATGTAATATTGACAAGCAAATACAGAAATCAAATTTGATAGTCTATCATTGGGCACAAATCACTTTGATCACTAATATACAAGTATTAGACAGCCTCTTTCTCCCTAGAGTATATACATAGCATTCAATCCAGGAATTGCCTTTTTTTTCTGAACACCATTGTTTCCCTTTTTTTTCTCTGTAAGGGCTTAGTCCAATGTTGCTAGTAAGAATGAGCAATAAGATATTAGTTCACTCCCTTATGCATTAAAATCCCTGCCACACCTGTGGGTATTGTGCCATTGTTTAAAAGGGTAATAATAATAAGCCTTTATATAACACAGATATCAAAGAGCTTTGTGGTCAGTCGTTGTTGTACATGCCTAAAAACAGCTCTGCGTGAGTTTTGTATCCATTTGCTTAATTAAAAATATAATTATTTAACAACAGAGAGTAAGTAATATACATACAGCTGTTGGGAAATACCATTATTTCTAAGACCAGACAATACTTTGATAATCTGATAGCTGTTGGGAAAAGAGATGCAGTTAATCACATTAATAGAGAGTCAAAGGATTTAACTCAAGTAGACCTTTTAGAACAGTGATATGGCAAGGGAAGTAAAAAAAAAATCAAATCAAATTTTAAATTTGTATTACAGTTTTGTGTGTGATGGTTAGAGAACCAAATTAAAGAAACAAAGGCAGCTTTGAAGTATGTTGGCATTTATCCAGATTGAGGGTCTATCAGAAAATAGTTCTGGGAACTGACATTTATGATAACTCATTCAAATATTTTCTTGCACAATTAGGGTTATCTTTAGGGTTAATTTTCCTGAGACATCATGCCATATTTGACTCAAGATTTCAGCATTGAATTTGAGCCTATTAACTCTTAATGAGTGCTAACTGATGTCTTATCAAACTATCTGTAAAAGATAACTGGCTATTCATGGCCAAATACATAGTCATCTAATGTCCAAAAATTATGAGACCATTTAGCCAGATTCAAAATACAGACATAGGCAAGTTTAAAGATGCATTGTACATTTTCATTGTATTACAAAAGTTAAGTGTGTTGGAAAATTGCTGTTAGCTGCCTGAGCATGCCTGTAGCTGAGTTTTGAGCTCCTTAATAGCTGAGTAACTGGTAATGTAGTTAGAAAACTAGGTTAAGCCAGTCTTCAGTCATTAGTTGGCTGACTTCATATTTGTTTTAGAACTCTAATCTTCTAAGAACTTGTTTTCATAATTCCACCTTATGAAACATTTATGAAATGTGTAGAAAATTACTACGACAGCTGTAAACCCAAATGATAATTCCCTTTCCCATAGTTTCAATAATTTTTTTCTTCACTAGAAGAAAACAGAGCACTTAACCTTTTCCTTAAGAATCACAGATCTATTTGATCCCCCCTCAGCAAAATATTATCTGGCACTTTTGAAGTACATGGTTCAAATAGAATTACTCTAATAATAGTTTTTGCGAGGTCTGTGTGGGTATGTCTCATCTAACTTGGTTATTCTCCTTAGATTCAAAATTATATCCTGCAAATTGAAAATTATATATAGCTTTTGCAAGGCAAGACCATAATTCTAGGCTTGTACCATTTTTTTTTCAACCCCAATAAATCACATTCAAAGTAGACCTGACACTGGACTGTCTTTTAGCATCCAGGAGAGCCCTAAGTCAGCTCTTGACAAAGTACTGCGTTTTAAGTTCCCAGAAAACCTTGAGACTCCACTGAGAATTTGCTCACATTCTCCTCTTTAACCCTGGAAAATATACTCTAGGCCAATACTGATTCACTTCTCTGCCTGCAGATCTAGTGTGTCACCTGCACAGATCTTTCCAAATCATGCTTGTATCCTTCACATATCAGTAAGGGTCAGGGTAAATCCATGTCAGAAGGTAGTCGGTGGAAGCCTCCACTGTGGTTATGTTTACTGTTCCTACCTTTACCTCTAAAGTACAAGCTGCTTAAATTACCTTCTAAAGCAAAAATTTAAAAATTGTGGGTCACACAGTGCATTGATGAGTCCCACTGCCAACCTATTTTACATGGAATAGGATGGCATGGGAGAGAGTAGAGTGGATGGGATAGGATAGGATAGGATAGGAATCAAAGTGTGTCATACATTAACTTGGGTTTCATAAAAGTTTTCTTTCAAGATTGTGTAGTTCACATGTAAAATGCATTTCTCACCGTGGTTTGTGGTCAGAGTTTGAAAGTCAGTATTATACAGTAAATTTGACTTCTCAATGGCCCTGGAATTGACATATGTCTATGGAAATCTTAGATAAGGTGGATTGTTTCTGGGAAGCATTCAATGCTTGCAGCACACTTTTTCTCCCTCCCTCTCTTTTTCCCTCCCATTAAAAAACAATCCCATTGAAGTGTCTCTATGGGAATGTTACTCATAGGCAGCTTTGTTTACAAGCCACAAACTCAAATTTTTTATCAAGCTCCTGCAGCCCAAAAGCAATTCTCTCCCTGCTGTGACATCCACATTTCTCTGTGCACCTTCCCTACTCTTTAAAGAGTGAAGGAGATAGTGGGGTTACAATTTCTTGTCAATTTTACTTTTAACTGTAGCATGTCTTGTCAATTTTACTTTTAACTGTAGCATGTCTTCTTAGCCAGTCCCATAGGCCTTTTTTTAATTCATTAAACTAGAATCAGAAACTGTCTTTTTTAATTCATTAAACTAGTGCTTGAGAATTATCTCAATGCTTCTGTGAGCTCACATTCTAGGAGAGTATTAAACAATAAACAACTATGTAAATTGTGTTAGGATTCTCCATAGAAACAGAACCAACAAGAGATCACCTGCAGATTGGAGACTGAAGAAGCTGGTGGTGTATTTCAAAAGCCTGAGAGGCAGAGGTGAATGGTGTAGATTTCAGTTTTAGTTCGAAAGCCTGAAAACCGGGAATGCTAAGGGCAGAAGAAGGAATGTTCCAGCTCAAGCAGTCAAGCAGAAGAAAGGTGAAGCTAGCCTTCCTCCACCTTTTTGGTTCTATTGAGGCCCTTAAGGTGTTGGGTCATGCCCACTTACATCAGGGAGGGCCATCTGCTTACCCAGTCTGCGAATTAAAATGCAAATCTCTTTTGGAAACACTCTCACAGACACACTCAGAAATAATGTCTAATCAGATATCTGGGCTTCCTTTAACCCAGTCAAGTTGACCCATAAAAGTAACCATCACATAAATCATATAGTAAGTTAGATGTCAGTAAGTGCTATGAAGAAACTGAGTTAGAAAAGAGAGAGTGGCAGGGAAAATAGAAGATGCTGAGATGTCCTTTTTTTTGAGATAAAGTCTTGCTCTGTCACCCAGGCTGGAGTGCAATGGTGCAATCTTGGCTCACTGCAACCTCTGCCTCCCAGGTTCAAGCAATTTCCTGCCTCAGCCTCCCGAATAGCTGGGATTACAGGTGCCTGCCACCAGGCTGGCTAATTTTTGTAATTTTTGTAGAGATGGGGTTTCACCATGTTGGCCAAGCTGGTCTCGAACTCCTGACCTCAGGTGATCCACCCGCCTCAGCCTCCTAAAGTGCTGGGATCACAGGTGTGAGCCACCATGCCTGGCCCAAGAGGTCCATTTTAAGTTGGTTAGTCAGGAAGTTTTTGGTGACAGTTTGAATGTGATAGAACTTCAGGTCTGCATGCTGAAAACAATACTCCTCAAAGTCTAGGCTTGCACCTGATTACATCAGGATAAACAAAAGGGTTCTATAGCCAAACAAATATGGGAGATTCTGGTATATATATAAAAAACTTAAACATGTTTCTTTACTATGTGATACTTTAGAACTTCAAACCTACAAAGGAAGAAATAGAATGAGACAAGATGAGAAGCAGCAAGGTAATGGGAATGGAGGGAAACTTAGGGGCAGAGTAAGAAAAATAAAGTTGGAAAACTATAGAAGATGAGAGATGAAGTCAATTAAATAGGGCCATGGTTGCTCTTTGAAAAATACTACCCATATGAGAACAATACAAGCAACAATTGCAGGGTATCTATAGCCATGTGCTCTTTTCCTAACGTGACTAAACTGATGGTGGTGAGAATTAGGATGATAGTAGCTAGTGCTTATTGAACATGTGCCTGATGCCCGGCCTTGTGCTGAGTGCTTTGTGTGCATGGTTTCCCTCTCTGGAGTGCAGATCCACACAGGTAGAGGCTGCCTCTGCCTTGGCTCATCTCTTTACTTCCAGCGCTTAGCACAGTAGGTATTCAATAGGAACATGGAATTTGTCTTATCAGCATTAACTAATACTTACCAAATTGATGCATGAATTATTAAAATTTCTACAATTATCCTTTATTTTTTATCAGGACTTACGGTACAGAGAAGTTAAGGAGTTTGGCTGAGGCCCACCCAACAGGCTCAAAAGTGATAGAATTGGAAGCCAGATGCAGATCTATCTATCCCTCGAGTTCATCCTCATTCAGAATATTGCCACAGAGCATTTATTTTCCTCCATGGATCATATCTTAAACGACTAGTGTACCTTAGACCCACTGCTGCAAAGCAAATTAACTTTTCCCTGAAATGCATTCTCTTCATTCTTGTACTTTCGAAGTCCAGGGCTTCTCTAAAAAGAAATTCAAGCTTTCAGATGAAAAGAGCAGCAGTAAAAAGCAGGGTCATATCGACAAGTCACATCAACAATTCTTTTATTGAACAAACATTAAGTGACTTACTTATGCCAGACCATGTGCTAGGCACTGGGAATATAAAGATAAGTAAGATAGACTGAGTTAGTGCACTTAATAACCTTGGTGAAAGAGATAGACACGTAACAAGTAATGACAAAGAGATACAGGCATGAAGAAATACAGTGTGCTCAGGGTGCCTGGAAGACTAGAGAGCATTCACTGGGAAGTAGGCAGGGACTGGTGGTGAGGTTTATCTTTTATGATATGGGAGGCAGTTAAAGGGTTTTTAGCCTTTAAATGGCCTGATCATATATGAAAATACATATAAACATGAACTTTTAAATATTCATACGTGTGTATCACGTGTATACATACGTAAGTTTTTTTTTTTTTTTTTTGAGATAGAGTCTCACTGTGTCACCCAGGCTGGAGTGCAGTGGTGCGATCTCTGCTCACTGCAACCTCAGCCTCTGGGGTTCAAGCAATTCTCCTGCCTCAGCCTCCCGAGTAGCTGGGATTACAGGCATGCGCCACCACACCCAGCTAATTTTTGTATTTTTAGTAGAGATGGGGTTTCGCCATGTTCGCCAGGACAGTCTCGAGCTCCTGGCCTCCAGTGATCTGCCAGCCTCCACCTCCCAAAGTGCTGGGATTATAGGCATGAGCCACTGCACCCAGCCATAATTTTTTAAAAGATGTTTCTCTGGGCCGGGCACAGTGGCTCACGCCTATAAACCCAGCACTTTGGGAGACTGAGGCGGGCGGATCACCGAAGTCAGTAGTTTCAGACCAGCCTGGCCAACATGATAAAACCCCATCTCTACTAAAAACACAAAAATTAGCTGGGCGTGGTGGTGGGCACGTGTCATCCCAGCTACTCGGGAGACTGAGGCAGGAGAATTGCTTGAACCCAGGAGGCAGATGTTGCAGTGAGCAAAGATCAGGCCACTGCACTCCAGCCTAGGCAACAGAGTGAGAGTCCTTCTATGTAAAAAAAAAAAAAAAAGATGTTTCTCTGGCCATAATAGGAGTAGGAGGGATGAATTGGAACAGACAGCTCTACCTACGAAGCTGTCAAAATAGGTTCACTAAAAGAGATGAAGTCCTCAGGAAAGACAATGTTCTAGGAAGGATTGTAGAGGACAAATTTCAGAGCAACTTAGAAGATAAAATAGACAAAATATGTTGACTAATTTGATGCAGCATATGAAGGAAAATGGGGCATCAGGGTAAATCGGTGCGAATGGTGATACCAGTACTCAGGAGGAGGAAAAAGTGTGATGAGAAGAGGGATACTAAATTCAGCTGTGGAGGAACTCTGTTTGAAGTGGTTTGGGGATCTCCAGGCCTGGAGCTTAAGAGAAGTGAAGATGCAGATTCAGAAAGAGTTGGCCCTAATGTGCTTGGAGGAAGATAACATTGGAGATTATTAATTTAGGAAGGATATCTTAATAAAATGAAGAACCTGGCACATAATAAGTGTTGATAGAGTCTAGCCTGCTGCAACAAATATTTGCAACCGTATCTGGAGACAGAGGCCAAAGGACCTAGAGTGAGTTTCTTATTATCTGAATGGGTTTTCAAGAGCTCTTTTGGAAGTGAGTTGGAGAACTGCTGAAAAGACAAGGAAATTCTAAAATTAGATCTGAGTATAGAACTAATGACTAAGGGTTAGGAATGCCAGCTACCCAAATGAGGTGGAGGGTGTTTCTTTGAACAATTTGCAAACCCAGTATTTTTTTTTTTTTTACACGGGGTCTCACTCTGTCACCCAGGCTGGAGTGCAGTGGCACAGTCAGCTCACTGAAACCTCCACCTCCCAGGCTCAAGAGAGCCTCCTACCTCAGCCTCCTGAGTAGCTGAGACTACAGGCATGCGCTTCCACACTTGGCTAATTTTTGTAGTTTTTGTAAAGACAGGGTTTTGCCATGTTGCTCAGGCTGACCCCAGTCTTTAACTTTGTTGTTCACTCTCCCATGCACAGTATCCTCATGGTGATTTGGCAGTTCTGTGAAATATGTGCCTTATTGCCTTCCTGTATGACCCTCAGTTTATTTGCTGAGAACAGTGGGGGCTGACTGCTGCGGAACTGGTGTTAATCCTTGTCAGGAAACCTCAAGGACACCAATATTTTCTCACCAAGAAAATATTCAGATCACGGAAACATCCTTGTCTCTAAGTATCTGTGAATTTCAGAATAAAGACCTATGTTTTAGAAATAAGGCTCTTTGATACCCTTTTGTTTCAATCTATCTTTCTAATTTAAAAATAATGTGTGCCTACTGTTGGAAATAGATCCATTAATATCTTTTTATTTAAATTTTTTTTTTGAAATAGTTTCACTCTTGTTGCCCAGGCTGGAATGCAATGGTGCGATCTTGGCTCACCGCAACCTCCACCTCCCAGGTTCGTGTCATGCTCCTGCCTCAGCCTCCCGAGTAGCCACCATGCCTGGCTAATTTTTGTATTTTAATAGAGATAGGGTTTCACATTGACCAGGCTCATCTGAAACTCCTGACCTCAGGTGATCCCCCCACCTCAGCCTCCCAAAGTGCTGGAATTACAGACGTGAGCCACTGCACTTGGCTGATATCTTAAATCCACATTTTTTCACAGTTGTGTTCTATGTTTTACATTGATGGGTTTGTTTTAGTAGCACATTCCAAATTGTTAGTATCAGAAGGTCAGTGAGGTAAAATTAAAACAAGTACTTTGGAAGGTTGTAAACATAGAATAAATTTCAGCTTCATGTAAATGGAGTGTGATTTCCATAATAAAGCCATTATTGTTGTCAGTGGTGCATAGCAATAAAGCCAAGGCTGCAATTACAAAGAAAACAGATAATACAACACCATACTTTCTTTAAAAATGGCAGTTAAATTCGTGGAAATAATATTTTTCACTAAAAATAAAGAGATGTGATGTAATCTCAATGGAATCTACTAACTCCCATGAGTAGACTTTCTTAATGATAGTAGCACTAATTGACGTATCTACTTGCTGGTTTGTTGTTTGTTGTTGTTGTTTGTTTTGTTTTCTTTGCCTTTCCAGAAGTAATTTCTTTCACTAAAACCTTTTCAAACTATTTTGGTTTTCACATTCGTGACTCCTTGTTAATTTAAGTATGTAAATTAAGTACTGTGATGATTTGATTTTTTTTTCTCCCTGCAGTGGAACTTCATCTTGACACAGCCTGAGTTACTTGGCATAGTCTTTTTTCTTTTTTGTTAATTGTAGTAAAATATACATAACAAAATTTAGCATCTTAAACCATTTTAAGTGTACACTTCAGTGTCACATAAGTACACTGACAATGTTGTGCAACTGTCACCACTATCCATGTTTCCAGAACTTTTTCATCACTCCAAACAGAAACTCTATATCCATTAAACAATAACTCACTATTCTGCACTCCTCCCAGCCCCTGGTAACTTCTGTTCTACTTTCTGCCTCTGAATTTGCCTATTCTAGGCACCTCGTGTAAATGGAATTATTATTTGTCCTTTCATGTCTGGCTTGTTTCACATAACATTTTCAAGGGTCATCCATGGTGTAGCATATATTATAATTTTATTCCTTTTTAAGCTTCAGTATCTCAGTATGTTTAGGCTATTACAGAATACCCTAGAGCAGGTAGCTTACAAACAGCAAAAATGTATTTCTTACAGTTCTGGAGACAGAAAGTCCAAGATCAAGGTGCCAGCAGATTCAGTGTCTGGCAAGGGCCCAGATTTCTGGTCCATAGATGATGCCTTCTTGGTGTGTCCTCACATGGTGGAAGGGGCAGGACAGCACCCTGGGGCCTCTTTTATAGGTGCACTAATCCCATTCATGAGGGCTCTACTCTCACAACCTAATCACCTCCAAGCAGTCCAACCTTCTAATTTTATCATTGGTGATTAGGTTTCAACATATAAAGTTTGGGGGGACACAAACATTCAGAACGTGGCACTGACTAATATCACATTATATGCAAATAGTATATTTTATTTATCTATTCATCTGTTGATGGACATTTGGGTTGTTTCCACCTTTTGGCTATTGTGATACTGCCATGAATATTGGTGTGCAAATATCCATTTGAGTACCTGTGCCTTCACTTTTTTGAATATATACCTACAAGTGGAATTGTTGGATCGTATGGTAACTCTGTGTTTAACATCTTGAGGTTCTACCAAACTGTTTTCCACGGCAGTTGTGCCATTTTACATCTCTATCAGGCATGCACAAGGGTTCCAATTGCTAAATATGCTCACCAACACTTACTATTTCTTGTTTTTTTGATAATAATCATTCTAGTGGGTATGAAATGGTATCACGGTGGTTTTGATCTTCGTTTCCCTAATGACTAGTGATCCTGAGCATTTTTTCATGTGATTATTGGCCATTTGTATATCTTCTCAAAAGAAATGTCCTTTGTCCATGTTTCAAATGGATTGAATGGGTATTTTGTTGTTAAGTTGTAGGAGTCCTTTATTTTATATAGCACAGTCTTATATAGATACTCATTTCTTGGGTGCAACACTGTGTTTTTAGGGCCTCCTTTTATTGAGAACATTGAAATGATTCTGTTTTATCTTCACTAATTCACTCCTAAACACAACTTGTTTCCAATATTACCAATTACAAATGCTTTCTTTGGTAAATATTGAATTATAGACAGCAGAGAAGTTATTAGTAGTTCATCAAATGCGAAATAACAGCTTAGGAAATATAAAACCAAAGTGATTTTCAATTGAATGGAGCACTGTTTTTCAGTTTGCCAAATGGAATTTATAGTCACTGTTTAACAACAACATGCCCCCCAACCAACTTTCATCACCATCACCCCCTCCCAATACCTCTTTCCTTTTGACTTAGGCCCTAAAGAGGGTTAAAGGTGCCTCCTCAGAGGCAGATTAACCATAAAGCTAACGTAGCTTAAGTTTCAGGTCCTTTCACCAGCCTTGGCCCCTTCCAAGATCCTGCACCTAATTACGGTTTTGTAACTTTTGTTTTTTAAAGAAGCCTCCCTAATATAAGCTTCAGGCCCACAAAATCTGGATATGCCTCTGGATATGTTTCTTCTATCTGAAATCATCATCCTAATCATTGTTGTACTTCTGGAAGGCAAGCCTGGGATCTATTAAGTATGCTGAGTTATTTATGACTAGCTTTTTCCTTACGGAGTTTCTAGTCTGGGGTGCCAAACTACTATACTTTTCTGCAGAATTCCAGGAAAATATAAGCCATGGACATTCTCATGAGCCCCAGTATGCTCCCTTAGCTTCTCCACTAAGCTCTGTCAGCACATACCACTCGCTTTGCTCTAAGCACTTAGATGAACATGCAGGCCAAACTTTGAAAATTGGTTCCTAGTTGTTCATACAAAATGTGCATGTCCCTTTGTACTCCGCCCAGAGCCATAAATAGAATTTTGTTCTTACACAGTGGAAGAAAAGAATGCAGTTGCCAGACTTGATACCTAATCTTTGAAAATTTTGTGAGCACAGCTTAGGGGTTTTCTAAATATTAGGGTATCTTGTCAGAAGTAAAAATGAGCCTTCTGGCCCTTTAGCAAATTATATTATTTCATTAAATAAAAATGAATTTTTCTAAAAATTAAATAAATCTTAATGTATATTTTCTTGTCCTGCTGCAAAGCATTAGTGACAAAGAAATTATTCATCTACGTAAATCTTCTTGTATTAGTCTTACTTTCCCTGTACAGTTATAATAATAATTTTGACAATTTGTATATATTGTGATGAAGGGCATATATCAGCACGGTCCCTTCTAAAGCCTTATTTCTCTCTCAAAAAAAAAAAAAGTGTTCGGGTTCCCTTTCTCCTCACCACTTCCTTTCTCCCTCTTTGCCTCCTCTCCTTGTTCTTTCTTTTTCCTCCCTTTCCCGAACAATTCCATCTACAGCCACCAGGTAGTACAGAGCAAGGTGTGCATCTGCAGGAAGGGGCCCAAGCCTCGGTGTCAGAAGCCAATCGTTGTGAGGAAGGAATCCATGTGAGGGGTGCAGTGCTGCCCAGCTGGAATTGTGGGACACTGAGTGAGTTTGGGAGGCCACCTGAGCGAGGGAATGGGTAACAGCAATAGGAAGTTGGTTACATGCAGGGGAGTGGATCGAATCAGTAGATATATTAAGAATAATAAGCAATAGCGGGGTGCGGTGGCTCACGCCTGTAATCCCAGCATTTCGAGAGGCCGAGGTGGGCAGATCACCTGAGTCCAGGAGTTCAAGAATAATGAGAAGTAGATCTCTTACCAACACAGAAAAGTTACAAATATGGAAAGGGAGAAAACTGGAATTAACCCCGTGATGTTGGGTTGGAATTAGAAGCATTGAAATGAACTAATGAATTTCAATATATAGAGATAGATAGAGTAAAACAGATCTAAATGTGTTTGTGTGTGCATATGCATGTGTATCCTCTATCTACTAAGAGAGCTTAGGAGCAGCAACAGCAGTGACCATACCTAGCCCCAGATCACAGTTTCTAAATACCATTCTCCCCTAAAAGAAACCAGGACTGGGGCAGAGAATATTTGAAACATCTTGGGCCAAAAAGCAAACAACTGCTAGTAGAATGATGAGGATATAACCAAAGTCACAGAAACCATCTTGAAAGGGCTCCTGCTAGGGACAACTTGGCATCGAAATAAACAATGATAGTGGCCGGGTACCATGGCTTATACCAGTAATCCCAGCACTTTGGGAGGCCAAGGCATGCGGATCGCTTGAGCCCGGAAGTTCAAGACCAGCCGGGGCAACATGGCGAAACCCCATCTATACAAAAAGTACAAAAATTAAGTGGGCGTGGTGGCATGCGCCTATAGTTTCAGCTACTTGGGAGGCTGAGAGGTGGCAGGATGGCTTGAGCCCAGGAGGTCAAGCCTGCAGTGAGCTGTGACAACACCACCACACTCCAGTCTGGGCAATGGAGAAAGACTTTGTATGACCCTATGTGAAAGAAAAGGAGAGGAAAAAGAAAAGAGAAAGAAAACAAAAAAGGAAAGAAGGAAGCAGGGAGGGAGGAAGGAAGGATGGAAGGAAGGAAGGAAGGGGAAAAGAAAGAATAATGGATAATATGCTAAATAAGCAGGAATATATTAGTCTACATTAGAAGATAAATAAGTGGATAAATCAAACATTTGATAAGGAAAAAGATATTTACATAGTTTCAAAGAAATGCCACATATAAAACTTCTTAATTACACAGGGGAAAATGCTAACTTTACAGTGAAGAATTTGTGCAGCCATCATCTTAATCAAGTGACCAAAATGAACATCTTCAGTAACGGGAAAAATTGAGTTCTTGCGTCACCTTATAGAATGCTGTAAGATGAACTCAGCATCCCTTCTGTGATTTCTAACGGCTTATAATCTAAATCTAATCACGAGAAAAATCAAATAAACTCAAATTTAAGGACACTGCAAGAAAAACTGGCTGGTAATCATCAAAAGTGTCAGGGTTACAAAAGTCAAGGACACACAGAAGACCCATTTGGGATTAAGAATCTACGAAGACGTGTCAACTATACACGACTGGATCTCTGGATCTCTCTGCTAAAAAGGAAATTACTGGTATAATAAAATGGAATCTGAGAATGATAGTACTATATCAGTGTTAATTTCCTAATTTGATGGCATCATGTTTATGTAGGAAAATGTCTTTGTAGAAAATACACATTATTCAGAGGGTAATGGGGGATCAGATTCACAATTTTCAATTAATTCAGGGAAAAAAAAACTTTCTCATTGTACTCTACTTGCACGTCTTCTGTATGTTTGAGATTGTTTCCAAGTAAAATTAAATTTGAAAATTGCTAAAGTTGTAAGCAACTGTTTAAATTTCCATAGTGGACGAGGATTTTAGGTGTTAATTGATGATAGTGGGTAAAGAAGGGCTTTGAGGTCTGTCATGAAAGTTGTCAGTGGTGTGGTCTACCCTGATGTCTTTCAACAGCTTGAAAATGTGTTTATTTGTGGCTGCAAAGATCCGATTCACTTTCTAAATCTTATATAACTTGTCACTTAAATATTAAGATCGCCTCTATATGGTTATTATTCTAAAACTCAGATAGCAAAGAAAACTCAAAATAGACAAGTGGAAAGGGTAATAAAGTCCCTTGGCCCTGAGAAAATCTATTCTGAAAACGTCTGAAACAAACTGCATTAGAACATGTGTAGAATAAGTTTAGTTGATCATTATGAATCAGTCACTTCATCTTTGCTCTTAAACTTACCAATAAATTTTGGTGTCTTCTCAGTCAGAAAAAAGATGTGAGTACAGGTTTTTCCAACACACACACACGTGCGCATGCACACACACACACACGCACACACGCACGATGTTATATAATTTCTGTTCTTAAGTGCCTGGTTGGAATATGCTAATTTCGGGAGCACACTACTGCCTGCCATTTTCTGGTGGAACAGTCTTTTAAGGAGATTTCTACAAATCCATTGTTGCTTTGTGGTACTTACTGAACAGTCCAGCAGGTGGTAGTCTAGGAGAGGAACAGTTCTCATCCTCCCCCAGCCATCCCTGGGCCTACCAGCAGCCCCATTTGCAAAACAGAATGTGGACTCAGCAATGTGCCTTCTCCCCTCTGGCATAAGAATGGGATTTCCAAGGTTGTTCTCTCAAAATGGGCACTAGAATACCACAGAAAGAAGCCAAAAATAACTGTGTATACATGTGACTGTGCAGTATTCTGAAGCTCAAAAATTCTTTTTTTTTTATTTCTAGAAATTCCACTGATTTTATATCTCTTTGCTCTGATTTCCGTGACATGGCTTTGGGGAGGACTACACATGGCCTACAGACACTTCTGGATGTTGGTTCTCTTTGTCATTTTCAACAGTCTGCAGGTAAGCCTTACAATTTGGTTAGTGACAACATACATTTATCTTAATGAACACAAGGCATAGAATTTCAATATTAAAGAGTCAAGCATCCACACACAGGTGAATTTGTGTACATAATAACATCATATAGAGTTGTAAAATAAAATGATAGGAACCTAAATCCTTAACATTTGAAATATGACTGGGATTCTAACTTGCTCATTATACAATTAGGGAAGACAAAATATTTATTCTCCTTCATTTTGAACATCGAAGTAACTACACAAACATATTTCTTTTTCAGTAGGATTGATGTTTATCAACTTTGCAAATGGCAGTCATGTAAGATCAATGCACATATTTGGATTGTGGCTGGGTCTAGAAATTAGATCAATTGAGGAGTGAAATAGTGATGTTCAAGCAGTCCCCTCTTAAGTGTGATGCTTAGTGAAATGAGAGTGTTTGGTTCACTAAAACATGACTGACATCCCCTAAGTCCAGCAGTGCCCAGCTTAAATTAGTTTTATAAGCATGCTTGGATAACTAGAAATTATATAACTGCAGCAAAAATGAAAGCTGAGATTTTTAGTACTTTTGTTAAATGGAAAAATGTTGCACCCTGATATTAACAAATGGAACAAATGAACACATTTTCCTTGTTTTCCAAAGTGAAACGATCTGTCCTAGACTAAAAGAATTTCTTAAATTTATTAAATTATCTCTAAATAGTCCTTCTTTTGGCTACCATCTTGCAAGGATCATGTGTGGCAAACACACAGACATATACACACCTTCAGAATTGTAGCATACAATTGAAATGTGACTCCAGTCATTTTTTAGGTTTGCACCTGAGCAGACAAACTCTTCAGTTAGATCATAGCTTACATGATGGTGCCTAATCAAGGACATTATCAACTTAGGAAGGGGAAAATACAAAACAATTAAAAGTTTAGAACCAAGTTGCTACAAGTTTCTATATAGACAACTGTCTGTGGTTATAGTTACAGGTGAGCACTTACTATTGCCAGGTGGTAAAGAAGACAGTCCGGCCTCTCTGGGATCTGATGATTCAAAGAGTGAACAATCAGCTCTAAGAATCTAGTATGGCAGGTGCCATGTAAAGAGAGCATTTTGAGAGTGAGTAGGGGCCTGTTGACCATCAGGGCAGAGCCATCAGGGCAGAGGCTCAGTCTTGGTCACCTTTAGATCCCTAGGGCCTAGTGGAACTAAGAACAAGGTCCAAACTGACAGCCTGCAGGTGTGTTTTGCTTGGCAGACACACAGTGTTATATGAAAGATTGTTTTAGATTTTCAAATAGTTGCTTCAAACTTTTAAAATTGAGAATTTTCACATTAAAAACCTGAATTGCTGGCTTTTTTTGAAGGCAGTATTTGCATGGCAGCAATTTCCAAGCCCTGAGCAGACCTGATATACTTCATTCATTTTACTTGCCCCTGAGATTATGACACATTTAATGCTTATTAAATAATAAATGAGTGTATGGTTAGAGATGGGAATTTCAGGCAGAGAAAACTGTTAGCCAAGGCTGCAAGAAGGGAAAATGACTAATCTCGCCTAGATTAAGCAACGTGTTGAGAAGGAAAAAGAAAGGTCTTGCAATTAGAGAAGAAGTTGTAGGAGAGGAGACAGAAAGGGTAGATTGGTTTAAACGCCGGCTTTCCATGCTTGGGATGCTGAGCTTCAATCTTTAAGCAAGGGGAAGCCATCGAAGTTGTGATTTTTCTTTGTATTGTTCTAATTTTTTTAATTTTGTCAATTAATTTTTTTTTCATTTTGAATGGGATGACATGTTTGTACTGGAAAGATAACTGGAAATGTTTAGGAGAGGATATTGAAAAAAAGAGCAGCTCTAAGTAGGTAGGTTATTGTTATATTTCAGACTGTAGATGTTCTGGCAGTGTGCCTGGGAATAAAAAGTAGGTGACAGGTTTGACAGTTGTTACAGAGATAAACACTTTTCATTTTATTGTTTAATTGACACATAATAATTGTATATTTATGGGTACATAGTGACGTATTGATACATATAACATGTAGTGATCAGATTAAAAGAATTAGCATATCTATCATCTCAAACATTCATCATTACTTTGTGTTGGGAAGTTTCAATATCCTCCTTCTAGCACTTTGAAACTATAAAATATTGTTAACTATAGTCATCCTGTAGTGCTATAGAACACAAGAACTTACTTCTTCTATCTAGCTGTAATTTTATATCTTTTAACAAATCTCTCCCTATCCCCTTTTTCCCCCTACCCTTCCCAGCTTCTAGTACCCTCTGTTCTACTTTTTACTTCTATGAGATCAACATTTTTTAGCTTCCACACATGAGTGAGAGCATGCAATGTCTAACTTTCTGTTCTTGGGTTATTTCACTTACCATAATGTCCTCCAGTTCCATCTATGTTGCCATAAATAATATTGGGTTGATGCAAAAATAATTGTGATTTTTGTCATTAAAAGTAATGGCAAAAACTGCAGTTACATTTGCACCAACCTTTTCTTTTCTTTCTTTTCTTTTCTTTTTTTTTTTTTTTTTGAGACAGAGTCTCACTCTGTCACCCAGGCTGGAATGCAGTGGCGCGAACTCAGCTCACTGCAACCTCCACTTCAGGCTCAAGTGATCCTCCCACCTTAGCCTCCCACGTAGCTGGGACTACAGGCACATGCCACCATGCCTGGCTAATTTTGTTTGTTTGTTTGTTTGTTTTGTAGAGACAGGGTTTCGCCATGTTTCCCAGGCTGCTCTTGAACTCCTGAACTCAAGCAATCCACTCATCTTGGCCTCCCAAAGTGCTGGGATTATAGGCATGAGCCACCGCACCCAGCTGTCATTCTTTTTTATGGCTGAATAGTATTCCATTGTGTGAATTTACCATTTTCCCTGTCCATTCATTGGTTGTTGGACACCTAGGTTGATTCCACATCTTGGCTATTGCAAATAGTGCAGCAACAAACATGGGTGTGCAGATGTCTCTTCAATACACTGATTTTCTTTCCTTAGGATAAATGCTCAGTAGTGGGATGGCTGGATCATATGTAGTTCTATTGGCAATTTTTTTTACGAACCTCCATACTGTTCTCCATAGTGGTTGTACTAGTTTATATTCCCACCAGCGGTGTAGAAGAGTTCTGTTTTCTCCGCATCATCACTAGCATTTATTTTTTGTCTTTTTGATGATAGTCATCCTAACTGGGGTGAGATGATAATTCACTGTGGTTTTGTTTTGCATTTCCCTGATGATTAGTGATGCTGAGCATTTGTTCATATATTTGTTGGTCATTTGTATAACTGTTCAGATCATTTGCCTGTTTTATTCAGATTGCTTTTGCTGTTGAAATGTTTGAGTTCCTTGTATGTTCTGCATATTAATTATCTGTCAGATGAATAGTTTACAGATATTTTCTCTCATCTTCTAGGTTGTGTTTTTTACTTTGTTAATTGTTTCCTGCTGTGCAGAGGCTTTTTAGTTTGACATAATCCCATTTGTTTATGAAATAAGCATTTTATAAATGCTTTAGAACATTGGTCTAGGGAAAGATTTTATAAATAAGAATCTTTAGATTTTTATAATTTTATAAATAGATTCTTATTATATTTATAAACCTTTTATTTATATTTAATAGCCTGTAAAATCTTTTATTTATATTTAATATCCTTTTATATTTATAAACCTTTTATAAATATGAATCTATTTATAAAATTATAAAGTGAAGCATTTCACCTTGTTTTCTTCCAGTAATTTTATAGTTTTGGGTCTTACATTTAGGTCTTTGATCCATTTTGAGTTGGTTTTTGTATAGGGTGAGAGTTGGGGGTCTAGATTTTTTCTTTTGCATGTGGACATCCAGGTTTCCTAGCGACCTTTATTGAAGAGACTTTCCTTTCCCCAATTAATGTTCTAGCTGCCTTCTGTCAAAAATCAGTTGGCTGTAGATAATGTGGATTAATTTTGTGCTTCTCTATTCTGTTCCATTGGTCCATGTGTCTTTGTTTATGCCAATACCATGCTGTTTTGGTTACTATAGCTTTGTAGTATATTTTGAATTCTGATAGTACAATGCCTTCAGCTTTGTTCTTTTGCTTAGGATTGCTTTAGTTATTTGAGGTCTTTTGTGATTCCACACAAATTTTAAGATTTTATTTTATATTTCTATTTCTGAGAAGAATGTCATTGGTATTTTGATAGGAATTGCATCAACTCTGTAGATTGCTTTGGCTAGTATGGTTCTTTTAACAATATTAATTCTTCTGACCCATGAGGAGCATGAGATAACTATTAATGAAATTTGGTTAACCAATTAAATATAGGAAGGTAAAGTGTGACAGAGGAACATCACTTAGAAATTCCTGGTTTGAATGAATGGCTGGGCACTGACATCTTTAGTCCAAATGGAGATCACATAAATAGCAAGGTCTAGGGAATAAGCAGTGAAGTTGGTGAAATTTAGGAGACGTTGCTAAATACTGTATACCAATGTTTTAGCAACTGGGTACAGAGATAAGGCTAATGAAAGAAATTGTTAATGAGTGATCAGAGAGCTAGGAAGAGAACCTGGATAGGGTTTGCAGTTGCGGGTAGAAAAGAAAGCTCAAGAGGACGCAATGCCTAACTCTGGCTAGTGTAGCAGAGAAGTTAAATAGGATGAGAACTGAGGAGCAATGCGGTCTACAGCTGTGGTTCCCAAACCGTTATGTGTAGCAGAATTCCATGGGGAGCTTGTTAAAACACAGATGATAGGCCCCACACCCAGAGTTTCTGATACAGTAGGTCTGGGTGGAATCTGATCATTTGCATTTCTAATAAGTTTCCAGGTGGTACTGATTCGGCTGGTCTGGGAACTACAGTTTGAGAAAAAAAAGTGAAATAGAGACTGCAAAGAGAGAAAGAAATAGCTTAGGAAGGGAGGTTGGTTGGTTCAAAGGAGATTTTTTGGTTTTGTTTTCTCGTGACAAGAACCAACAAAGGAGAAATTGACATCTGGAGGAAAGATTTGTTGCCATGGCAAGATCATGGACGAGGCAGGAAGAACAGAAGAGATAGAGGGCTTCTCTGAGGGAGGAGTAGGAATGTTTCGTTTTGTTTTGTTTTTGTTTTTGTTTTTGTTTTTGTTTTTGTTTTTCTCTGAGGCTGGGGAAAGAAAAAATGATTGGTGAACATGAAAAACTACTCTGGAGCTGAAAGTGTGGAATGTTGGCATTTGCATGTAATGCCCTCTCTTTTCTCTTAAAGGCAAGAGGCAAGGTCATTTGTTGAGAGGAATGGGTTCAAAGCATGAGATAAAAATTTTAAAAAGGTATGGAGCAGTTTCTAGACAGAACAGAAATAACTTAAACTATGTTGAAAGATCATCAAGAAATGGATTGCTTAGAGAGAAATCAGTGGGATCCAATGGAGATTAGACAACTTAAATCTGTAATTGAGCCAGTCAGCAGTAATTAAATAAATATAAGCCTTAGGATTATAATGATAGCCTGGGTAACCTATCAAATCACATAAACAGGAAAAGTTTATTGAGCTCTTATGGAGGTTTGTAAAGAAAGGAGGACTGTGACACATAATAGTATATGTCACTGGTACATATAAGAAAAAATTTTGGTCTCTTTCTTTGAAGAACTTATTAGAAGCTAAGAATAAGTAAAAACTAAAAATATTTTAAACTCATGTTTAATGAGCTTAATTCAATCCAGGTGACATTACTGAAGCAGCAATGATTATTTGTACTACTGTTGGTTGTTACCTGGCGCACTGGCACATTCCTGGTACCAGATGCTTAGTGAATCAGTCCTAAAAGTAATGCCTATTAAGAAACACTTGGAAAATATCCTTTCTCTGGAGTTTATTTTGGTTCATTTAACTTAAAAATCGCTTGAGGTATTCAGTTTAGGCATTTCCATGGAATATGGCTACATAGTATTAACAGTAAGATTTTTTAAGTATGTTCCATAAACACTTGTTTGTTTTTTTACCCCCCGAATGGCTTTCATATTTCTCTACTGATTTTATCAACACCTGTGACCATAAAAGCATATTATGTATCTTATACTTGCTTACTACATTTTGCTCAGAGGAGATTACTGACTTACTTTTTATCTAGATTATTATGATGTCATAGGTGCTCTAAAACTATGATTGAAAGGGATGGTATTTGTATAGTATTCTGATCATTTTAAGTTTTTTAAAAAATATTTTTAAACACACATTCTAGAATCTGAGATCTCAGGATCTCTAGCCACCTCTGTCCTCTTTCTCTACAGTCTTTTTTTTCCTTTGAGACAGGGTCTCGTTGTTTCTCCCAAGCTGGAGGGCAACGACGTGATCATAGCTCATTGCAGCCTTGAACTCCTGGGCTCAAGCAATCCTGCCTCATCCCCACAAGTAGCTGAACTACAGGCACATACCACCATGCCTGGCTATTTTTTTATTTTTATTTTTTTGTAGAGACAAGGTTTCACTATGTTGCCTGGACTGGTCTTGAACTCCTGGCCTCGAGTGATCCTCCCACCTCAGCCTCCCAAAGTGCTGGGATTATAGGCATGAGCCACTATGTGTAGCCTGATTTTTTGATATTTAGTGTCTGATGCACTTTAAGTAAGAAAATCTTGATCACTTAAAATATTATCTAAAATATTTACCTAAAATTTATCACTTCCTAAAATTTCAAAGGTGAACTACCAAACTTACAATACATTTGCACATTTAGGAAAATGTATGTGTAATATTTTGCAAAGCATTATGGATACAAATGCAAATGTAAGGTTTAAAAATCATCATTCTAAATGTTTACTGTTAATTTTTATTGTTGAATACTCTTCTTTAAACGATAAGGACTTCTTCTCGCCCAAGAACTGAACTTTTACTCAAATTCTTATTGGTCTATCCTTATTATTTACATTTTCTTGATAGTTTAAAAAATTAAACTGTTGGATATCAAGAGTGAGCAGAACATAGAGAATGAAGGTGAAAATGCCCTTTCAGTTTATTCAATCAGAATTGTTTCCTAATTCCAGTAGCTACTATATAACATGTGAGCATGATCATGATAATTGTGTTTTTGCCACTTCCCCATGATGTGAGGTTAACAAATCCTGATTTTCACTGTGCTTTATTTTATGTCAAAAGAGGGACTCTGACTTCAAGAGAGAAGAAAAGTACTTTTGTACTTACATGCCTACTGAGCCCAGATTCCAAAGGCCTTGGGGTTCTATGTTTCCTTAACACTGAATGGGCTTTCCAAGTGCATTGATCATGGTGGCTGCCACGGTGCAAGACTCACCTCCTGCCAGCTTTCCAGCCCCAGCAGGAAAAAGCTTATTCCTAGATAACAAAATCCTATGGAAGACCAGATGGTACCATCCTGGGTCACATCCCATGCAGGAACAAATCACAGGGTAACAGATACTCTGGCCAGGCCTGGGTCATGAACAGCATCCAATAATGGAAAGAGTCAAGTTGGTTTCATAAAAAACCACATGGAGTGGAATTCCTGCCAGAAGAAAGGATTCTCTGACCAACAGAAGGGGGCAACAGTGCTTGGCAGGCCAAAGTAACAGACGTCCACTATACTTACTTTCTAAATTTGCTTGTTCATTGATATAAGTTTGAACAAGGCCAATGACAGCTTCTGTCACAAAACTAGGAAACTTTATCAGTGTGATTTCAGTTTATTAGAATAGTACTTGTGATCTATCATATAACCAAATGTCTCTATATTGTCCACAAGAAATTCATAAGAAACTATGTTTAATATTTTTTATTTTCCCGTTCCATTAATCCAATAACCTCTATTTTAAAAAAATTGAGTTGAGTTTGTCATTTCTAAGGGGATTCATGCTAATACTTATAGGTCATAAGTTTCTTAAACTATTCAGGCCAAGGTATATCCAAATTTATATCATCATTTATTGGTAATAATCACCTGGGGTTTATACTCAGCTGGTAGGCCCTGGCAGAACCCTATCAGTTAAAATATTGAAAATAGCTACTGTCCAAACCTTGCAGGTGTTCCAGGCTTCCATCCACTGAGGTTAGAAGCATCTCTAGGCTTCCTGACAGGGATCCTCCAGGATGCTAGTGCAGCGCTAGACCTGCAGCCATTCTGATTGGGCAATGCTTATGCCACACTCATTATTAAATATTTTGCATATCACTCCTAGCTCTAATTATGTGCTGAAATATTCTTTTTAACCTGAACCAGTCAGATTCAGGCTGAAATACAGCATTTATTTCAGGTTTTCTTCTAGGAGTTCTCTCACACTTACTGTGTTAGAATTTTACTGACAATTTTCTCACATGTAGAGAGAATCCCATGTAAGATAATGAGAGTAGCCAGCAGTAATAGACATGAGCTGCTTGGAGATGCTAGAAAATACGTTTGTGGAGAAGGTTCATATGCATAGAAGCTTTCCAAAATCTGAAACGCATTCTTCTTGGAATGCTTAACCTGGCAAGTGAGCAGAGCTTTGCACAGTGTTGGGATATGACACTTCTCAGTATGTCAGTTATGAGACTGCATTCTCCAGAGTACTGTTTGACTGTTTCTCTGTGACTGACTTGTACATGTTCGTTTGTACAAGCATCTGGTCTCGAGATGTTCCCTGGCACGTTTTGAATCATTCCCTATTTCAGAGAGGGGAGTTACAACATGGAATTTGTAGCTAAAAATATATAGTCCATCTTCAGACTTAAAGAGCCAGTTGGTTAAAATCATTTTCATTCCTATCCCCATGTCTTAAGCTGCTAAATGGTTGGGAAATAAGTGATTGAAAGATAGCAACAGTTTCTTCCACCTGTTTTTTAAAAATTGTCCTTTGGTGGTCACTAGAGTGTCTTAAACACATAAAACATTTCTCTTATTTAAAATAACAAACAGTTCTCTCTCTCTCACTCGCTCTCTTACTCTCCACCCCACCCTGCCTTTTACCCTTTCTTTTCTTGTTTTCTATGTGTCTCTCGTTGCTATATGTTGAATTTCAGTTTTAAAATTAAAGCCATCTTTTATGAAGAGATTTTCCCAAATGAAAATAGTTTTTGAGGTATCGTAAGAAATGGAACGTATTTCTTTGCTCATAGAAAATATAGATTCCATCCCAAATGGAATATTGGATCAAATTAATAATCCCCCTTCAATTCCCACTTAGTATCCAGAAGGGTTCAGTGCAGGTGTCTGCTTAGATACAGTACATATTTAGTCTTGGCTGCTTCCTTTTGAGGATAAACAGCTCTTGGGAAATACACATTGTTAAATAATCAGTTACAGAGGACTAATTGTTTCAAGGCACTCCCTTTGCAGTTGCTTTCCAACAGCCAACAGTAATAAGAAATGTCACTTTGTTTCCATTGGAGACTAGCACATGAACTATTCATGAAGAGCGGAAAAGCAGTCTTCCCAGAAAACCCTGGAATAAACATGTAGAAGCCAAGGGAGGCTGGGACTCTATCATTGATTTGTCCCAGAGCCATGTCAAATTCAGTGAAAAAAAAATCACTACATTTGTTTTCTAGAGTGAGAATTCAGAGAGACTAATGAATGCCTCATGCACCTTTCAAAACATCCCCAAAGGTTTCTATAACTTCACAAATAAATATATAGAAGCTGAGACAAGGAGGTGTACTTAAATTTTCTTAATCAGGTTATGCCTCTCTGCCCCGTGTTCAGTAGCATCTGGGCTGGTGAAACACCTCTGTGTTTTTGAGCAACAAGCTAACTCCATTTCACAATGAGTGACAGTGTCTGACATTGCCTGCTCATTAGCCTGTTGATTGACCAGGCATAGTTCTTTAGATAGACTGCAGGATTTTCACTTTTGTTTCATCTGGATTCTCTAAATAAAAGTGTCAAGGTCTGATCTGCCAGTAAACATCTTCCACAAATATAGTTTTAGTAATGAGGGGCTTGAACAGACTATACCTTTTCATACCTGGCTCCCTCCTTCCAAACAGGTGCCTCCATTTCTTCTGCTCTAATTCGTGCTATCTTTTAATCTTTTAGGTTTTTTTCCTGTGATTTTTCCATTTTCTGAGCATTCTATGATCACATTTATTGCATCTTAAACAATGTGTTAATAACATGCTTTTCCTGGGCTCTGTGAGCCTTTACTTTGCCTGCAAAAAGATCTAGCACACTCCAATACTTGAAAGAGCAAACCTACAAGATTTAAACTAAACAAGATGCGTACGTCCTCTTTAAGAGAGTTTGGGAGAGCAAAGCAAATGACATTTGGGACTCGTTTTTACCTGGTCATTCAGATTCTTTGTCTTCATGTTAACTGATAATTTTTTCCAGGATCTAAAACTTTATTCTTCTCTCTCATATTACTCAAATGTTGGGGTGGGGAGAATACATTTTTTAAAAAAAAACTTTATATGAATATTTTACACCAACATTTTGTAACGTTCAGCCATCAGATTTAGTAGAAGGTGCATGCAGTTAAGTGTCAAGCAACCTCTATTTTACCAAGCAACGTGAGTTATCCGCTTTTCAGAGGTGCTGATTTTGCCTCTAAATTTTGTCCTAAGGATTGTGTAAAAATATATGTGTATAAATAAAATCTGTAAACTATGCAATATTTTACAAATGCAAATCATTATAGATGAATAAATGAGCAAAAAGAAGTGTTTATCTCAGGATATATATAAAGAAAACTGAGAGGCCAAAGAGCTGAGACTGTAAACCTAGTCTTTGACTCTTCTCCTATGGCATAGGCTCTCCCCATGAATGTTCGCATTCACCCACAGGTATTTCCTTCGTGCAGATCCTGTAGCTCCTCTGTAACTACCATCACATTCCTTGGTTTGCAGTATAGATCTGTTGTATGTCATTCACCTGCTTTCAGATATGTACCAAATGCCTTTAGGCTCAAGCAGGTAACTTCTATGGCTGAAATATGCTTATTGTGAGACTATAGGGATCAGTGGGGACTGCAAAAGAACTGGAGAACTCACACTCCTCCTAAAAGCACTCAAATGCAAATGAAAAAAGCAAACACTGTGCAGGCCAAGCAAAAGCTGTTGCAGGCGAAATTTCCATGGATGGCAGTCAGTGTGCAATCTCAGGATAAGTTCAAATTTTTCCCTCTTAAGAGAATTTAATTTCTTTTGGAAGGCAAATTGAATATAGGCAGACCACCTTGATCCAGTAGAAAATGGGTGTCCACAGCTCAAAGATTACCTTCCCATTGAGGCCTTCCTTTACCTCCTCTAAGAGAGTCAGTTGTTCCATAATTATAGTCCCTCAGTATATTCTGTATATATTCCTAATAAATCCTAGCATATTGTATGATTAGAAAAAGAAATAGGCTGGGTGCAGTGGCTCATGCCTATAATCCCAGCACTTTGGGAGGCCGAGGTGGGTGGATTCCCTGAGGTCAGGAACTCGAGACCAACCTGGCCAACATGGTGAAACCCCATCTCTACTAGAAATATAAAAATTAACTAGGCATGCTGGCATGTGCCTTTAGTCCCAGCTACTCAGGAGGCTGAGGCAGGAGAATTGCTTGAACCCGGGAGGCAGAGGTTGCAGTGAGCCGAGATCACGTCACTTTACTCCAGCCTGGGCAACAGAGCGAGACTGCATCTCAAAAAAAGAGAAAAAAAATGCCAGGTGCAGTGGCTCACGCCTGTAATCCCAGCACTTTGGGAAGCCAAGGCAGGCAGATCATGTGGTCAGGAGTTTGAGACCAGCCTGGCCGACATAGTGAAACCCCATCTCTACTAAAAATACAAAAAAATTAGCTGAGCATGGTGGCAGGAGGCTGTAATCCCAGCTACTTGAGAGGCTGAGGCAGGAGAATCACTTGAACTTGGGAGGCAGAGGTTGCAGTGAGCTGAGATTGCACCACTGCACTCCAGCCTAGGCAACAGTGAGAGACTTCGTCTCAAAAACACACAACCACACAGAAAGATGGCTGGGTGCAGTGGGTCAAGCCTGTAATCCCAGCACTTTGGGAAGCTGAGGTGGGTGGATCACCTGAGGTCAGGAGTTCGAGACCAGCTTGGCCAACATGGTGAAACCCCATCTCTACCAAAAATACAAAAATTAGCTGGGTGTGGTGGCACACGCCTGTAATTGCAGCTACTCAGAAGGCTGAGGCAGGAGAATTTCTTGAACCCAGGAAGCGGAGGTTGCAGTGAGCCAAGATCACACCACTGCACTCCAGCCTCGGCAACAGAGCAACTCTGTCAAAAGAAAGAAAGGGAAGGAGGGAGGGAGGGAGGAAGGGAAGGAAATGGGTTTCAGGCCATGTGAAGGTTAACCAATCTATTTATAGTTTTCTCTCTCTTGAGACAAAGTGGAAATTTGTTGAGGGGACCCAGGACTCCAGTGAAAGCCTATTGTGTTTTGTAGAAACCTCCCCTCCTTGTCTCTGAACTCCATTTTTTCATTCCCCAATACTATGAGACTCTTGAATTCATTACTGAGCTTCTTAGCTTCTGAGCAGCTGCTTTCTGCTTAGTCCCCATAGCCTTTCCTCTCATGCACAGGCAGCTTCAGAAGTGGAACATGCTGTCATTTCCTTTTTCTTTGGAATCGTGGCCCCTCAAGTCTTGGCTGCCTTGGAGGACTTGAACTCTGTTGTTTGTCTCCCCAACCCTGTCAGATTCCTGCAAATCCCAGGCTGCAATTTTCTGTTCAGCTTCTAGGCATCTCACTGTAAACTAGAAAGTCCCTCAGAAGAAAAAACAACGCTGAATATAGGGCTCCCCAATAAATGGGTTTTGCTTCTCTCCAGGATCTTGGCCCTTCAACTACTGGCTGTTTTGAATACTCTCTGATGCCTTTCAACTCATTTTGTTATTGTTCTTGTTCTTGTGTTATTGGTTTTGTTCATGCTCCTATTTTTGTTATTGTGTAAGTGTGTGTAAAAACATTTTTCTCCAGTTTACATAGTTGTACTCAATGAGGTTAATCTGATATACACTACTCCATCAGAGCCAGCAACAAAAATCTCAATACATTTATTTCAACAAATTATATCTAATAATTGTTAACATATACTGATTGCCTACTAATAAATGAAGATACTTAGAGGTGCTGAAATTCATCAGATATTTAGTGGATACCTTTTAAGGCATATACTCCTGGGCCGGCATCCTAAGAACATCATGATGAGGAAGCCTGTGCATGCAACATCTTATGGTCAGCTGATGAACTGTACTTTTTCTCATATATCACCAAAACTAAAACAATAAATATGGAAGTTGAGTAAGATCTTAGAATCTGTAATCCATCAATTGAAGATTGAGCTTCAGAAATGATATTTCAGCTTCAGAATGACCACACCTATCTCACAAAACTGAAATAAAACAATAGGGAAAACAGACTGGCCAGGTGCAGTGGCTTATGCCCATAATCCCAGCACTTTGGGAGGCCAAGGTGGGCAGATCACTTGAGGTCAGGAGCTCGAGGCCAGTCTGGCTAACATGGTGAAACCCCATGGCTACTAAAAATACAAAAATTAGCTGGACATGGTGGTGGGCACCTGTAATCCCAGCTACTTGGGAGGCTGAGGCAGAAGAATCGCTTGAACACTGGAGGCGGAGGTGGCAGTGAGCTGAGATCATGCCATTGTACTCCAGCCTGGGTGACAGAGTGAGCTTCCATCTAAAACAACAACAACAACAACAACAACAGACTAATAACACAAAGGGCAACTACAACTAAAGGTACTTGCGCCAAATGGATAGCACTCCAGGAAACAGATCTGCCTTCTCAGAATATGGATAGAAAAATGTCAACTACAGTTCTACTGAAAAAAATATAAAGAGCATGAATTCAAATATAAACTGAACTTTCTTCTTAAACTCTTTAGATAGATAGGTCTGGGAAGTTTTATTTTCAGTCCTGCAGAATAAACCAATTCCATGTCACCATTTTCCTCTGCAAATATTTTAAATAATGTTCTCTTTACTTTGAGAAATGGCATGAAATAGCAAATTGAAAATACCTTGAAATACAAATCCTGTCTTATTAATTTTTAGTTTTGTGATTGTAGGCAAATTATGTAATTTCTCTGAAATGAGGATAGCACTACTTACTTTACAAGGCACCTATGGAAATCAACCAAAGAATGTGAAATTTCCAGCACTTAACTGGTGTGTATTAACATTAACTGCCTTTCTCTTGTCCCTAATATGATACCATACATGCATATGTGTTTCATGTAAGATTACTTCACATAGTGTATCATTGAAATCAGTTAGCAGTGTTTTCTCTAATTCCCTTCAGTTAGTCTGATTATTCGGTCTCTTCAGAAGCCCAATGATGTCACAGGCTGCATTTACTAAGCTACCAACTCAGTGATCTTATTTGTAAATAAGACCTCAATGTATGGGTGCTATATAAATGTGAAGTAGACATAAAATCTGCCTGTTATATTTGTCCTTTGTTCCATAATTAATGTTTTGGGACATGTTGGGCCAGTACCATACTGTCAGTCTTGGAAACTCTCAGTTATAAAGTGGTAATATAGTCAAGCATTGCAAAAAGGGGGCCACTACCCTAGGTGGATAATATTTAATTTGGCATGTGATACTTAGGAAGAAAATTGGTAAAATCAGGATTGGCTCATTACCTTCATAAAGAATTTTCAGGAAGTTTTGTTTGCATGTTGATTGCTAGAATAGGGAGTACGCAGAGGAGTACTATGCAGAGTCACCTATCAGGAATACAATTATTAGCTAAGACTAAATAATAGTAGGTAAGAAGTAGGTGAAGTGGAATGTTAAGATGGTCATTTAAAAAGGTTTGCAAGAAAAATCTAATATGTAAGCATTTGAGGAAAACAAAAGAATTTGAATTCATCAGAGTATTCCTCATAGCACAATTGATTATCAAATTTTATAGTAAAATTTTTATTTGGAAAATTTGTAATGTCAAAAATATAAAGTAAATTATACATAGTTTATTGTTTGAACCAATATCATAACACTGGAAATCTTATATTTATTTATTTATTCATTCATTCAGAAACATTAATCTATCCAGACTATGTTCATGTATGTATTTGTAGACTGGTTATTCTATGCCCTCAATATATATTATAATAAAAATCAGAACAAGAACAATAATATTGATTAAGTGTTTATTATGTGGAATTGTACTTATTTCATTAAATCTTTGCGACAACCTGAATGGTAGGGACTTTTATTCCTGCCATTTTACACATGGAGAAACAAAGTCTTAGAGACTTTTAGGCAAGGTCACATACCCAATAACATATGAGCAGGGATTCTATAATCAGTTTCTTCATCATGCACTGCAACGCTGAAAGAAGAGTACCTTTTGTATTATATTGGAAACCTCAGTTTTGCCTTTTACTAAAACCATTTACTCAAATACTACACTGAAAATAATTGAATAACTGTACAATAAATAGCAACTCAAGAGACACAAATAATCACTTCATAGTTAAATGCTAAACTGATGATACTGACAATAATTCCCTATCACTTACTCTGGGTATCATTGGGAAAGTTACTCAGTTTCTGTAAGCCTCAGGTTCCCTCTTCAAAAAGTGAGAATAATAATAGAACCCACCTTAGGACTAGGACTGTTGAGAGGACTGAGTAGTATAAATAATACATGTGAAGCATGGCCATGTGTGCAAAGCAGGAACAGTGCTCAGAAAATATTAGCTACTCTTATTGTCAGGGTGGTGGTTGCTATCTAGTGTTATTTGTAATTATTCTTAGCAATAATAATAATTTGATAAGTTCACAGGAATATCTAGAAAAGTCAGAGATGGCTTTAGGAAAGATGTGGTCCTTAGCCAGGCTGTAAATGTTACCAAATTTGGATGAGTCTAGAGGCAAAGGAAGTCTCTTCAGGTTCTTCATATAGAAGTCATGAATGGGAAAATGTACAAGGTGGGGAGAGCATAGTTATCCTTGTCTGGCTGGAATGAAGCTTATGATAGGAGAATAAAGGGAAATACTGTTGAAAAGGCCTTGGGGGAGGGGGATGGTCACATGAGCAAAGTCTTTGTGCCACGCTATTATGGGATCTATTTAAACAGTTTAAAGTAATTGGCAAAAAAAAAAACTTCCAAAAAAATTATTTTTTGTAAATACCATAACCACTGCAATTATTGAATTCTGGCCTTTTGCATTCTATCTATAAAGACAAGTCCAAAGACAGCCACCAGGGAGTTTATTCCGCTGGAGGACAGAACCATTATCACGGATGCTTTTGCTCCTTCCACTGATACTGACTCTGAGAATGAGCTCAGAGCAGCATGAAAGGAATTTAACATAAATAAATAATACATAAATGCATAAAACACAAACTGTAATCCAGAGTGTGATCTTCTTGAGATCAGGGGCCATGATTTAAAAATCTCCCATGCCTCTCATAGTTGTAACACCTCTTACAGTGCTAAGAACCTACTGAATTGAATTCCTCGAGCACTTTTTTTTTAAGACACTGAACAAATGAGCACTGAAGTGAAAGAACTTTATCTAATCCTTAAGGCATAGAGAATGGCACCAGTCAGGGGCCCTCTGAACTTGGCACTGCTTGTATCTCTGTGAACTCATAGGGGATTCTCTTTTTCTTTTCCTGTCTCCATCTCTGTTTCATCAACTAGAACTTATCATTTTCTTCTCCTTTCAACATCTGTTTTCTATTGCATCCCATTGTTTTCATTTTTCATCTATCTTGATCATTCTCATACATTCACAGCTCTGTTAGTAATCCCACAGATAACTATGTATGACTTGTTCTCTGAGAGAGCAAGCCTTTAGCATACAAGGACTCAACTCTGCTTTGAAAAATCAAACAAGTTTTTAAATCCACCTAATAGTATTCATCAGGGAATTTTTTTTATTTTTAGAGACATGGTGAATTTTCCAATTCAGTAAGAGCAAAAAGAAATAATAAAACACCCAGATTTGTGCCATTTCAGAATGCCAGTGCACATTCCTAGTGGCAGTTAATACTGGCAGGTGCTGTGAGGAATCATACATAGGCAACTGGGTTCCTGAAGTCAGCCAAGAGTTGATTGCTTATGTTTTTAGAGCTGTGCGAAGAAGAAAAATGTAGGCACACCACTGCTGTGCAGTCCACGGGAGTCTTACAGCTGCAGGCCCTGAAGCACTTTGAAAATCGTCCCTAATTGTCTTTTGCCTCTGTGTTACCAACTTATCGCCTACCCCCATGGTGGCTTTCATGCTGTGTGTCACCAAAAGCTAGCCTCTGCTATTTTCTAAGGAAGGAACTGGCAGCTGTTCCAAAGATGAAATCTAAATGTAATCTCCATAGTTGCAGGTAGAAGCAAAGTAAATGTTTTAGAACTTTTCTTATCTTGACTTCAGGCATCATACCTCATATTTATCAACTTTGTAGCCAACTTTAGGGCAAACATTAAGAAATAAAAAACCACACACATCCACTTCTCCTTTGGCCCTCAAAAGTCTCTCCATTGGCATGACTTTGTATCTTTATATTGGCAAATACTTGGCTCAATTATAGAAGTTATAGATCTTCCTCACTAGCACAAGTCTTTTCCAGCCCAAACAGCTATTGGATTTGCAGACAGAAGGACAGCAGAGACTGCAGCACTTTGGCTTTGCTTGGCCTTTCGGACCCTTTTGGCAAAGGAAAATGGTTCTTACTAGTGAGTGCCTATCCAGCCTTAGGCAGCTCACAGGCAAGTAGAAAAAGTGTAGAAAAGGTGAGACTAGTAAGAACAAAATCTTGCTAGAGAGCTACTGACAAGAACATAGCACTTACACCAGGTGATCACTTGGATACTCAGGGTGATTACACCAGACGCTGCAAACTCCTTTGTCTACAAAGGCTGGAAGCAGACTCGCCTGGAGCACGTGGTCAAGTGGGACTGTGTCTTGTAAAGAGGGATGAAGGGAGATAAAGGGGCAACAGCTATGTGGCTTCGGTTAAACATTTGCTGGACAGGAAGCAGATCCAGTGTCAGCCAGATCTTCTGATTTTTCTAGAGAAGCCAGAAACCAGATTTTTTATGTGAAACCTCCTAATTTGTGAATGGTGGCAAGTATTTAAGACAACTTTTAAACACTATGTGGGCCAGTCACAAACTGTCGGCAGGCAGTATTCAAGCTGCCAGTTTGTGGCCTCTGGCTTACCTAATAGGCATTCCCTCATAGTCCATGTGGATCAGGAAAAAGAAATTTTTCCAGCTTTGTCTATCTTTTACAAATTTTCTACACTGAACATTTTTTTTTTCTAATCAGAGTTGTTTTCAGAGCTTTTGGACCCCTTTTCTGAACATAGTCTGGAACAAACCCCAGCTCCCAGGGTGGCCTCAGGATGATCCATCCCCTTGAGTGACCTCAAGTCCATAGCTGATCTGAGAAGAGAGGAGGGAGAGTCTGGACATTCGGGGCCTGTTCTAGACTAGTACAAAACACTGGGCTCCACCTGGCTCAGTACTACAGATGCAGGGGAGGCAAAAAGTCACTCATTCTAAGTCAGGCCAGAACCTCTTTAGCTGTGCTTGGCAATGTGGAGTATAGCTGTACAGAAGGGAATGAGATGCTGTGGGAGACAGAAGAGATATGAAAGTATAGAATGGGGCCAGGCACTATGGCTCACGCCTGTAATCCCAGCACTTTGGGAGGCCAAGGTGGGCGGGTCACTTGAGGTTAGGAGTTCGAGACCAGCCTGGCCAACATGGTAAAACCCCATTTCTACTAAAAATACAAAAATTAGCCTGGCATGGTAGCAGACACCTGTAATCCCAGCTACTCGGGAGGCTGAGGTAGGAGAATCGCTTCAACCCTGGAAGAGGAGGCTGCAGTGAGCCAAGATCATGCCATTGCACTCTAGGCCGGGCAACAGAATAAGACTCTGGCTCAAAAAATAAATAAAAAAGGAAAGTACAGAGTAGAATGGGGAGTATAGGGGAACACTATTTATTTCTAGTCCTCAACTATAAGTAAGAAAAATAAATCAAAAGTAGAGGTGCTAAATCATGAGACCATGGGAGATGCTCATTGCTCCTTTCTAACTTGTTCCATGAATGCACCCGTCCTTGTACCACACTATTGGAAATCTTCACCACAACCAGAAGCCGTGCCAGGGGTGCAGTGGCTAGGATGGAGACAACAGGCTATTTTTGTTCCAAGTGAAACAGTAGGCCAAGTGAACAGGTAAATACATGGGGCAACTCAAAAGGGATGTCAACCCCCGGAGCTGATGGGTGTGTTTCTTCTTTATGGTGTGAGAGTCGGGCCAGAAGTCTGGGTAACCAAGTCAGGACCTGCAGTTTGGGCAAGATTCGAGCTGCGGTTCAGAACCACAGCATTGGAGACAAAAGCAAGTCCTGCATGTCCAGTGTCATCTGGGCCTTGTGGTTTTTTCCTTTCTTCCTTTTTATAATGGATTTTTTTTTTCCCAGAGAGAAGATGACATCAGCCAAATATGAGATACAGGCTCAAGTAATTAAATATTTTTTGGTTTATTTACTTGTGATTTTAAAAGAATATGAAGCATGCTTGGGAGACATTTGTGTCTGGAAAGAGTTGAGCAACTCTAAAGCCGTAGCATGCAGCAATTGGTGAAAAATTGCTAAATTATGTTTCTTTTTTTTCCGTGAAATGTCAAATGTTGTTCTTTTGCTTCTATAAAGGTCAGTATGGTTTAAAGAGAAGAAAAAAAAAACAAACTTGGACCATTAACTTGTTATTGAACTTCAAAAGTGTTGTATTTACCAGTAAAAATAAATCTAAAAATGTTTTGGTGGCTCTGAAACAAGAAAGACTAGATTGTAATCAAATTAGTGAATTTCTGGTACTTTCCTCTTCTTTCTGGGTCTTTCCGTGAAAAACAACAAGGAGAAAACTAATTCAACAGCAAAAGTTGTTTATAAATACTCTATATGTTGCTTATTTGTGGAGTATGAGTTACCACACTAGGTGAGTGGGGTGTCATAATTTTCCCCTCATGCTTTTCTGCCCTTTGATGTTCTTGAACAAGAATATAGCTGTGGAAATATAATTCTTTTAACGAATACATTTCACAGTGGCATTTCCCAAATGGTAACAAGGGACTTACTCCTTCAGCAGAAAAGTCATCTCCTTTTTATAACTGATGATGTACTTGTATACACACAAACACACATAAAGAAAAGCAGAAAGTCCTATTTGTTCAAGTTTATTTTCTAATAGCCATTGTTATTTATTAGCACTCTCTGCTCTAGTCATAGCACATTACTACTTCATACCTCTTTTTGGGAAAATTATTTTGGGGGAAAAAATAAAATAGCATTACTTAACAGTGTGAAGCCATAAGTTTTTATTGGATTGTATCTTATAATCTTATTTCAAAGGCAGAGGGTAGGCTGGCAAAATGTAGGCCAGGAAATGATTATTGTTGTCCCTGACAGAACACATACTAGTGACATTTTCAAAATAGAATATGCAAAAGTTTATCTTTAGTAGCTCTGCACCCAACTGCCAATGTTTTTCTCTTTCTCTTGCCCCCTCTCCGCTACTCTCTAGCTTGTGTTCTTTTGCTGAGCTTGGCTTACTCTCAGTTAATCCCTGCTAAAGATTTCACACTGCTAGTGTCAGATGTGCTTCCTGCCAGGATACTGGCATTTTAAAGAGGGACTCCTAGACTTCCTGCCTGTTTCTCCTACTCCTGGAGCGAAAGTGAACATACAAAAATCAATTTCCCCTGGTCATCCTTTTTCCATGGCATTAGGAAGCACAGCCTCTCCACCATGCTCCTGGATTCAAATCCTGGCTCTGCTACTTGCTAGTCCTATGATCATGGGCCAGTTACTTAACATCCTTGTGTCTCAGTTTCCTTATCTGTAAAGTGAAAAAGATGATTATCTCACAGGGTTGTTGGGAGACTGAATGAGATAATATATGTAAAACATGTAAAAGAGTGGCTATACGTAATAAATACCCAGTAACTGTTCATTATTATGTTATTATTCTGTCTTAGTCCATTCAGGTTGCTCTAGCAAATATAAGGGTAATTTATAAACAATAGAAACTTATAGCTCATAGTTCTGGAGGCTGGGACGTCCAAGATCAAAGTGCCAGCAGATTTGGTATCTAGTGAGGGCCTGTTTCTCGTAGATGGTGCCTTCTCTGTGTCCTCACATGGCAGAAGAGCAAAGGGAAAAGGGGGCTAACAAGCTCCCTCAGGCCATTTTATATCAGCACTAATCCCATTGATGAGGGTAGAGCCCTCATGACCTAATCACCTCCTAAGGCCCCACCTTTTAATACCACCACAATGGGGATTAGGTTTCAACATGAATTTTGGAGGCAATTGCCAAACCATGGCAATTCCCAACATTACCATCCTTGTTTTATAAATCTCGTTTTCTGAATTGACTTATAATTACTTCTCCATTCCCTGAGCTAAGTATTTATTGTATTAGAGCCAGAAGATGCTTCATTTAAATCAGTTAATTAATTTATCTATTCTGTTGCAGGAACTGTTGTATGTGCTTTGGCTAAATCACAAAATAGACAAAATATCTGTCTGTTAGCAAAACATGCAAAAATGCCTGCCCTTGAGAAATGTATATCCTAGCAGGGAGTGGAGGGTGGGTGAGGTAGAGACAATAGATAGATAATTCAAATAAACATGACTAGATTATGTAGCATGTTAGAAGATGATAAATTCCAAGTCCAGGAGAGCGAAGGGCAGGCCAGTGGGATGCATTTTAAATAGGTGGCCAAGGAGAAGGCCTTGAAACGTTTGAGAAGGCCATTAATGAGCACGGGTAGAAGGAAGCCAGGGAGAGTCTCAGTGTCCGTCTTCAGTTGCTTTTACTTCCTTTCATGATTCACATAGTTATTTTTAAACTTTTTTACTGAGTAGAATTTTTTTGTGTGTATTAATTCTGAGTACCATTATTCATTACAGTGAGTTCCATCACATTACTAGTACCACAAAGATAATATCTTTGAGACTAAACCTTTTGGGCTATTTTTTGTCCTTTATCCTAAAATTTTCTATTGTGTTTATTATCTGGTATATTTGAATTTATCTCTCCAAAATCACCACAAAATAAAATTTTTAAATGTTTGTCTTGTTTTTCTCTCACCATTAAGTGGGGTTAATATTAGGTTCATTAGGTAAGGTTTAATTTTAAATTGTGGCCATCTGATATTGCTACATCAAAAGGAAGTTAAAATTTGCTTGCCTAACATCACTTACCAATGTAGTTGTACTGTGAGCAAAAATAGAACAAAAATAGTTTATCTGGAGATTGAAAATTCCCAGTATTGACTTTAGCATGACTGCAAAAAACTCATAACCCTCTAGTGAAGACCCCTGAAGTTAACATAATGAAGGATAGAAAAAAATGACAGATGGGACAAAAGCAAACTTCCTGGTAAAATGTGGAAGTATTCCTCAAAAAAGGCTGTTCATAATAAACTTGGGTATTTTAGTTACGGGGTCAGAAAGAAAAATTTTAGATTGATTTATTTAGTTCAGAGAAATTACATGAAAATATAAAACTGTAAACTTTTCTATAATGCTCTCTTTTATTTGAGCTTGTATGATTTTTTCTAATTAATTTCTAAAGACATTTTAACTATTGAATACTAAAATGAACTATCACTTCAAAAGTGAGATTTAAGAGTCTCTAGAACTATACTGTTTGTATTTATAAGACAGAGGAGAAGGGATAAGAGAGAGAGCCAAAGACAGTCCCTTGGAGACTTGGGGTTTCAGCAACTGTGCCACGGGGCAGTGCAGACCTCCGAGTGACCAGGTTTTCAGTCCAGGATCTTCAAGACTATCTGCAGTAAAGCCAGCAGAGTGGACAGAGGGGAAGTCACACACTGCCTTTCTTTCGTCTTCCTATTGCATGTATTCTCAACACTCAGGACTTGCCTCCCCTGAATGGATGAGAGTGGAGAAGCACAGAGGTTGACATCCCCTAAACTTGTACGAGAGTCTTTTAAACTCTGCTGCTGACATGGCGTACAAACAGTGGTCTCTAAAAGTGCATTTCATTCACTTTGGGTAGGTCATGCATTATAATATCATTTCCCCCCAAAAGTAGCTATTACTATTACTTCCTTGAAAGGGCCAGGAATATACTTGGAAGATACAGTGAGAGCTACAGTCTGGAGCATCACAGCACAGAGCTGTTGCCTGATCCCTGAAAGTACATTGACAATCCCTAAGGTCCATAGAGAATCCAGGCGACACTAGTCTTGGGCAAATCACAGCATAGAGTTAGACTTGGAATCAGACAGGCCTAAGTTTGAATTCCAGTTAGAGTGCCATCCCTAAATCCCAGTAAATGAAATAACACATAATATGCTTAGCCCAGTGCTTGCCACACAGTAAACACTCAGTAAAGGGTAGCTTTATTATTTTTTTCAAAGGAATAAAGGAGAAGAGTTGCACGGCCTTAAATAATTCTCCAAATTTATTTTGAGTGAATGCATTTTGTGCTAGAGCTTTTCATTGGTAACCAGATCAACAGAGCTTAGAAAGCACTATTTTGAGGTATATCAGATGAAATGAACACATGCAGTGATTATGTTCATATTTGATACAGAGGGATCTTATTTCATTGTCGTCTTCCTTCTACCATGCTATATCCATCTGTAGTTCTGTTTTCCTTTTTAAATGTTTCAAACCTTACCTTTCTTTGGAATCCAGCTTTAAATGGACTACTTCCTTGAAGCTTTCCATGCCCACTCTAGTTTATAGTAACATCTTCTGATGCAACCCCCACCTCATTGCATTCCATATTTTCACTCATTTGGCACCTCATCATACATTGCCTGGGGCAGTTCCCTAACCAGTTCCCTGAAGACCCACTCTCTTGGTTCTTTTGTACTGCCTGTAAAGCTTAATTACAGAGCTGGCACAGAGTTCCCAGTAAATTCTTGTTGAATTAAATCTCTTATTTGAAATTTCCAATGCCTCCACTCCCCTTCCACAAATTCTCTCAATGTAGGGAAATCTCTTTAGATGACTAACCGGTGTTAACACCTCAACCCAAACTGACATTTTCAAATTATTTAGATGCTTCATAATTTTCCAGTGTGTTCTACCAAAACAATGTTTACATGAAAAGAATATAATTATTCAACATTTTTCCTAAGACTATGGTAAAAGCCAGCAGCATTGCCCCACTTAGAGGAGCTAAAATAGCTAAAGGTTACATGCTTTGCCTCAAATAATAGACTTAGTGAAGAGGGTAGAAGTAGAAATGAGGTCAGCCCCCCAGAGCAGTCTGGTGGCCTTGAGCAACCAGGAAGGTAAAGCCGGTACCTCAGTTAAATCACCAAGTTTACTGGAAGTGCATATTTTTCATGTGCCAAATTCAGTAAGTCATGGAGCAAATGTTTATTTTGCTATGCTTTAAAAAGTTGCTTTGCTTCTTGTAAGTTTTCTCAGTGGAAGGGTTCCAAGTTATGACTTAATCTATGTTTGCAGCATTGCACTGGAAACAGGATTTGTCTGTGAAATGGCTCTGTCATTTGTGGACCACTTCTGTAGGGAGATTGTGGATTTAGGAAGGGCAGAAGCAACAGCAGATATGCCTGGTGTTTGAATGGATGTGCCTCTCTCGGAGGCAGCAAGCAGCATACCCATATTATAAAGTTTTTGATTTTCTAACATCTGAAGACAGGCATCCAGCCTTGCAGAACAGCCAGGTGTCTGTTCTATAGACTACAGTTCCTTGTTTCCAGAATTACGGTAACCAAATAATACACAAGGTCACCTGATTGCACTTCCCAACAACCTGAACAAAGAGCACCTTTGCGCTTGCTGGTAGGTGCTGTACCAGACTCTTTGTAATCTGCCTTAGGTCAGAGAAGAACAAGCCATTACCAGTATGGGAGTCCATCCCTAGTCAGGGCTAGTTGCTATTATCCCTTGAATACTCTGCAGGCATCCCACAAGACATTTGAGACTTCATATTTGTCAAATAATAGAAATCTGGCTGGCCTAGTGGCTCATGCCTGTAATCCTAACCCTTTGGGAGGCTGATGTGGGCAGATTGCTTGAGGCCAGGAGTTTGAGACCCACCTGGGCAACACAGTGACATGTTGTCTCTACAAAAAATTTAAAAATTAACTAGGCATGGTAGTGTGCCTATAGTCCCAGCTACTCCAGAGGCTGAGGCAGGAAGATCCCTTGAGCCCAGTAATTCAAGGCTACAGTTAGCTCTGATCCTGCCACTGCACTCCTGTCTTGGTAAAGGAGCTAAACCCAGTCTCACCAAAAAAAAAAAAAAAAAATCTTACTAGAGATTTGGGTTATTACAAAAGGGATCACTTAAAGACTTTATGTCTTAGAGACATATTTCTTCAGCTGGATAAACAGTCCATATAATCATACAGTAGACAAAGCAAAAGGAAGATCTTAGTGACAGCTTAAATCCAGGATAAGAAATTAGGAAGCTGCCTTTATAGAGACACCAGTACTTGCCCTGAACCATTTTAATTCTCCTCTGTTTTCATAATACAAATTTGGGATGTTTTCAAATTCAACAGACCAGCAGTGCTGTTGATTCATAACCTAAACAAGCTTGTTAACCCTTTCCAAAATAAAGTCACTCTGCTTCTTGAACTCACTAGAGGTGTGCTAGTTTTACAAGTCTTCAGAGTTTATTATGTTCCCTGGAAGTGTGCCTCTTTGTGTTAAATCTAATCGCTCTGGTTAGTATTTTAATTTTAAACAATCAACAGCCTTGTCCTCAAAAGCAAAATGAAAGAAAGCAAGCCTTTGGACATGTTGTCTGATCTGCTTGCAACCTGTCTCCCAATGCCCTCCCCTCCCTCTCTCTGCCTCCTGCCTAGCTTTCTGCTTGTCTTTTTAAACTCTCCAAAGTCAAATCTTTCAAGGGAGCTTCTCTCTTGGGCCCCAATTACCCCTAGATTTATTGTCTCTGAACTCCTGCAATATAATATTTTCCCCTTATCGCAGCATTTATGTATAGACAGTCCCTGACTTAGAATGACTTAAGATTTTTCAACTTTATGATGGGTTTATCAGAGTAGCAAATGCATTTGGATTTACAATATTTTCAACTAAAAATGGGTTTATTGAGATGTAGCCCCATCATAAGTCTAGAAACATCTGTAATGTAATTATTTTTGTCTTTCCCTCACTGAACTAGCCACTTGAAGACAGGTGCTATGCGTTTAACCTCTGTGTTCCAACCCTAACAATGCTTGTTCTCAGTAAATGTTTAATGATTGAATGGATCCCTGGATGAATAAATACTTGGATGAATGCTAAGAAAAATGAAAGGCTTATTGTACCTTTCCAACATGTTGACTTATGTTGGCACATCCTAAATTCAAATGACTTCTCTACCACCACCATCCCCATACACACCCTGGAAAAAATAGTAATAGCATGGGTGGCAGGGGGAGGGGGCAGGTAATTCTACTGTCCTTGCAGCAAGCTAATAATGGCCACATTAATTCCAGAATGGTCTATCCTGTGTTCCCAATACTTAGCACTTGAATCATCATCATTGTTCACTCTCAGGCAAATCAGGCAGGACAGGATTCACTGGGAAATAAATGCTCTTTTTAAGTTCCTGGAGGATTATTATAGAATACAGTGAGGCAAAGATTCTTTAATGTTGGAAAAATGAAACAGTACCTCTGTAATTAAAGCCAAAAGCCGTAGTGTAAATGAGGAAAAATGGTAATCAGCCTAAGCTAGGAAAAACCTCGGTTCAAAATACTTAATTTTCTCTGTTCTAAGAAATCAATGCATACTTGTGGGTGTTTTAAGATCAAAATGATTTAGAATGTTTTCCTATGGCATTTATGAGTTAGAACAGAGAGTTAGAACTATCTCTGAAATTCATTTCCTTTCTTTGTAAACAAATATGGTTAACATTTACTAGAGGTGTTCATTCTTCTCTAACACATATGATTTTGATGTATGTTGCGAGAACAGCAAAAATCATTATTAAACATCTACTTTTAAATTTTCTCCCCACTGTGATTATCATGCAGGCCATGAGCAGGCTAAATTAGAAAGCATTTTGGAAAAGGAAGAGTTCTCCCCTGCCTGTGAGTTCTATAATTACTTGCCCTTATTGTATTCACCACTAGTTTAATGATGGGTAGGGTATAGTACTGTTTGTTGGTTTTCTCTCAAGTATATTTTAAAGTCTGCCTTTATTTTGGGCGACATCATAGATCAAAGTTTGATCCTCAGTTTTACAGGCTCAAAAACAACTTCATTTCAACAATACTGTGCAGAAAACTGACCACTATTCAAGTATTCATGATGTATTAATTTACGATGGAATTTATGCTTGGCTGAAGAAATGGATTAGTTGTCTACAGAAAAGTAAAATTCAAAGGTTGAAGCTTCTTTGTGATATACTCCAAGAGGAGACAGAATATAAGTTCTGCAACTATGTTGTTCTTTTCAACTATTAAAAAAAATCAAATTTTAATGCTAGAAATACTTTATTTGACATGATCCAGTCTACGGCACACCTTGATTCTGCAGAAGAGGAAATTGGAACCCTGAGTTTTTAACACTATTTAGTGTCAGAGCTGAGACTGGAGTTCAACTGAGACTAGAGTCTGAGAGAACACAGATCTCCATTCAAGAAATACCCTTCTTATGTAGTCATAATTGTAATAAGAAAAGAAAAAAATTTTTAAGAAATACTCTTCTTAGACATTGGCCTGTTTGAGAGATCTGTGTACTTCTCATAACCCTTGCTGCCTCCCTGATTTTGGAGTGGGATTGGTGGTCAGAAGTTGGAACTACAGATAATCCAAATTTTTTAGTGACTGTAAAACAAAATATGAAAAAAATGCTCTGTAAAATTGGAGAAAAATTAAATAGGAAAAAAGGGATATTTCCATTCAGCTAAAGTCATCTGATAACATCCCTTTCTCTCCACTTTGGGAGAGAAACTGGTATATTTCTAAATTGAAAAAAAAAAAAGAGGCCAGGCACGGTGGCTCATGCCTGTAATCCCAGCACTTTGGGAAGCTGAGGTGGGTGGATCACTTGAGGTCAGGAGTTCAAGACTAGCCTGGCCAACTTGGTGAAACCCTGTCTCTACTAAAAATATAAAAATTAGCCGGGCGTGGTGGTGGGCAGCTCTACTTGGGAGGCTGAGGCAGGAGAATTGCTTGAGCCCGGGAGGCAGAGGTTGCAGTGAGCCGAGATTGTGCCATTGCACTCCAGCCTGGGTGACAAGAGTGAAACTCCATCTCAAAAAAAAAAAAAAAAAAAAAGTCTTGATGTCTTGAATAGGAGACATCAAAACATAAAGTATCTGGGTTACTGGTTACTGAAAAGGAATCTGAATGACAGACTCTTTTCATTTTTTAAATTTTAGATTCAGTGGGTACATGTGCAGGTTTGTTGCATGGATTTATTGCATGATGCTGGGGTTTGGGCTTCTAATTATCCTGTCCCTCAAGTAGTGAACATAGTGCCCTATAAGTAGTTTTTCAACTTTACCCCTTCATCCTTCCCCCTTTTGGGATCACCAGTGTTTATCCCCATCCTTGTGTCCATGTGTAGTCAAAGTTAGTTCCACTTATAAGCGAGGACATGCGGTATTTGATTCTGTTTCTCTATTAATTTGGTTAAGATAGTGGCCTCCAGCTGCACCTGTGTTGCCACAAAGGATGTGATTTCCATTTTTTATGGCTGCATAGTATTCCGTGGTATATATGTACCACATTTTTCTTATCCAATCCACCATTGATGGGAACCTGTGTTGATTCCATGTCTTTGGCATTGTGAATAGTGCTGTGATAATAATATGAATGCAGATGTCTTTTTGGTAGAACAATTTATTTTCCTTTGGGCTTATACCCAGTAATGGGATGGCTGGATAGAATAATAATTCTATTTTTGGTTATTTGAGAAATCTCCAAACTGCTTTCCACAGGGACTGAACTAATTTGCATTCTCGCCAACGTATATAAAAATTCCCTTTTCTCTACAACCTTACCAACAGCTGTTATTTTCTGACATTTTAAGATTGGTATGAGATGATATCTCATTATGGTTTTTATTTGTGTCTCTGATGAGTAATGATGTTGAGCATTGTTTCATATGTTTGTTGACTGCTTGTATGTCTTCTTTTGAAGTGTCTGTTTGGGTTTTTTTTTTTTTTTTGGTTTTTCTTTTTGTTGTTGTTGCTGTTTTGAGATGGAGTCTCACTCTGTTGCCCAAGCTGGAGTACAGTGGCATGATCTCGGCTCACTGTAACCTCTGCCTTCTGGGTTCAGGGGATTCTCCCTCCACAACCTTGCCAGTAGCTGGGATTACAGGCATGAGCCACCATGCCCGGCCTTTGTGCAATTTTTAATGGGGTTGTCTGTTTGTTTTTCTGTTGATTTGTTTAAGTTACTTATAGATTCTGGACATTAGTCCTTTGTCAGATGGATAGTTTGCAAATATTTTCTCCCATTCTGTAGGTTGTCTGTTTCCTCTGTTGATAGATTCTTTTGCTATATAAAAGCCCTTTAGTTTAATTAGGTCCCAATTGTCGATTTTTGTTTTTGTTACGTTTGCTTTTGAGGACTTAGTCATAAATTCCTTGAGTAGCCCAATGTCTAAGAAGGGTATTTCCTAAGTTTTCTTCTAGGATTTTTGTAGTTTGGGAGTTTTACATGTAAATCTTTAATCCACTTTGAGTTAACTTTTGTATATGGTGAGAGTTAGGAGTCCAGTTTCATTCTCCTGGATATGGCTATCCAATTTTCCTAGCACCATTTATTGAATAGATATGCTTCCCCATTGTTTATTTTTGTCAACTTTGTCAAAGGTCAGTTGATTGTAGGTGTGCAACTTTATTTTGGGGGTCTCTGTTCTGTTCCATTGGCATGACAGATTCTTGACTCTCACTGGCTACCTAAATGATCATTTGTCATTAGTTTACTGGATTTTTTTCTGTATAGAACAAATTGTTGAATTTATTTTAACTATTTATATTAAAAATCAAAAATCAATGTGGCTTTAATTAGAAGGTCCTTGGAATTTTTTTATAAATTTGATTTTTATTGTTATCCTCATCACTAATACATTTACAAATCACATTTTAGGTATTTCTGAAAAGATTTCAACAAGTATCTTCTCTCATCATTTATTCATTCGAAGGTATTCATTACATAGATGACTGCATTAAGTTCTGAGGGTACAATGGAGAACCAAACAGGAATGGTCCCAAACAGAATGCATAAAATCACAGAGGTTGCATTTTACTGTGGGAGGAAGATTTGAATAAAATAATCACACAAATATTGTTATAAACTGTGATAAGTTCTACAAGAGAACAGTATGGGGTGTTGTGAATGCGTAATCAGAAGAATGCCGTCTAATTGGGGGAATTCCTGAGGAAGTGAAATCAGATGGCTGATGAGGTGGCACCAGGCCCAGGAGGGACTCTCCATTCAAGAATAGTGTTCCAGCCAAAGGGAGCAGCATGTAAGGGGGAGAGGGCAGCACCTGCAAGATAAATATTCATGGAATGACTGAGTTAATGAATGTGCAAAGGCACTGAGGTGGAGACTGGAAATCAGATGAGTGGAGCTAGATATGGACAGTGAAGGAGGGGTAATGATGACCTTGAAAAAGTGGGCAGAATTCAGGTCATGCAGAGGCCTGTAAGACAAGCTAAGATTTAGGTCTTTATCTTGAAAGTAGTGGTAATCATTAAAGTGTTATAGGTAGTGAAGTTGCATCTTCTATTATGGAGAATTATTATAGGAGAGGAGGGGAAGAGACTAGGGAGTGAGCTGATAGTGAGATTTTTGTCCAAGTGAAGGTGTGATATCATGGTGTTTTCTTTTTCTTAACTTTTATTTTAGGTTTAGGGGTACGTGTGCAGGTTTGTTATATAGGTAGCAAAGACTTAAATGATTATTGTGTTTTCAACTAACATATTAGCAATGTACTTGAAGAGAAGTTGGAGGTTCAAGAGATAATTCTGAGGTGATATTGACTAGACTTGGTGATAGATTGGACTTGGGGCCAGGGGAGGAGAGAGAAGGGGTCACCCTAGGTGGCCTGGGCCATCCTGGTGACTCAGTATCTATAGATGATTCATCTGGCACTCTCCTGCTCCAGTAATGCCACCTCTAGTACTCACATCTCTGGTCCCACCCTGGACTTTGCCACTGTCCTAAGCTACTCACTGCTGAAATAGAAGGGAACTACAAATATCCTTGTGCTTCCAGCCACCTCACATCCAGGTTTCTGAGCTTGCTAAGGAGAACCATGTACTTGAAGAAGTTACTGACCCTCTCTGAAGGCTCCTAGGATGAAGGATGGTAATTCCTACCTTATTAGACTGTTGGAAGATGTGGACGACAATGTTACAAAGACTCTGATATAGTGTGTGGCACATACATAAACGCAATGAGATAGAAATCACCTTTCCTCTTTCATGTGCTGGTTCTTATATCTTAAACTTTTGCGAATCCCACTAACTTTGATTTGCTACTGCCATAAGTATGTTTTTAATTCAGGACTTAATTTGTCAGGATTTTATACAGAAGTTGCCCCATCACACAGTGTATTAAAGAAATGTATTTATCATTAATTAGGCAATAACTGTGCTTTTAGTACCAAGAGGGTGCCCTTTTCAAAAAGTGTAGCTATGCTTTTAAAAAAAAAGGTAAATCCTCAGTATGCCACTGACTTCAGTTCCATAAACTAATAATTTAATAAAATGAAAATGACCCAACTACTACTATATCAAGCCTATTAATTTCACACATGTGTAAAATCTGTAAGGAAGAGGAAATAGCATGTAAACTGGAAAGATAAGTGTCTTGATTCTTCAAGGGAAGAAAAGTAGGCAAGTACAGAGAACTCTGTTTCTTCTGGGTCATATGTTTTAAAGGAATGACCTGCTGTTTCTTTCTTTTTTTTTTTTTTAAAGACAGAGTCACATTCTGTCACCTCGGCTGGAGTGCAGTGGCCTGATCATCGCTCACTGCAGCCTCAACCTCCCACGCTCAAGCAATCATCTCACCTCAGCATCCCAGGTAGCTGGGATTATAGGCATGCACCACTACGCCTGGCTAACTTTTTGTATGTTTTGTAAAGACAGGGTTTCACCATGTTGCCCATGCTGGCCTCACTACAAGGCTGAAGTGATCCCCACCCTGCCAGCCTGGACCTCCCAAAGTGCTCAGATTATAGACGTGAGCCACTGCGCCCAACTGCCTACTGCTTCTTTGTGCTCAGACTTTGCTATTATTGACAAATCATATAAAGGATCACAATCATCCTTTTGCCATGGGGAGGAATATATAGATTCACTATTTTTCACTAAAGATCTGTAAATAAATATTAATGAATTATTTTTATTAATTGTACAAACATTTCCTCATACAAACCTAGAATGTTTCCTTATGTTAAGATTACTTTTTCAGAGAATATGAAGATTTTATTTCTTTGTCTTATAAATCCCAAAGTTTTATTTGTTCTAAAAATTACAATCTATATTAGACTAATTTTATAAAAATATGTTCTCTTATAAGAGTGGTGAAATTTAAAGTCAAGGTATAAATAACTCTCTGCATGAAAGACATGCAAAACTACCTAAAGGAAACCAAAATTGGAAATTTGGGATTTAATTTTTTAATTTTAGAAAATTTTCTTTTTCTTGGGAGGCCAAGGTGGGCAGATCACTTGAGGTCAGGAGTTTGAGACTAGCCTGGCCAACATGGTGAAACCCCGTCTCTACAAGAAAAACAAAAATTAGCTGGGCATTTGGCACACACCTGTAATTCCAGCTACTTGGGAGGCTGAGGCAGGAGAATCGCTTGAACCAGAAGGAGAGGTTGCAGTGAACCAAGATCGTGCCACTGCACTCCAGCCTGGGAGACAGAGTGAGACTCCATCTCAAAAAAAAAAAAAAAAGGAAAATTTAATTTTTCTACATAGACATTTCCTTGTGTACTAAAATTAAAATTATTTTAACCCAATAAAGTAGTAAAATTTGGCATGCTTTTACATACATTCCCGGGGGCTTTAAACATGCACACGCATACATACATACACACAGAATTCAGCTTTTGTTGCCTTTCCTATAACATGCCTTTCATCCCTTCCAACTATAGGTGTTTTTAGGCCCAGCCTATAAAATCTGATTACATACCTTCATACCCTCACTTACTTGGGATCTGAGTCATAGGAGCAGCTTGCAAAGAAAGCATCCCAATTTAAGTATTTCAAAATTTCTGGAAAGATGTATTAATGGCATAGATGATACATTTCGACCCATTTCTTAGTTAAGAGTGAGCTTTTAATTCATAGAAGCTGTTCCTGTAGGGAATCTGGTTTTTCCTGCCCTTGTTTTCTAGGCCCCAGGCAATACAGGCTTTTCTGGAGTTCATATATTCACTCATCTACCCAACAACTATTTATGAAAAACTTGCTATTTGCAGGGCACCATGCTGGGCTACGACATTGCAGAAATCCAGTTTTCTTGCTTAGAGAAGTTGATGGATGATGATGTGACATTAGGGTAGAGCATAATAAGGACTGTGAACAGGGATTGTGCAGGGTATAGTATTGGGTTACCTAACCCAGTATGGGGTGGTGGGGAGGCCAGAGAAGCATCTCCACACCGTGGAGGAAGTTGATACTTAACTGATAAGTAGGATTAGCAGGTAGTCAGGGAAGAGCAGCAGAGGGAACCACAAGTCCACGGGGCAAACCTGAGGAGAAGCACAGCACATCTTGAGGAATTGAAAGTATGGCTGGTTCAGTATGCTTGGAGTGGGGAATCTGAGGCAGCGGGTGGCCTTGTTCAGTATGCCTGTAGTGGAGAATCTGAGGCAGGGAGTGGTGGCAGATGAAGCCCAAACTACAGAGGTCTTATTAGCCAAATTACAAAATTCTGTTCTCTATTCTGAAGGTATTAGGGAACCACTGAAACATTAACACCTCCCCCATTGCCCCCTACCATTTTCTGAAATGACTCAATAAAGAATAAACCTTATTGGTGAATCAAAAGAGGTGCCAGTGCCTTAAGGAAGGTGGTCAAGAATTGTATTTAGACCTACACTTAAGGCAGAACAGCACCTTGGTTCACATTCTCTACCAGTTCTGGGAAAGAAGTGGTTCTTAGCCAGGTAAAATATTCAACCACGAAGATCCTGCTTGGCCTTGTAATGTTATGTTATTTCTCAGAAGACAGCCTTGTGGCAGGCCACCTCAACTGGTAGGAATGTGCTGTACAAAGAAATCAATCAACCAGGTTAAGGATGAGATCAACTTTGTGCAAATTCTTTTAGTAGTAAAAACAACAATATCACCTTTCTTTATAAATTTGATCTACAGCTTACAAATATATATAGTACATTTTATTTGAGATGCATAAAAATCCATGGAAGTAATTGGTATTGAAATTCCTATTTCCCAGATTTAAAAAACTGAGGTTCATATAAATAAAATGTAGTTACACATAATGATAATTAGCAAGCAGCAGAGCTGAGATTCATTCCAAGATATCAGACTTTAAACCACCCTGTTCTTTACAAGAGACTGGCTATTTTCAATGAAGAAAATTAAGCTTGGGGCTGGACTAAAATCTTTATTTGGATTTTTTTTTGTCAAATTACCGATTACAAGAATTGATCACTCCATTTCCTTTAGAAGTAGAAATAATAGTCATTTTGCTGATTTTCTTTATTATAGTCTAAGAAAAAGAAATGCTCTGTTTAAAAATGTACTTTTTAAAACAAGGTTGATTTGAGGTCATGGCAATTAAAAGTGGCACTACCAGAAACTGAGCTATGAAAAATTGGCTATGCAATAAATATGTATATGAAATTCTTGTTTTCCCTTTTCTTTTATCCTTTTTTCTTTTCTTTTTTTTTCACTGTGACCTTGAACTCCTGGGCTCAAACGATCCTCCTGCCTCAGCCTCCCAAAGTACTGAGAATACAAGCTTGAGCCACTGTACCCAGCCCTTTGTTTTCCATTCGACTTTCATCACAAGATGGGTGACACAGGACCTCACCTAAAACTTACTTGCTCTTGATAAAGTTGAAAATTTTCTGTTGGGAAAGTAATTCGGGAGTGTGGACCCACATCATGGCAGGCATTCTAGGCCACAGGACTTAACTGTGTTCATATGCCTCATATTTTTAACTGCCTCATATTGTAACTGAGTTAGGCTTCATATGCCTCGTATTTTAACTGAGTGTAGCTCTATGAAGCAGGTACCATATATTTTACATCCTTTTATGTGTTCACAGAGTTTCCAATATAGTAGACACTCAAAAACTTTTAAAGAATAGTATACAACATTATTTTGTTGAGGAAAGATTAAAATATTTGGAAGGACTTCCCTAAATTTAGGCAAAGCCTTCACTTGGACCCATCTTCCACTTTACTGTTTTCCTGTTCAAGCAGTGGTCTGAGATTCAGGGATCAGAGGAACTCCTGGTAGAATTCCAATCATTAGACTACATGAGTGGCCATGAAACACTTTGGAGGCAAGACCAAGCCTGTTCTGTTCACTGCCTGCATGGAGCCTACAGTGCATTACCAGGTGGACACTTAGCTATTAGTATTTACTCAGTGAATGAACCAAAGATGATTAAGAGAGAACTTAAATTGCTGGCTGGTTAGAATCTGGATTTACGTAAGGATAAAGTTGCTAGTCCTGCTGTATCAAATAGGATGGCTTCTACAATGCTGGTCCCTTGGCAAGCAATTACTAGTTTGCCATATAATTCACTGTCGTTGCCGGTTGAGTGAAATGGGGTGATGCTAATAAAAATGCTGAGACAACAGGCTAACCCAAGAATCCCACTCAAACCAGGACTGTCACAAGCAAACCAGGATCTGAGGTTACCCTAGTGATTGCCCAACCATAAATCCAACTTCAGCTCTTATTCCAAAAAAGTGCTTACATGTGAAAGCATCTCGTTACATAATTAATGGGTTGGAGAAAAAAAAAAAACCTTCTGTAGAAATTGTAATTTTACAAAAGTTTATATCCAAGCTGGAGTGGTTATTTCTGAGTGCTAAAATTTGATATCAATTTTGGGGGGCTTCTCTGTATTTTCTTTCTTTCTTGTTTCTCCTTCTGCAATAAATACGAACTTGGTTTCCTTTTCAATTTTTATTTTTTTAAGTTAAAACATCTATTGAGTCTTAGTGTTTTGCTAATAAATCAATGATTCTATAGAACATCCTTAGAGAACTCCTAGGTCCCTTGTTTCACTGATAAGAAAATAGCAACAAAAAGATATTGAATGATTTGTCTCTACTAAACCGTCATCAGAAAAGAGTATTCGAAAATAATAACATAATCTTTTGACAGTATATATGCTGGAATTATTACAATATTTATTTCTGTTTAGATGCTATATTATCTCAAAGCCATAAATGCAAAAATTCCAAGAAGTATGATACCTCAAGGAATATTTATCTGCTAGTGAGACTTCCCAGAATTCGTCATTTTGCCAATTTTATTGGTAAACTTTTTTTTTTTTTTTTTTAAATGGAGACTCACTCTGTTACCTGGGCTGGAATGCAGTGGCACCATCTCGGCTCACTGCAACCTCCACCTCCTGGGTTCAAGCAATTCTTGTGCCTCAGCTTCCCGAGTAACTGGGATTACAGGTGTGTGCCACCACACCCAGCTAATTTTGTGTTTTTAGTAGAGACAGGGTTTCACCATGTTGGCCAGGCTGGTCACGAACTCCTGACCTCAAGTGATCCACCCCCCTTGGCCTCCCAAAGTGCTGGGATTACAGGCGTGAGCCACCGCGCCCACTGTATTGGTAAACTTCTTATCTCTTCAGGGCATAGTTTACACCTATGTCTTTCGGTACCGCAAAGCATAGCACGAGAAGTTGCACATTTCTGTAAGAGTCTACGTGGACTATATCATTGTCTTAGAATGGAGTCACATGAGAATGTTTCTAAAACAAGACCATTTAGGTCACCTTTGATACGAAGTTCCATTATAATGAAGTCAATAATATATTTAAAGTTTTTGAGTTTTTTTCCTGTTATTTGCAGCATAAAAGATTTAGAAGCCCAGTATATATGTATCTTTGGCAAACTGACTCCCTTCAGCCACTTGTGGGACAAGAATAAGTCAGGAATACAAAAATCGGGTATCTCTAGAAGGGACATTGGTGTGAGATAAGGCATCTCATTTGCAGGAAAGCACACCACCCTAGTCTTGCATTGCAGAGAATGTGAAGTTTGCAGTGTGCATTCAGTATTTCTCTTCAAATGGAACACCTGATTCAGTTTGTAGTTTAAAGAGATTTAATTGTGTGCTATATAGTCTTTTGCTCTGAATAAGGAAAATAATGATTGAAGTGGATGGGTTAGAAGGAGTAACATGTAGTTATCATGTAGTTATCAAACTGGCTGATTTAATGGACCAAGTCAGATTATTCCCCTAACCTGACACCTTTTTTTGACACTAGTACATGTTACATAGTTCAGCCTGTTCTCACCACTCTCTCTATTGTAATTGTGGTTTTTTTCCAGAGACATCAGTTACTTCTGAAATGAACAAATGCCTCTTTCTCTTTCTCCTTGATGTCTGTTTTGACAATGTGGACCACCTCATTCTCTGGGAACAAAATCTTCCCTTGGCTTCCCTGATATAGTTGTGGCTGTCCTTAATCTGACTTGCCTGACCAGTCAGTTGTTCCTTGTTTACTTCACTGGTTCTTCTTCCTGTTCATGTCCTCCAGCTGTGTTTAATCCTGAGCACTCAGCTTTTTTTCTCTATAAAGTGTCTTCTTTAAAAAGTCATACACCCATGTGGCTTCAGCTTTCACCACTACACAGCTATTTTCTACACTCACATTCTAACCTTGCCTTCTCTCTTCATCTTCAGTGGGGTACTTAACACATCTCACATATTTTCACCTCAAACATGTATGAAATTTAATTTAGCTTCTACAGCAAAGTGATCCCTTCTCCTCCCTTATTATTATTGGAATGGGGTCATCAAATTTTCCCCTTTCATCATCATCAATACTGTTCTTTGGTCACCTATCACTGGCCAATTAAACTTATCCATACAATGAGAAAGATATCTGAATGCTAAACTCTTAAGGCCTTGTTTTCAAAAAGGTAATTAAAGGACACTGACCAAAACTATGTTTAAGACTACTTATAACAAGATTTAAATAAATAATCTTATTTATTACAGCACAATTTGGTATTTTTGTAATTTTTTAAAAAAATTCCTATTGAAAGACAATACCAACTCAATTCTTTTCTCCAGTTTTTATTAAAACTTTTTAAAAAATTATCCTTGGATGCCAAACCTTTTCTATATTATTAAGTCCCACCTCAATACCATTTGACCACCTCCAATCTTCTCTACCCCTCAATCCAACCACCCAGATTTGTACTTCGGAAAGTTTTTAAATCTGGGAAACTATCCAAGCAGGGTTAGTGGGGTGAGGGAGTTTGGATTCTTGTAATCTGTTAAAAACTTACTTTTCAGTTCCTTCTTTCTTGTCAGAAATAGTCTGGCTCCTGATAAGTCCTATCATGACTGATTAGCGTTCCATGCTTTGAAACTTAACAGAATCATGAAGAACACTGAGAGTCTCAGAGACAAAGCACTGTAAAATAGGCTCAAAAGGAAAGGCTGAAGAACAGGGATCAGATTATCTGGAAATGAGATTACTGAAGCATGTCCTAATACTTACCTTTTCACTTATGGGTATTTACCACTAAGAGACTCTAACCTAATGTTTCTTATGTCCATAAGTGACACACAGAGAAATATGTTCTTAAATTCCAGATAGAAACCTTGGTGTATAAAAAGAAGAATACCTTGATGTATACTGGATATTTATAATTTAAAAACTACAAAATTGTTGTTCCTAGGAATTGCAAAATTTAGAATAGACATCTGTCCAAACCTTAAAAGTGAAGGCCTGCTGCCTAGATATTTAATGATAGACATGTCTGAATCCTGCAGACTTCTTTTATTATCTCTACTAGTTTTGAATAGTGTCCCCTAAATTATTAAGTAATTATAGAAGAATTTGACAAACCCATGGTGAATACTAGTTAATTACTTAAACCATGCAAATATTTTAAAAAGCATTTGAGCAATAATTGCTTACACAGATTTCCAAGTATTTCAGTTGTACTAACCTATAGCTATCAAGATGAACTCACTTGTTTCCTTTTTCCATATATTTAATACACAGTTAGATTGTGGATTCTTATTATAAATAAGACCATCAACAAAAGCAATATTGTAAATAAGACCATCAACAAAAGCAATTTTAAATGAAAAAAACTAAGAGTAGTTTTTAAAGATGAAGCAATTAGAGATTAAATGCCTACTCTTCACATACCTGAAAAATATACAAATGCAGAAATACTGTATATATTTGTTTTTTCAATTCTGTCACTGGCACAATATCCGTTATCTTTGCTGCTAAGTCATTGGTGATGCAAAACAGCAGTAGGTCAGCAGCCCAAGAGCTGTTTGAAGCCAGAAACAAGAGATCACAAAGACTTCCCAGGGGTGTCTGCCAAGGGGACAGCAAAAGCAACAAGCCCTCTAAGGAGATGTAGCCACAGGAAGGAGCATGGCAGTATGCAAACCCGGTTTCAGCAGAAAAGCCAGAGACAGCCAGGATGTCACCTGAGGGCTCAGCACAAAGTGACCATACCGCCAGGAAGACACCAACCCAGAAAAGCATTGACCTGGCCAGGAAGGGATGCTTCATTCTGCCATGAAGCCGTGGCACATGTTACATGTTGCAACAGAAAGACTAAGCTGAAACAAAAGTAGTATTGAACAACTACTGAAATACCTAGCTATAGTGGTGATAGAATTAGAGGACTGAAACCAACACATCCCTCAGACCCATGACTGTCTCTACCCCTTCCTACTCTGTCCCTCTGATGAAATTAAAAGCTATAATTCCTTATTTAACAAATATTTCCTAAGCTCCTCCTGCATGCCAGGGACCATACTATAAACAAAAATAAATAAATAAAACAGTGAACTGGACATGGTCTCTTACTTTCTAGGAGGTTACAGCTTAAAGGAAGGTCTTCCTTTTTTAATTCCAAATTTGTAATTTTTGAGATGAAGAGAGCATAATTTGAATGGAGATTTCATTCCTCTGAGTCCCTCATACCACATTGTCTCAGGAATCCACACTGATTTCGAGAACTCATCTGAAACCTGAAGATGTCCCTCAACTAGGAGTTGTTGAACCTTGGAGAACTTGTAAAAAGGTCTCAAAAGAGTGTAAAGCCCAGCTTAATCACTTTCCTGTTTTAACCACTTCTTCCCACCCCACCCCACTTCCTGGTTAAATTTGTGCAATGGTAATATTGAGTCTTTCCTATCTCATACGGAACTGATAAAAATTTTTGAGATAATTGTCCAGAATCTCCTGTACTTATTTTACTCCTTGATGACGTCAAGAACATTTATTAACTCCTTTAGACTATTACGATTTCATTTGTGTCTCACTGAATGTTTGCTAATAAGTTTAAATTCTTGAATCAAAAGAAATACAGAATTGGTCATAGTGTTACGGGATCCTTGGGGTTTCGCTTTGCCAGCTGGAAATCTCTGTGGCCAGTGATGCCTTTGCCTGAGTTTTGCTCAGGCCCACTGGGCCTGCTCAGCCTGGCAGACTACGCTTGGCTCATGCTACTGGCCTGGATCCCATGCCTGCCAAGGGCGAGTGGAGTGGCGAGGGGTGTGTGAATGAGCAAGTATGGGGTCCGGCCACTGCACACAGTGGTGGAGCTGGCAGCTCCAGACACCGCCACAGGCACTGGCTGTCTGTGAGGCTGTGGCTGGACTAGGCATCCCGCAAGTAGCTTCCATGGCTGGCACCAGGGGACACAGTCATGCCCAGAAGCTTGGAAATGCCAGGACCTGCAGAGCCCCAAAGAGGGTGTCACTGCCCTGGCTTGGGGCACTCCTAGGTCTGGGCTCCCCAAGGAGCCACAGCTCTTCTCTCCTTGTTGCCTGCAATATGGCAAGGAAGGGGTGTGTTTCAGCCCTGTTTGTGTTACAGCTCTTTCAGCCCTGCCATTAGGCAGGTTCCAAGTTCTTGTCCCATGCCCAGGTAGAAGGAGGTATGCAGACAAGTGGGAGATGAGAAAGGTGAAGAGGAGCTTTATTGAGTGATAGAGCTCAGAGGAGACTCGCAGTGCTCCTCTCCGCAGCTGGTCGTCCCTACGTCTGCTCAGCTCTCAGCAGAGAGGAGACACCAGAGTAGGTAGCTTGTCTCCACAGGCAGGTCGTCCCATCAAGTGCTCAAGGCTGGCTGAATCTGGAGTTTTTATGGGCTTCAGAGGGAGGAAGTGCATGCTGATTGGTTCATGGGTGGCCATAGGTGGGCCTAGAAAAAGCACCATAAGTTCCCACTCCAGTTTGCAGGACTGACAGCCTGGCCCCCAGGCTTCAGGCCTTCCCCAGCTTGAAGGTGGGGCCTCAACAGGGGCCTTCCCCCTCTACTCCAGAGCCAGTCTGCCTCATGCCACTGTTCATGATGCCCAGGCCATTCATATGGAGGGGTGCCTGCAGGCCAGTGCTGAGCTGCCCTCAGCCCCCCTCAGCCTCCCTCCCATGTTCATTGGCATTCTAAGTCTGGAGGGGGTCAAGGCAGCAGAGGGCTAGTATGTCAGTGCTTCCCTGAGTGTGTGCATGCCTGGCTGGGTTGCAACAGTGCCCAGGCTTGGCCTCAACTTTGCTGTGAGATTGGAGCAGGCACTGGGAGTGTGGAGAGGCCAGGCAGTGGGAGCGGGCCTGCAGGGGCAGTGGGGGGCTTCCTGGGCCCTTGAGAGTGCAGAGATGCCCAGGTCTGCAGCTGCAGCTTGGGTGGCTGCAGTGGCACCTGCCTGCTGCCAGCCCCCCACCAGCTCTATGGAGTTCAAAGCCCAGCCATACCTCCCCTTCTGCAGCCAGCATCTCCGCAGTAGCCACTCCAGATGGGCCATCGCTACCATCAATAGTGGGTATGGTCAATCCAAATATTACTGAGGACACTTTCTTGTTTGTTTTTAGAGGCAGGGTCTGGCTCTGTTACCCAGGCTGCAGTGCAGTGATGCAAACATGGCTCACTGCAGCCTCAACCTCTTGGGCTCAAGCAATCCTCCTGCTTAGCATCCTGAGTAGCTGGGATGGCAGGTGTGTGCTACCATGCCTGGCTAATTTCTTTTTTATTTTTTGTAGAGATGGGGTCTCTAGGTTGCCCAGGCTAGTCTCAAACTCCTGGTCTCAAGTGATCTTCCCACCTTGGTCTCCCAAGCCACTGGGATTACAGGCATGAGCCACCACGCCCAATCTAACAAAAGACTTTTGAAAGCATTTTTTATGATTATAGTAGGAGAGCCAACAAAATAATCAAAATGGTAATGCATAGAAAGAATTCCCTTCCCTGTAAGCTTTCACTAGGTAAAGAATAGGAAGAACAGATGGATTATATAGGTCCAGCTTCTAAAACAGTTAAGCTGTTATATTGTAAGGTATTGTTGTATTTGTGAGTAACTTGAGATTAGGAGCCAAATATTTTATCCTTACGTCTCAGTGCTTGCCAATGCACGTAGTGGGTGATCAGCAATATTGGATTAAATAATTGAGAATCCAGATTCTCTCTTATAATTCTTTCACAGACTGGCATACAAAAGGGAGCCTGAGATTTAACATGCAGTGTTTGGAACGGGGACTTGTTTTTATCCTGAGGTCAGAAACCTCCACAGCTGAGTACTTTGGATAATGAAAGTCCATTTTCTATATTTGCCCAGCTTGGGCTGGACACAGGCAAATGTCATACAATCTGCGTTTAAACATTCTTTTCTTTCCATTTTAAGCATTTGTGTTTCCTGCAGCACATCTAAAAGATTCACAATATTTACTGTATATTTCTATGCTTTTAAGAAAAAAAAACATGCAGCTTTCACATGCAAGTTATTTTCAGCAGGCAGTTCCTTTCCTGAAACACAAAAGGCTAGATATAAAAACAAACAAGAGGGAGAATACACTGTTTTAACAAATGGGTCCTCAGAGATGGATTTTAAAGCATGGATTTTGTTTCCCGATCTAGCTTTTACCCTATCACTTCACAACACTGAGAGAAATCCTGAAATAAATCAGTAACGTTTGCACAATTTTTAAGGCTGACAGTTTTATTTTTTTCCTGTTTTGTCTATTGCTGTAGCCAATTTAATTAGGTCATACCCATGTGAAAAGTTTGTTGTACAAGAAAAATTTTGGATGTGTGTGAGTATTTTCAGGAAGATTTGTTTCTGCTAATGTTCATGATGTCCTTTGCACATGAAACTAATTCACTTATTATCATACACAATTTAGAATATTATTATTGTTTCCAAAAAAAAAAACAACTCTAATTCAAGGGGAAATACATGTTTGTTTACTTTTAGATCATGGTTAGAGCAATTACACTTTATTTTTAGCAGATAAACCACTGATTTTAAAACATATTTTTTTAACAATACAGATTAGATGCCAACCCAAGAAGGGATCATTTGAGTAGAAAGGGGAGAAAGGACTAAATTATAATAGTATTCCAGAAGTGGCAGCAGAAATCAAACACTAGCCTACATACCTAGAGCATTGCCCTCTAATTTCACTTTTATAAAAGTTGTTTGTAATTCTTAGGTCCTGGGTATTTTCTAATAGACTTTTTATGATTATACCAACAGAGGTAAGTTTCAGGCCCACAAGAAAGTTATTGCTTCTACACTCCCAGAAATGTTAAGAACCACGGGAGAATGCCATTTTTCGCAAAATGAAGATACTTATTCATGTTTTCTGAAAAATCTTGATGTTAACTCCTTTTCCTCTTTAATGAGCTGAATGCCTTGCTTTTATTTTTATGTATTTAATAATTTTAGTAACTATTTAATTGAGATTCTTACTTGCTTCCGAAACATCAGGATAAATAGATACAAGAGGCACAATTTAACATATTTTATTGGCTGAACATAAAGGTCACAATTACCAAGCTTTATAGACACACCATTAGAAGTATACAGTAGATCCTTTGTAGAGACCATGAATGAGAGCCAGTGTAGGCGATGTCAGGAACAGCAATACAAATTTTGAGTTGCTGTCTGTGACGAAAGCCCAGCAATTGTCAAGAGTTTGACTGGGTCGCAAAAGAATTTAAAGGGCCAGCAGCTCTTTAAGAATGCATGCGTTAGCTTTATCCTTATGTAACATTTACTGTGAGGCAAGGCATGCCAAATATTAAGCAATCTACTGAATTCTGCTGAGTCCCTACCCAGTGATTCTATTTTCAAATGAGATAAGTAGGTGAGATATACAAATGAAATCAGAGGCTTGATTAATGCTGCCCATCCAGAAATCTACAATGTGAATGGATCACTATTAGTACCCCAGTTTCAGCATTTTCCTAAGAAAAAATGGAAATAAGTGAAATAGATGGGAAAATATGGTACTTTTTTGGAAGTTAAGAAGTTTGCTTTCTAAAACAAAATGTACATAGCTAATCAGATATACTTCTGCAATTCTGTTTTCATGTATTAATAAAGCTAGATTTCAGCATCACTTAAGTTTTTACCAAGAAAAGAATTTGAAGCTGGGCATGGTGGCTTGCACCTGTAATCCCAGCCCTATGGGAGGCCAAGGTGGGCATATCTCTTGAGCTCAGGGATTCAAGACCAGCCTGGGCAACATGGCAAAACCCCATCTGTACAAAAAATAAAAATAAAAAACTAGCCAAACATGGTGAAACACGCCTGTGGTACCAGCTACTGAGCAGGCTAAGGTGGGAGTATCGCTTGAGCCTGGGAGGCAGGTTGCACCACTGCTGTGATTGCACCACTGCACTCCAACTGAACTCCAGTCTGGGTGACACAGCAAGACCTTGTCTTAAAAAAAAAAAAAAAAAAAAAAAGATTTGTTAGTGAGATGTCAGTTTTCCTAAATTACATTGACTAAATTTTTTGTGACATTCAAAATTTGCCATGGTCTCTTGCTAGATTCCTAACATGTTCTGTAAATTCTCAGCTTTTAGTAGAATTTGAAGAATGCTTGTGGAAAATCAACAATGCTTTCAACCATTGGTATGGTTTGGTTCTATGTCCCCACCCAAATCTCGCCTTGGATTGTAATAATCCCCATGTGTCAAGGGCAGGACCAGATGGAAGCAGTTGGATCATGGGGGCAGTTTATCCCATGCTGTTCTCATGATAATGAGTGCATCTCATTAGATCTGATGGTTTCATAAGCATCTAGCATTTCTCCTGCTTGCACGCATTCTCTCTCCTGCCTCCCTGTGAAGAGGTGCCTTCTGCCATAATTGTAAGTTTTCTGAGGCCTCCCCAGCTGTGTGGAACTGAGTCAATTAAACCTCTTTTCTTTATAAATTACCCAGTCTCGGGTATTTCTTTATAGCAGTGTGAGAACAGACTAATACAGTAAATGGGTACCTCAGAGAGTGGGGTGCTGCTATAAAGCTATCCAAAAATGTGGAAGCGCCGTTGGAACTAGGTAACAGGCAGAGGTTGGAACAGTTTGGAGGGCTCAGAAGAAGACAGGAAAATGTGGAAAAGTGTGGAACTTCCTAGAGATTTGTTGAATAGCTTTAACCAAAATGCTGATAGTGATGTGGACAATGAAATCCAGGCAGAAGTGGTCTCAGATAGAGACAAGGAACTTGTTGGGAACTGGAGTAAAGGTGACCCTTGCTATGCTTTAACAAAAAGACTGGTGTCATTTTACCCCCTCCCTAGAAATCTGTGGAACTTTTGAACTTGAGAGAGATAATTTAGGTTATCTGGCGGAAGAAATTTCTAAGCAGCAAAGCATTCAAGAGGTGACAAAGCATAAACGTTTGGAAAATTTGCAGCCTGACGATGCAGTAGAAAAGAAAAACCCATTTTCTGGGGAGAAATTTGAGCTGGCTGCAGAAATTTGCATAAGTAATGAGGAGCCAAATGTTAATCGCCAAGACAATGGGGAAAATATCTCCAGGCCATGCTAGAGACCTTCACCGCAGCCCCTCCCATCACAGGCCCGGAGGCCTATGAGAGAAAGATGGTATCCTAGACCTGGTCCAGGGCCCCGCTGCTGTGTGCCATGTGTGCAGTCATGACTCTAAGGGGCTAAGGTACAGCTCAGGCCATTGCACCAGAGGGTGCAAGCCCCCACCCAGCCTTGGCAGCTTCCACATGGTGCTGGTCCTGTGGGTACACAGAAGACAAGAATTGAGTTTGGGGACCTCTGCCTATATTTCAGAGGGTATATGGAAATGCCTGGACACCCGGGCAGAAGTTTTCTGCAGGGGTGGAGCCCTCATAAAGAACCTCTGGTAGGGCAATGCAGAAGGGAAATTGGGGTTGGAGCCCCCACACAGAGTCCCCACTGGGGCACTGCCTCAGTGAGAAGAGGCCCACCATCTTCTAGACCCCAGAATGGTTTATCCACAAACAGCATGCACTGTGTGCCTGGAAAAGCCACAGACACTCAAAGCCAGCTTGTGAAAGCAGCTGGGAGGGGGTCTGTAATGTGCAAAGCCACAGGGGTGGAGCTGTCCAAGGCCGCGGGAACCCACCTCTTGCATCAGCGTGAACCTGGATGTAAGATATAGAGTCAAAGATCATTTTTTGACTTTAAGGATTAATGACTGCCCTATTGGATTTTGGACTTGCATGGAGTCTGTTGCCCCTCTGTTTTGACCAATTACTCACATTTGGAATGGGTGTATTTACCCAATGTCTGTATCCCCATCATATCTAGGAAGCAACTAACTTGCTTTTGATTTTACAGGCTCAGAGGTGGAAGGGACTTGCCTTGTCCCAGATGAGACTTTGGAGTTGGACTTTTGGGTTAATGCTGGAATGAGTTAAGACTTTGGGAGACTGTTGGAAGGACATGATTGTGTTTTGAAATGTGAGGACATGAGATTTGGGAGTGCCCAGGGGCGGAATGATATGGTTTGGCTCTGTGTTCTCCACAACTCACCTTGAATTATAATAATCCCCATGTGTCAAGGGCAGGACCAGGTGGAAATAATTGGATCATGGAGGCAGTTTTCTCTGTGCTGTTCTCATGATAATTAGTGAGTCTCATGAGATCTGATGGTTTTATAAGCGTCTGGCATTTCCCCTCCTTGCACTCATTGTTTCTCCTGCCACCCTGTGAAGAGGTGCCTTCCACCATGATGTTAAGTTTCTTGAGGCCTCCCCAGCCATGTGGAACTGTGAGTCAATTAAACCTCTTTTCTTTATAAATTACCCAGTCTTGGCTGGGCACGGTGGCTCACACCTGTAATCCCAGCACTTTGTGAGGCTGAGGTGGGTGGCTCACTTGAGGTCAGGAGTTCGAGACCAGCCTGGCCAACATGATGAAACCCCCGTCTCTACTAAAAATATAAAAATTAGCCAGGTGTGGTGGCACACGCCCATAGTCCCAGCTACTCGGGAGACTGAGGCAGGAGAATCACTTGAGTCTGAGAGGCAGAAGTGCAGTGAGCCAAGATCATGCCACTGCACTCCAGCCTCGGTGACAGAATAAAACTCCAGCTCAAAAAAAAAAAAAAAAAAGAGAAAGAAAAAAAGAAAGAAAGAAAAACAAATTACCCAGTCTTGGGTATTTCTTCATAGCAGCATGAGAATGGACCAATACAACCATGTTTATTCTTCAGCTACGGTAGCAGGACTGACTTTGACATGCTGATGTTCTTTTTCTTTTTCTTTTCTTTTCTTTTTTTTTTTTTTTTGCAGGGACTTTATGTTTTCATGGTTTATTTCATTTTACACAACCAAATGTGTTGCCCTATGAAGGCCAGTTACACTGTGGAAATGAATGGGCATCCTGGACCCAGCACAGCCTTTTTCACGCCCGGGAGTGGAATGCCTCCTGCTGGAGGGGAAATCAGCAAGTCCACCCAGAATCTCATCGGTGCTATGGAGGAGGTGTCTGCCCTTGCCCTTTCATTCTCTGTCTCTCTGTCTCTGTCTCTCTCTCTCTCTCTGTCTGTCTCTCTCTCTGTGTCTGTCTGTCTCATTGACAGGCTCTCCACCTCATAAAGAGTACAAGATGAATCACACTAGGTGACTTTTAAATCAAGATGAATCACACCAGGTGACAACTTCTGACCTATGGTACTTGGTTTCCTTACTATAGCGTCACACCCATTATCTAATTCTTTTTCTTCCTCACCCTGTGAGCTAGACTGACCAGCAGTTTGTGTTGGGAAATCAGATGGAGTATAATTTGACATTTCTTTCTTCAGAATCTTTCTAATTTGACATGTCAGTGACTGGGTCTGCCAAGGAAATGGTTCTTAAGATGCTATTTTTCCTAAAAATACTTTCATAGCTCTCTTCCTCCACCCATTCCAACTCACTACTTCAATCCCAGCAAACAGAGAAAAGAAATTAAGCCAAACCTCTTTTCAATTTACATACCAGAAAATATTTTAGAAAACAAGCTCAGAAGAGTGCTTCTGCAGCACTATTGGAAAATCTAGCCAGGATTTCCTCTGTACAAATCTACCTCCCATTGCTCTCTGCATTCTGTCCACATCATTTTTATTTCCTGTGTGTGAATCCCATTGCCACCAGCTTGTCAGTAATGCTGCCCCTAGCAGTGGGGCCACTGCTCACATTTTAAAACATCCCTGAATTCCTTTGGCCAGGAGGAGATAGTAACAAAGGCCTCTAAAAATTTCTGCAGTGTCCAAGATGTGCTTGGTTACCATTTTTTTATAAGCTCATATTGCCCTCTTTATATTAAGGAGCCAAGGAAAACAGTATTTGTGTTTACTTCCTGAAAAATGGCAGGAAATCAAGGTACATCTGTCTGAAAAGGAAACAGTTTATATTAATAGATGGATGGAGAGATTGGTAGATAGATAAATCAATAGACTGATAACTTACCTGTCCAGAGATAACTTTTGTCCTTCATAGCAATATGGAAAGGTATTTTATTTATGTTAGGTTAAAATTAAGGTAAATATTCACAATTCAAGTACTATATATATTTTTAGTTTGAATGAGAAATTTTTATATACAGAATTATTAACTAGTAACAGAAACAGAGTAGAAAGGTGGTTGTCAGGTGCTGGGGGTGAAAGAAATGAAGGATTTTGATCAAAGGGTACAAAATTTGAGTTATAAAATGAATAAGTTCAAGTACAGTCTTTAAAAATCAACCTATATCTTTAGTATCCTTAATTTTTTGGAAATCTAGTACGATTTCTCTATCCCCAAAGTTCTTAAAATAGACTTATTTCATCACAGCAGGCCCAATGGAAACAGGGACTTTTTTAGGATCAAGAATTCAGAAATGAATCTTAAAATTTTTTTTGAATGGTTGCTCAGTCCAGCATTTGTTTACATCTGAACTGTTCAATACAATAACCATTAGCTGCATGTGGCTATTTAAATTTAAACTAAAGTTAGGCAACATTAAAGAGTCAGTTTATCATTCACCCTCACCACATTTTAAGTGCTCAACAGCCACATGTGTTTGGTAGCTGCCATATTGGAGAACACAGATATAACACATTTGTATCAGTGCAGAAAGTTTTATTGGACACTGCTGGTCTAGATGTTCAACTTCCTAGTGAAATTTTTTAAGGTTCATCTTTTCCTCTCAAGTTCATTTCTAAAGTTCTCAGATCGCCATTTTCAGAAACGAAGTGTCTTTGCTGTTTCTCAGAACACCCTGTGTTGATAGGCAGTAGCTGTAACCTGTCTCTCAGAACACCCTATGTTGGTAGGCAGTAGCTGTAACAGTCCAATTCTTGGTCCAGAGCCACCACTTGGGTGCTCACTTGGGTGTTGTGCAACAGGAGAGCCTGAAGTATGCTCTGCATTCCTCAGAGGCATAGAATTGGCCTTGATTCAGCTGTCAGTGAAGTGCCGTCAGAGACATTCTAAAAAACCATGCAGAGAAGGGAAAGTACAGGAAGGAAGGATTAAGGGGTTGTTTACCAGTAACCTAGAGGGATGTAAATACATTTAATCATTCCAGGATAGAGCTATCTTTTTAATCATTCAATCAAAAACAAGGAGGAATGCTATGAAAGTATTTTTCTCAATTTAGTATATCCTTATAGATACCTACTATATTTAAAATCCTATGTGGCATTTTAGATAAAGGATTAGGAGGATTCTTCTCCATTTCTTATATTTTTTAACAGAATTTTCTTTGCATACATCTTACCAAAAAAAAGTATTTATTGGGTTAAAAATTAGTTTTCGTTCCCCACACATGACAACATAGAAATCTACAAGTAATTCAAATAGAGACATGGTTTAGAATCACAGATTAAATTGTCTCAGGGAGAGACATAATTTTCTAAAGAATGAAGATAAAATTAAAGTTGTTTTATTTTGTTTTGTTTTGTTTTTGTTTTTGTTTTTTTAGTAGAGACAGGATGTCTCTCTGTCACCCAGGCTGGAGCACAGTGGCATGATCATAGCCCACTGCAGCCTCAAACTTCTGAGCTCAAGTGAGTCTCCCACCTCAGCCTCCTGAGTAGCTGGGAATACAGGTGCACACCACCATACCCAGCTAATTTTTTACATTGTAAAAATTTTCGTAGAGATGGGGGTCTTACAGTCTTGTCCAGGTGGGTCTCTAACTCCTGGGCTCAAGCAATCCTCCCACCGAAATTTAAGGCCAGGCATGGTGGTTCACACCCATAATCACGGCACTTTGAGAGGCTGAGGCAGGATCTCTTGAGCCCAGGTGTTTGAGACCAGCCTGAGCAATGTAGTGAGACTCCATCTCTAGAAAAAATAAATTTATAAATAAGTAAAGGTCTAGTTTCAAAACAATGCCACTGCCGTTTAGCAAGGTCTTTGTACGGAGAGGCAGAGATCAATTGTCCATTTGGGTTTCATAGTGAATGTGTATGCATTCATATTATGGTTTCTTTTTCCCCCCATCCCAATCTAAAAAGGTGCCACCTGACTGGGAGAGAGCATCCTTCCAACAGGGCAGTCAGGCCAGCCCTGATTTAAAGCCAAGTCCACAAAATGGAGCCACGTTCCCGTCCTCTGGAGGATATGGCCAGGGGTCACTGATAGCCGATGAGGAGTCCCAGGAGTTTGATGATTTAATATTTGCATTAAAAACTGGTATGTATGAACCCATGAACGACATTAGAAGTAGGCACTCTTGCTATGTTACAATTTATATTTTCTTTCCATGAAGTTGCAAAGTACTATCAGTCACCCTTAGCACATCCTGATTCTCATGACCCATTCCTAATCCCAGGAAAACTCTAGGATATTTTGTTCTTGGCACCAAATGTAAGACAACCTAAAAATAATTTATAACTTGTTTTCAAAAAAGACATACTCTAACTAAATGTAAATATCCCTGTCCTGGAATCTTGCTAGAACACCAAGATACTATTAAGTTTGCTATAGACAGTCGATAGGGATCTCACTGAGGGAGTTTTGCCTCTGGCCTGCCAAAGAGACCTTCTTATGCAGTGCCTTTGAAGCAGAAACTTTCCAAGGCAACATAATGAGCATGGTATAGTTCTATAATTTCCAAGTGCTATCACATACAATAATTCTTTGACCCTCCTATTTACTCAGTCCCACTCAACTTTGACCCCAGTGGATAGTTCTTACAGAATGAGAGGAAAACAGTCCAAGAGGTCCCAACTCATCAGCATATGATACTAGAAACATGCTAAGGCAATAAAAGACCATGAAACCGCCTGATTAAGGGTCACACGCTCCTGGGTGAAACAGTTAGTGGATATCATTCTTTCCAGTGTGTCTAAATGATATCTGCATTCATAATATAAACATAGTGGATATTTTATTGGTCAGAAATTCTATTTTGAACATTAAAAGAAAACCGTAAACTAATTTGAGTTTTCAAATCAAATATGCAGTTTAAAAATTTTTTCCTCAGAAAAATGTTGAACTGACACTTATAAAAATTCCAGTGAATTTTAATTTCTAGATAACCACATAAGCAAGAAAATGTGTCCATGCCCAGTTGAAGTTATTGAAATATTTATTCAGAAGTGCATTTTACTTTCTTATAGTTTTATTGTTTGGCTATGAAGTATATTGCTTTGCTAAAACATTTTTCTTTATTATTTTGAAGTTAAAATTTTATTATATCTTGAAAAATACTCCAAAATTCCTAAGAATAACAGCATATTTTCATGTATCATATTTTACAACCTTCCCAAGGTTACATAGTTAAGCGGCGGCGCAAAGCAGATGCAGGCCGCCTGGCCTTGAGACCGTGCTCTCAGCCGCTGTGGCACAACCGCCTCTCGAGTGCTTTGTTAAGAATGGCACATCCTATCTGTATTAGTCCATTCTCACACTGCTATGAAGAAATACTGGAAACTGGGTAATTTATAAAGGAAAGAGGTTTAATTGACTCACAGTACCACATGGCTGGGGAAGCTTCAGGAAATGTACAATCATGGCGGAAGGCAAAGGAGAAGCAGGCACCTTCTTCACAGGGTGGCAGGACAGAGTGAGGGCAAGCAGGGGAAATGCCAGACACTTGTAAAACCATCAGATCTCGTGAGACTCACTCACTATCATAAGAATAGCATAGGGTAAACTGCCCCCATGATCCAGTTGCCTCCACGTGGTCCTGCCCACCACACGTGGAGAATGTGGGGCTAGAATTACAATTATAATTGAATTATACAATTACAATTGACTCTTACAATTCAAGATGAGATTTTGGGTGGGGACACAGCCAAATCATATCACTATGGAAAGGAATAAGAACTCAACCCTATACTCAGATTAGTGCTTAGAATAACCTTTGCTAGATATTGCTGAATCCTGAGTGAGGGGATGAATTTGAACAATGAAGCTTAGAGTTTGCTAGGAAAAATAGACATTCACATAAACATGACATAAGAAAGAATAAAGTAATGGAGAGAGTTAAAAAATGACAGAGGAGATGAAAAAGTAACAAAAAATTCTCTATTAATTCTTGAAGGATGTATAGGTTTTGAACAAGTAAAGAATGGAGGAAAGGGCATTAGGGACTGAGGGAATAGAATTAGCAGGAGCCCAGAGGCTTAATGGTGTGTGGCCTGTTTTAGAACCAGTGCTGCAGTGTGGCAGGGGCAGAGAGTGAGAGAAGCCGGGCAGCAGAAGGCAGGCCTGACAGGTAGCTTGCCGGCACCATCAATAATCTACTAGAGTTCCCCAGCTGGGTTTCAGCAAACACCCTCCCTTAGCTATTCATAGTCATTCCGCAATGGGAGGATCCCTGACCCAGTATATTTGGGCAATTGCAGAGATTCACAATTCACATTAGCATTTTAGCAGCTCTAAAATGTTCTAGACCAAGGAAACCCATTTTGCTTAATTTAACCTGGTCTTTCCAGAACACTAGCAATACAATCATTGTGGGGGAGCAGAACACTCACTGATACTTTGCATAATATTAAAATGCTATTCGGATGCCATGGTAAGGAGTGAGATTTTTATAGAACATAGTGAGCCATGTAGGTTTTGGAGGAAAGAAATGGCATGTTCCTATTTGTTTTGAGGCAAAATAACTCTTATGAAAGTATGAAGAAATAAATTTAGAAGCAATATCAGAAAGGCTGGGAGGTTATTACAGTGTTCCAAAAGAATGAGATTAAGGCCTCAAATCTGGAGAGTGGAAATAAAAATGGGAAATGAGCTTCCCAACAAGAGGAATGCCGAGGAAAGACTGAGGGACAATCTTCCAAAGCTCATGCTTCTCACCACAATGGCTGACTAAAAGAAAAGTATATAGAGCATTTGTTTGTTTATTTGTTTGCAGGAGGAAACTGATGAGTTCAGATGTAGGCCTGGTGGCTCCTAAATATTCAGGTTTGGATCTTAGGTGAGGGACCAGGATAAAAGGTAATGATTTGAAATGCATCAGCACAGAGATGATATTTGAAGCTATGGAGATGAAAAAAGGTTGATCTGGGAGACTGGAAGGAGAGAGAAGAAAGGAAAAGAGATGAGGAAGTCAGGGGAGAAGAAGGAAGGGAAACAGGAATGTTATAGATAATACCAACATTTAAAGAGTGAATTAGAAGACAGTCTCACCAAGAAACTGTAGCAAGTTCAGAAAGAAAAACAAAGAGGAAGGAGTTTCAGGAAGGAAGAAATGATTAGCTGCACAAAACTTTCCTTAAAGTCAGGGCTGAAAAGAGGCTATCAGACTACAAGTAATTCTCAGGGCAGATTATGTCCTCAGTGCTACAGTGTCATCAGTTGTTGAAGTTATGACACCGGAAACATAAAGTGAATTCTTGGAACATAATTAAATTAGATCTATATTACATTACATCTTATATTTATGTAACTATGAAGTGCATTTGGTTCTAGAATGTAAGGAATGTCTTCCTTACTTATAGATTTGTAGAGTTCCCTGAACTCACTAGGAAATAAATACTTTAAAAGACCAAAATAACAATCTCTAATACTTGGTTCCCTATATTTTTAGAAAAAGTAATGTAGTAATCATGTATCAGCCACTGGACACTTTCCCTCCTAGAATATGGTCAAATAAAGGTCAGTCTACATGCCATTTTGTCTACAGCAGTTATAACTGACCCATAAGGCCAGATTCAGCCCAACAAAGTGCTTTGTTTGATCCATATAACATCTTAACATTTTTTGAGCCAATATGAAAAATACAGAGCTATTTTCTAAAAATATAGAATTTCTAGAAAAATCTAGCAACAGAGTCTTTGAAGTCGAGCACAGCGCTGCTTGCTTGGAACTGAGTAATAGCAGCCCCTTTGGACATGAGCTCTTCCACTGTCTAGTGCCTACTAGGCCCATGTCACTGGTTTATGCAAACCTCCTTGGCCACTAGGACATTTGAGTTTGCAAACCTTGGTCCCTCTCAGGTCCACCTTCACTATGGCCCATTCCAAGTCAAGTACTAAAACAGTGGGCCTTCCATGTCTCTTTCATTTGAACCCCTAAACAACTTGTCAAAGCTATGTAGCCTTTTGCATGTGTTTAAAAAGTTTTTCATAATCAGTTTAAATGGTATCAAATAATGTAATTTCCACTATATCATACATTTTGGTGTTTGAAAATAAAACTTTTACATTATTGTTTGAAACTAACCCAAAGGCTCTTTGCTAACTACCTTAGCAATGCAATACCTAGTTATTCATTTTTTAAATATGTGAACAGGCTTTTTTTTATAATTGGAAATTTGACATCACTTTCTTTTCTCCTTGAACTTATATTTCCATTCTACTTTCTCCACAGAATTTTATCCTACTATAATATATTTTATACTTAAAATTCATTTTACTCATATTTCTTTCCAACAGAACATGTTTTTAAATTAGAACTTAATTTTTTTCTGTGGCCATAAGACTCTAAGGTGTTCAACATTTCTTTTATACTGTTACCATTACAATTATTCCTAGTGTACAGTTCAACAAATCAACATGAGTAACAAAAACATCTGTTTTGATAAATGATTGTCAAAAATGAAAAAGACTCATCAGAATAATAGATATGGAAATTCAAGATCTGGGAATGTATTCCCTTAAAGCTGTCCTTCCCATACTATCTTGTACTCCTTGAAAAGGCATCATGTACCACAAGTTAAAGGAATCCCAGCCTGAAGACTTCTACTTCAGGTGCTTTACATCCTGCAGAGGCACTGACCTGGAGCGATGTGCAACATTAGATTATGAGGAGGGGCAGCCAGCTCCCACATTGACCACTGACGTTAGCCAAATCGTTAACCACCTCTTCTCACCTATAATAACTGGGCTAGCACACTCCTATTTTCCCTTCTACTTCAAAAATCCTACATTGCAAAGATTTCCTTATTCTCAAATAACAGTTTCTACCATGTATCTGATAATTTTCTACTTGAGATTATGTGACAATGAGCCACCAATTTCTGCCCATGTCCTAGGCTTTCTGGCAGGCCTCCAATCTCTCCTTACATCTGCAGCCAACCTTAGAGAACACTGGAAATTTAAGGCAAAAATGGGCCTTTGGCATTCAACAGCCATTCTTTTTAACCTCCTCCTTTCTTAGCTATAGCATCATTCATAATGAAGTTTTCTATAAACAGGTAGAAGATAAAAGCTTTTTCTGTGGTTTTTACATCTTAATAGAAAACCCTTAAAAACCAAAACCTACAAGGTGGAAAAAAGTTCATTTTTACTTGTGGGACTTCAGGGACTGTGGTAGCATCAGATGAAAGATCAAATTTGAAAATCCTTCTCAAATTGTACCACCTGTTAATCAGGTTTGTTCTATGTACTTCCCTTCCCCTAAGATCCTGCACTAAAATATGTGTCAGAGAGTATGTAATAATCAAGACAGAGGTTAATAAGTCTCAAATGAGCAAGTAGGTCACAAGAATAGGAAGCATGGTCCATCCAATGCAAATTCCACATAGAAGCAGGAAGGGTGGCCAGGTGAACATGTAGAAATAAGAATCTGGCCTAGTCCTGGGCCAGAGTTTATGTTCTGAAAAACCAGGATTCATCTCAGTATCCCTGGAAATGTAGCAGTGCTGAGTATCTCAGTTGATGCTCCATATTGGATGGATACATGGATGGGTGGATGGATGGATGGATGGATGGATGGATGGATGGATGGATGGATGGATGGATAGATGCATGGGATTCAGGAAGAGTGACTAGGCCTTTCAATAGCCACTGATACTATCTCCTGTGCCCTTTTAATCTCCCTTACAATTCATCATCTTTCAGTTAGGAATAATGTTCAGATATTCAAGCACATACTAAAATGCTTGCATTAATTCAGTAGGTAGAATGCCTTTACTGAGTGCAATAGAGAGAATTTAATGTCAGAATGCCATTGCTCTAAGGGGCAAGGAGGAGACCTAACACTCTTTAGCTAAGACATTCTCTTTTTAATTATGTTAAGATTAACCATGAGAAAGACTATATCTCTAAGACAGAAAGCTTAAGTAGTCAGTTTCCAGATTAAAAAAATCATCACTTCTTTACAAGCATTTACAAATGCTTGTCAGCAGGCTCCAAATTCATGTTTGACAGCTACAAATGAATTCTGATGTGGGCAAGACAGTGTTTTTGAAGCCACTGTGTTAGTGCATACTTTGTTGCATACTTCAAACTTATATTAAAGGCAAGTATATTAAAATTGTTTGATCTAAAATAGAAGCCCTGGCCCATAAAACAGTCATGGACTTCTTTTTCAATCTAATTTTAACCATATTACATTTTTAAAAATTTAGAAAAAGAAAACACTATTGACGTTTTAAGTTTTTAAGTTAAAATATTCGACTTTCTATGAGAAATCCACATTTCACTCTCAAAAAAGATGACATAATGTCCTTCAATTATTTGTTCTTGAAGTACATCGGCACTTCCACAGGCAAATGAGACACTGAGTTCTAGACTAGTGGTATCCTGATTATTATTAGTTTTTTTTTTTTATTTTAAATAGAGCTGTCTAATGTATCATCAGTGTCCCCAACCAGGACTTTAGGAGAATGGGAACAGTCACCCTGGGACAGCCTCCATTTTAGGGAAGAGGAGAAAGTTCAGAGCAAACTAGAACAAAGACTCAGGATGAGGGTAGGATGGAAAGGAATGTCTCCATTTACATGCTTAACAAGGTGTGCCTTGAGTACTGGCATTTCTGTGTTGATCCCAAGTTGACAAGATTCCTGAAAATGTCAAGCTTGGAACATATTGGGCTTAGAAAGGAGTCTTTCTTCAGCGAGGGCTTCTCCCAGAATGACTAACCTGATTCCCCACCATCCCCAGCCCCCTAGCCTCCTGGTGTTATCCCAGGCCAATGACATCAATGTCATGGTAAACATTTCCATATGGGAAACCTAGAAATGATTTATTTTTCAGTTAGAAGAAAATAGATGACAAGTCCTTGAACACAAATGAAAACATTCAGAATCAAGGCCCAAAATACTCAAACTTCTCCAAGAACTCATCAATAAATTTCTCTTTGCAAGATATCCCATCAAACCACAATGACTTATTTAACTTCAAGAACTTATGCAGCCCAGTGTAGTAAACAAAGTTAGGTAAGAATCAAAATGGAAAGGTGGAATTTTGAAAGATTTTGAATTTTTTCCTCAGAAAAAGATGGAAGGGGTATGGTCTTTGGATCATTGTCACATTGATGTGGGCCACTCAGCTAGCACCTCTCATCCTCACTCAGTCCGTGCATCTGTAAAACAGGACTGATACTCACCCTATCCTAACCAAAGTATATTAAAATGTTAAGAAAAGATGAAGCTCATGATGAATGTAAATTATTACTTTTAGTTCCTTTATAATTGCCTGTTCTATTGACCAAAGGAAAGTGTCCCTGTTATCACAGTCGCTGGATTTTTCTTAAACTTTTGGTTTGAAATTTAAGCATGGAAACACCTTTCAGAAAATCAGGATACTTACTGCAAACTACCCGCCTATACCATTTAATGAATTGCAAAGGGATGGGAGACCTGGTTTGTGCTCCCAGGTCTCGGCATGTTATACTTGTGTGTAATATATGCCTTTTCTGAGTCTCAGTGAGGGATGAGTATCTGGATATTTGTGCATTTCTTTGAACTTGGAAGAAATTGCAAAGGAGGATGATGAGATGGGTCAGTAGATGTGGTGACTCAAGACGAGTCTAGAACTTGCTTACATATCTTGAGTTGCTAAACAAGCTCAGCATGCTTTCAATAAGGCAGAGCTTGTCTTTCTAGTGTGCCTTGTCCCAGTTGTCATCACATGCTTTATGATGATATTCCTAGTGGGATTTAGAGTAGGCAGACACTGAAATCACTGGGAGTTGGTACTAGTTAAGTCATTCGGCCTCAGTCTTCCCTGAGGCTAATCATGGGGTCCTCTCTGTTCCTCCCTAGTGCTTCCATATTTAGCTCTTCCTTGCTACAGGCCCCAGGGCCTTAGTCACCTCCTTATAGAATGGCCACTGTCTCGCCAGTTCACTGAGGTTCTTCCACATAACACGGTTCTCCTGTTCCCAGCAGAGAAGCATGGGCCATTTGTCCTTCGAAGGCCTGGAAGTAGACACAAATGTTACCTTCGGGGGCCAAGCATTATTTATGGTAGTCCATAAATGATTGAAGAGGGCTGGGTGAAAACAGAGACAAACTGAAGGACTGCCTGGTCCATGGGTTTTTTGTTGTTGTTTTTTGTTTTGTTTTGTAATGCGGAAATGCAGGCCCAATGTTGCCTGATCTTCTGGTTGTTGTTTTTGTTAGTTTTTTTTTTTTTTTTTCAAGAGAAACCAGAAATCTGATTTTTTTGATGTGAAATGTATTAATTGGTAAATTTTAGCAACTTAGTAAATTTTTAAAAATACATTGTCACTGGCAATATTCTGGTTCTTGAAGAAAGGAGTTTATGAGTGTTTGTTAAGCATTTTGCTTTATGGCTTATGTATACATTGTAGATAGGAGTATTATTAAATTTATCATCAAAACCTGGGCAGTGTGAGAGAATAAAGGGGAGGTGATTAATGATTTTGTCAGGGATGAGAACTTTTCACATTTTATGTCCTCCAGCTCCCTATTTTGAGGAGATGGAAAAATAAGTATCTGTAAAAAGGTATAGAGATGGGCCCTGATGGGCAGGCAGGAAGACATTCAGGCTGGAATTAACATGGTGCATTCAGGGCATCAGGAGACCTGATCAGTTTCAGAGAAAGCGCTCCAAAAGGCAATGGTTGGGATACATCTATTTGATAGGCTAGAGACAGATTAAAGACTGATATGAAAGCCAAAGCAGAGGGTTCCCAACTCAGTGTAACTGGCAATAGGAACTAACACTCGTTCTTGAGAAGGAGAGGGCAGTGGAATACAGAACAGACCAGAGGAACAGAACAGGAGATGAGATGGAGCAGGCAGGTTCACGACTTAGGATGCAGAGCACAGTTTAATACTACATTCAGCACACATTTGCTGAACACCTGCAGTGTACTGAGCACTGTCCTATGAGCTAGGAGACAGAAAGATAGGAAGGACATAATCCAGTGGGGGGGTCAGAAATTTTAAAAGAGAATCATCATGTTTCAAGGGATAGCAGAGTTGATATTGGTAGGAAGAGTGGAGGCAGCCAGATGAAGGAGGTGGGAAGTGAGAAGAGCACCCCAGGCAGAGGTGCCAGCATAAGAACGTCGTGTGAAAAGGCAGTGACCTGCTGCTCCGTGTCCTGAGCTTGGAAACCCTAGTGAGACATTAGGAGAGAGTGCAGGCAAGAGGATCCTGCAGGCCTTGAGACAGGGCAGAAAACAAGGCCTCCAGAAATGAGGCAGCAGGAGGAAGTGTATGAGAAAGCAGAATAGATCTAGAAAGAGCCAGCAGATCAGAGGATAAGATGGGCAAGTACCATGTCACAGAAGCAAAGAGAGGAAGTGGAGTTTCAACAGCGGCCTTTAACAGAGAGAGTGCGAAGGTCAGAGACCCAGAAGAAGGAGGGCTTGGCTAGAAGGTCACTAGTAGGCTCTGGCTTCCATCTCCAGATAGGCTAAGATTAAGCCAATTCACCATTTTCCCACAACTGTCAACTCTGCAGAATTGCCTTTTCTTCCTCTCAGACAGAAAGGGAAATCCCAGCTGCCTGAGCAACCGGTTTTTCACTTTCCTCCTTGTTTGCAGAGTCTAGTGGGGCTGGCCCTGGTAACCTCTGGTGATTCATCCAGCACACCCTATGACCACATCCCCATTGTGTGTGTGTAGAGAGGATGAGAGTTTATGTGTTCCTCTGAACGTTATTACAAAAGAAAAGAACATTGTTCTCTAGAAATATGAAAGAAAAAGAAAAGAACAAGGTGTTACTCTAGCATAGTTTTTTCTCAATTATCTGAGTTGTGAAAAAAAAAGTAATGAATAGTGGAGCTTCCTCAAAACAGATTCTGAGCGCTGTCAGTAGTTAACAGTAACTACTGTGGTGGAATTCCTGTGTGGATCTATTTTGGCACTGTGTTACGTAATTATTTTTATCTTAGGATCAGATCTGAATCATTCAAAGCCAATGTCTTCAGGGCACTGGTGTGACTCCAGGTGTTCTCACATGCCTGTCTTTCTTCTCAGATCACTGCCCAACACTGAATCTCAAGTGATGGACCTCAGTGCATATGAATTCGGGGCCTATATGTTTTGTAACAGCAAATCCTACCCCACTGGTGAAAAAGTCTAATAACCTGACTGATTTTCTATTTTGATGAGCCCTCAATTGAGAGATTATATTGTGGTAGTAGGTTACACCTGCCCACCATGTGAAAAACAAACAGTAAAGATTGAGAACCCAAATGTGTGTCTTTAGAAATTAATCCGTACAATTTAAAAAACTGCCAAAGGAAATGTAAAAGATAGTTTCATAATTGTTAGGTATTAATAATATCTATTCTAAATGTATGGCTTATTTTTTACTAATATAATAGAAATAAACAGGCTTGGACCTAATGTAAATTGATTCTTAAGAATTCACTGCACTAATAGTTTGGATTTTTGTGTTCATTCTATTTCTGTGGCAGGTGCTGGTCTCAGTGTCAGTGATAATGAATCTGGTCAAGGCAGCCAGGAGGGGGGCACCTTGACTGACTCCCAGATCGTGGAGCTCAGGAGGATACCCATCGCCGACACTCACCTGTAGCACCTCACTAACCATTCGACTGAGCACACTTTCATATTTGTATCAGCTTTTGTGCTAAAACTCTCTAAGTACATCCACCTGTGTAATAGGAACCTGTGAATTGTACTGGATGATTAATACAAACGTGATTGTTGTATTTGGAGTATAAATTACTGATTGTATGTGACCTGAAAATTCACTGCTATAAGAAAGGTGGAGTCAGTTTGTATCAGTTAATAGGATGTTCATATTCCAAGGATATTAGTTGTTTTTTTAATCATCCTATATGGCTAACATTGTTTAATGAAAGTAATAATCAATAAAGCAATAGAATCTATTTGGTATCATCCAGCTTCATTATTGATAAAGAAACATTGTGCATGGGCAAAAAAAGCTAACTCTATATGTAGATGATGACAAGCACCCTGTGCCATCTTGCATGAATCCAGGTGATCCAGATTCAAGACTTCACTGCAACTAGAAGACTTTAATTCTGAAAACTGTAAAATGGTCTGTCTGTTGATGATCCTGCACATAAATGTTGATTGGAGTACTGAAGTTGGCCTAGTCTTTCAACAGTATGTATTTCTGCTCATTATAAAATTAGGGATCTGAACACTTCTCAGAATGAATGTTCTGTCCCCAGTTAAAAATAACTCCATCAAGCATTTTTTTCACGCAGTTAGAAGAGGATCTTTCAAACAATGCAGAGTTTGTTTTAGAGAAACATTTCTCAGTTTGGATTTTTCAGTCTTTCTTTGTCTTGGAATGAGACATCAGAAAGTCTATCCCAGAACAAACGCTGTTGTGTTCGTGATGATTTCATTGACTATAGTTCCAGAAGAATCATCAGGAACAGAACAAGTTTGTCCTGAGGAAGGCATTTTGACTTTTTATTTTGGAATTCTTAAGTATGTTTGAGAAAATCAGTATCATCTCAAGAAAGGTTAAAAAGATTAGCTAAGAGAAAATTTTGTTCTGTTAATAATTTTCCTTAGAGCCATAATTAAAAGATCCAAGTGCTTTATCATCGCTATTAAGGGTGGCTTTATTTGTTATAAAGCCTGAGGTGGCATTATTTATCTTGATAAATTATAAAATGTCTCCTTTTCCTGTGAGTCCTCCCCTTCCCCTACCCCCTTCGTCTTATATTGAGTTTCGATAAGTAGACTGTCACTGTAAGTAGAAAACAAAGGGTCAGGAGCAGTGGCTCATGCCTGTAATCCCAGCACTTTGGGAGGCCAAGGTGGGAGGATCCCTTGAGTCCAGGAGTTCAAAACTAGCCTGGGTGACATGGCAAAACTCTGTCTCTACAAAAAAATACATTAGACATCTAATTGTCTAACAAAGGCAATTGTTGGTAGCTCTTTTCTTTTCTACGTGTTGCCAAAATTTGAGAAAACCTGACCAAAAAAGGTTGCTGGGTTTCTATTGCTATTCAAATTGCCATCATGATAAAAAATCAAAAGGGCTACCTGCCACTGTTCAGCTTGATTCTTTTAAATATTGGAAGGAAAACCCAAGGTTTTACAAGCCACAGTGCTAAAAACAAATAAGATTCATATGCCAATAGCAACAATAGTTTGCCATTCTGTTTCCTCCAAATGTGCATTAAAGTGGGACACCTGCCATATAGTACTATGTAGGGAGAAGCAAATAAAATCAAATTCTCAAAAATGAAAACGGAAAGGCTAGGACTCTAACACTTCACCTGTGATCTTTCTCTTTAAGTAGGATTGGTCCTCTTTTTCTCCATGACATTTCCTTAACGCCTTTACTGAGATATCATTCACATTCCATAAAACCTATTTAAAGTATACACTTCAATGGTATTTGGTATATTACGTTATTGGAGTTTTTAAAAATTGTAGTAAAATATGTATAAAATGTATTATTTTAACCATTTTAAGGGTATAATTCAGTGGTTTAATTACATTCACGATGTTTTGCAACCATCACCTTTATCTATTTCCAGAATGTTTTCATCACTCCAAACAGAAACTCTGTATACCCCTTCTCCATCACATTTTCTTTCCTCTGTAGGAGATACCTGACATTTCCTTGGCAATGTCTTCACTTTTCTGCATTTTTGTGATTACTTTATTGCATTTGTTTTTGTTTTACGTTTTTAGTATTTTAGAACATTAAAATAAAAAAGGATTTTTCATAATTTGGATACAAGTACAGAGAGGTATGCACATGGGTTACAGGATGATGATAGAACTGGTGGAATTTCAAGACAGGAAATACCAGTTGAATGAAAATCTTAGTAAACAAAACACAGAAAAGCATTTCATTCTGGAACTTGAGTTTTGCGTTGATTTTCAATCTCTTGAGATACTTTAAGGTTTAATCAACATTTTCCATGCCTCCCAAATCTGATCACGGAAGTTTAAACATAATGGAGGTATGAAAAAAAATGCCATTTGGGAACTGAACTCCCAAACAATTTCACCTTGTGTTTACCAGCACTTAAGATCCTAAGGCCTCTGGGTAGATTTGTTTGAGGTTAAGTGTCAATCAGATAAGTAAGTGATGTTGACCTCAAAGTGTCTGGATGCCAGAGTAGATCTCCCTTGGACACCCTGACTTTGGCAGAAACAAAGAAAGCACCAAGGCCATGCCTATGTTCCATATGGCCTTCTAATTGTTAATGTCATAGACCCAGTCCTTCCAATGCTTCTCTAGCAGGATCCAAGTCAAAGGACCACATATTCAATGAGTAATATTTACAGAATGGACCAAATGACTGAGGCTGGGAAACTCTTTCATCATCTTGCATCTCTTCTACTCTTTTTTTTTTTTCTTTTTTGAGATGGAGTCTCACTCTGCCTCCCAGGCTGGGGTGCAGTAGCTCAATCTTGGCTCACTGCAACCTCACCTCCTGGGTTTATGTGATTCTCCTGCCTCAGCCTCCCGAGTAGCTTGGATTACAAGTGCACGCCAGTGCACCCAGCTAAGTTTTTGTATTTTCAGTAGAGACAGGGTTTCACCATGTTGTCCAGGCTGGTCTCAAACTTCTGACCTCAGATGATCTGCCCGCCTTAGCCTCCCAAACTGCTGGGATTACAGGCGTGAGCCACCATGCCCAGCTACTTCTAGTCTTTTTGACTGACTAGTGAAATAAAATACAACTCAGCTGAGTGATATTGAGAAAACGTAGTTCATACATTCTGATTTTATTCTTACTCAATTATTCTCACCTACCCAAACTTTTATTCCATAAAAATGTCAACACTGTAGTAGAAAAGCAAATTCACCTTTATAAACATTTAGAAACACCCAGATGCTTTATTAAACTATAGTGCATACTAGCTAGCACATGCGTGAATACATGCACAATATTCCTAAGGAAAACACATTATTTTCGTGGTAATCTATAACTATTCAAACCACCTTGACAAGTTAGGCAACTACTTTAATTAGGAATTGACTACACTGGAGATAAAAGTGTTTAACAAAGAATTTATTCAAAACAACCCAGATACTTATTGATGCTTCAGTATCATTGATTTATGGTTAACAAACATCTTTTATAAACTAAATTACATGGTTTCAAGAAGAAATGCAAATGGCGAATAACCATGCTTCCTGTCATCTGTGACAATGGGATACTGTTATCAAATACTACTGTCATGGTCCTTGGGAATACTATGGATGTCTCATTTCAGTTCCCAGCCTGGCCCCTGCAGTGGACTCAGCAACTGGATCTACCTATTAGAACCAAGGTTGGAGCCAAAGTTTCTAAAACTGACATAGCTCTAGAAATTTATGAGCACTTTCAGTACATGAAATAGTATTTTAGGACTGTGAAAAAACGTAAGTAATCACTGCTTTCTAATAGATACAATAATTCAAATTTTAGCAAGATCAAACTTTACTTTTTGCCTGTGATAAACCTTTATGAGTTTGTAAACAAATCACAAATTTGATTTTTTTTAAATTTAGGATTGTACTCCTAGCATTTGTTTTGTAACACTAATGAAGGAAAGAGACAATGCAAACCATTTCAACATCACTATTTTGAGCTTTGGTATGGTTACATTTATTTCAGAGGTAATGGGGTGTGTGTGTGTGTGTGTGTGTGTGTGTGTGTGTGACGCTGAAAAGTTCTGGGGGCCGGGTGCAGTGGCTCACACCTGTAATCCCAGCACTTTGGGAGGCCAAGGCAGGCAGATCACTTGAGGCCAGGAGTTTGAGACCAGCCTGGCCAAAATGGTGAAACCCAATCTCTACAAAAAATACAAAAATTAGCCAGGCATGGTGTCAGGTTCCTGTAAGGCTGAGGCAAGAGAATTGCTTGAACCCAAGAGGCAGAGGTTTCAGTGAGCCTAGATCGTGCCACTACACCTCCAGCCTGGGCTACAAAGATAGGCTCTGCCTCAAAAAAAAAAAAAAAAAAAAAAAAGTCCTGGGAATTCAGAGCAAGAAAAAAAGAAAAACAGGAAAATTACAATAATAATAGTTTCCATGATTAAAAGATGTTTTCAAAAGCTGACTTGTGAAGTGTGTGAAACAGTCCATCATCCTGCACCACATTATATATCCTTATTCTGCACATTCATCAAAATCATTTTGAAGACTTTTGTACATTACAGGAGGGGAGTAGTGGTCATTTAATGAAAGACTTGAAAGAGTGGGTAAGAACACTCACACAAACTAGAAAGATACTCAAGAACTATCAGGGGTACTATGGTTTCTTTCCTGAATGTTCTATCAAATAATACACGTATTATATAGTAAAGGGGTTGTTTCCCCTTTTAAAAGATCACCTTTATCCTGAAGGTTCATCTGTGCTGTCACATTTTGCAGAATTTCCTTTTTAAAGGCTGAGCAGTATTCCACTGTATGTCTATACCATACTCTGTTTATCTATTCATCTGTCAATGGACATTTGGGTTGTTTGCACATCTTGGCTATTGTGAATAGTGCTGCAATGAATATAGAAGTGCTAGTATCTCTTCAAGATTCTGATTTCATTTCTTTTGGACAAATATTCAGAAGTGGGATTGCTGGTTCGTTTGTTAGTTCTATTTTAAATTTTTTTAGAAAGTCCCATGCTGTTTTCCATAGCAGCCACACCATTTTGTATTCTCACCAACAGTGTACAAGGGTTCTGGTTTCTACACATCCTCACCAATACTTGTTGTCTTTTTGTTTTCTCATAATAGCCATCCTGGCAGTTGTGAGGTGAAATCTCATTGTGGTTTTGATTTTCATTTCTCTGATGACTAGTGACATTGTGCATTTTTTAATACATCTGTTAGCCATTTGTATGTCTTCTTTGAAGAAATGTCTGTTCTAGTCCTTAGTCCATTTCTAATTGGGTTATAAGGTGTTTTTGGCTATTGAATTGTTAGAGTTCCTTATATATTTTGGAAATTAACCCTTTATCAGAAACATGGTTTGCAAATATTTTCTCCATTCTATAGGTTGCCATTTTACTCTGTTGATAAGTGGAATAAGACAATCACAGAAAGACAAATACTACATTATTCCACTTATATGAGGTATCTAAAATAGTCAACTTCACAGAATTAAAGAGTGGAATAGTGGTTGCCAGGGGATGGGGGAGGGGAAATGGGGATTTAAATCAATGGGCATAAAGTTTCAGTTAAGCAAGTTGAATAAGCTCTAGAATAAGCTCTGGAAATTTGGCATACAACAGTACAACATTGTACTTATAGTCAACAATAATGTAATATGCACTTAAAATTTTGTTAAGAGGGTAAATCTCATGTTGGGTATTCTTACCACAATAAAATAAATTTTTAAAAAATTGCTTACAGGGCAACTTGATCACTATTTTTCACTGTAAGTGCTGGCACTGCATGGAAAAATAAGTTCAAAAAAATTTTTTGAAAACTTTCCCAATCTCTTCTGGAACCCCTAATAGTAACTTCTCACAGAATCCCTAATTACATCTGCAAAACCCTAATTAAACAACCTGTGCTAGACTATATGCTCAAGAGTGTTCCCACTTTTACTTGTCTCTGTCTCATTTGTTTTGTTATCCTAAGCAACTAACACAGTGCCTGAAACAAAATGATGCCCAATAAATTTGTTGAGCTGAAAAAAAGTCATCTTTACCCTAGCAGCTAAATTAGAGCATCTTTTTTCTTGATTTTTTAAAATTGATTTGGTTACAGAAGTTATGCCTTTAAAAATCCAAATGGATAGCAATTATTGAACAAATAAGATGCCATATCATCTTCATGTTACCAAACAGCTTTCATTTTCAAGGCTATAGTTTGTTGAATTGTATCTGTAATTCACTCTGCTTCATAGTTATCCAAGGAGTCTTGAAAACCACTAAAGATCTATGAAAAACTTGTTATTTTCATTTTGGCAGTAGTCTGTATAACAGGTTTCAAACTAGAATAGATTTTTAAGGATTACTGGGGTTAGGGGAGGACAAAAGGAATAAATGAACAACAAAAGATGATATTTACTTCTCTCATCTCATTCTTGTTTCAAGACCTGTTAGTCATAAGGGCTTTGTGTGGAAAATTACATATGCATGAGTATTTCATAACCAAATGGTTGTAATCTCTTCTACTCATCTGGTTCCACAGTAGGAAGTCAAAAAACTGTGTATTCGTCATTTCATGGTTGATTCATTATGCCTGTACTAAGTATGTTTGAAATAAGTCTGCTCCATAATACCCAACTCTAGATAACATGTAATTTCTCATTGTAGTAAACCAGGGAAATAAGACTCACTGTACTCTGAAGGTAAAGCAATGTAATCAGTTTAACTGTTTGTGTCCAAGGTTCAGAAGAACACACTATCATCTTCACAACCGAGCAATGACTCTATTCCACAATTTTAGGAACTACATATTGATAAGAATCAAGACCTTTCCATATCCAACTACATCATGATTTCTCAAGACAACCCAAAGGATTCTGAGTCAAAAGTTGTTGCTTCTTGTCAGTCACCAAGATAAAGACTAACCTGTGGAAAGTGGACCCTTTTTCCTGGCAAAAGATAGAAAAAGTTTGAAAAGGAAAATAATTTTTTAAAGAAAAAACTTTAAAGTCAGCACAACAAAGTTTTGATAAAATGCACAGAATTGCAACTTGCCAGTGTAGATTATAGAGCAAATACAACAGAATTGACAAATTTGAAGGATGAACAAAAAGATGAACAGATTTTATTTTGTCTTAGGTCCAGTTATTCAAAACCTCTATAAACTAGAACACTATAGGCAATTTTGAAAGAGAGAAAAAGCATTTTCTTAACCCTACCAAATTTCTCTTGGAAGACTGGTCACATAGAAAATTTGGAATCTTTGCTCTTTGTCTTCTTATTTATCCTTCCCTCTTCCTCACACTTCATATTTTATAGGGGAGAGAGTTTTTGAAAATTTATATTGAAATTATTTTTAAATAAAGTATATTTTTCACACTATGTGGGCCTGTCTGATTATTGTTAAAAAAGAAAAATGTCAACAAATTCAGTTTAATGATTGATTGTTTTTTATTAGTGATTCATGAATTGGACAGCATCTCATCTACAAAACAAAGGGAGCCCCATTGGGTATGGCAGGACAATTGATTTTTGTAAGGAAACTTGAGCAGGAACAAGGAAACTGCTTAATACAAAAAAGCAAATTGTTTAACCTCAGGTTACTTCAGAGTACCTTCCTCATAAGGGTTAAAGCAGAAAGGACTTCCTTATCATGCCGGCTCAGGTCAGCTGGGTCCTTTTGGATTGGTTGCTGTGAATCTTTTGTTTTTTGGAAAAACTGGCCTACTTAGAGATTTTCCTGTTCATTTTAATTTCAGTTTGATTATGTGGCACTGAACACAAGTGACTCCATTTCGGTTTGTTCTGCTGGGGCCTCGTGCAGAAGCTCAGTTCAAAATAATGGCTACCCTTAAATTGTATTTACCATTATAAATCAGAATACCAATAAAAGTTTGATTTATATTAAGATGAAATCAAGAAATAATTTTAAAATAAATAATAAATGCTTTGGAATTGGAAATCAAGAATTTTAAAGAAATAAATAATAAGATGAAGTGCAGCCGTCAGCTCATTAGAGGGAAAAGAATAAATTCAAAAATATTAAGATGGGTGATGTTTAGCCAGTTCTCTGCAGGACCTAAGTCACTGCCAGTGATGATTAAGCAGCTTGAGATTACACAAAAATTCAAGTGCCAAGGCACAGACTAACTGAGGCAGGACAGGGGATCAAGCGAAGCAATGAAAAAAAATATCTCTTTCCGTTTCTACCTTATTACCCAGAGTTTAAGACTGATAGCAGTTCTTAAAGGTTTTAGTTATTTTATAACCCAGAGATGTTGAAAGTGAGATTGGATAAGCTGCTGGAGTAGAGGCACTGTTTCAGTATTCAGTCCACTAAAATATTTAGGGAGGGTATGGGCCTCTGTCCCCCAGAGAACAGGCCGAGATTGCAGAATAAGAATCCCCTTCCTTCCTGCTCCAGCCCCGCCCCAATGCCAGCACCTGCATTTGTACATTAGGTGCTTGGGATATTAGGGAGTGGAAGAAGTCCCATTTCAATTCCTGATTCTGATCAGAATATTAGTAAAGAATCAAAATAATTGGCATATTCTTCTCACCACTACCTCCCACCGCTACCTCTACTCACAGATGTTTCTTTTTTTTTTTTTTTTTTTTTTTTTTTTTTTGAGACAGAATCTTGCTCTGTTGCCCAGGCTGGAGTGCATTGGTGTGATCTCAGCTCACTGAAACCCCTGCCTCCCGGGTTCAAGTGAGTCTCCTGCCTCAGCCTCCCGAGTAACTGGGATTACAGGCCCTCGCCACCACACCCAGCTAATTTTTGTATTTTTAGTAGAGATGAGGTTTCACCATGTTGGCTAGGCTGGTTTCGAACTCCTGACCTCAAATGATCCGCCTGCCTCAGCCTCCCAAAGTGCTGGGATTACAGGTGTGAGCCATTGCTCATGGCCACGCAGAGGCAGTTTTTAATACACATCCCTTCAATTTTGAGCCAGAAATACCAGATTAATTTTTCCTCACACAGCTCCCTCCTATATCCTTTCTATCTTCTCTATCAATCAATACCAGCCACGTTTCTGCCTTAAGAGAGATTATGAGCAATTGGCATTTTCTGCCTTGTAGGAGTTTCACCAACAAAGTACATACATTTCATCCTAGATGAGATAGAAAAACACTCAATGTAAGTGTTCTCAAAACAATTTGCATTGTGGCAAAGGCAGGGAAAAATTTTTTTCTGTACATAGATGAATTATTTTGATGTAAGATGGAGGCAGAAGCAGAATGGAATGAACCATTTTGCTCTCCCCACAGCACAGGAAGACTGTGTGATTTCTCTTTTGCACACGTGCACAATCTTTGTCTCTCTCATAAAAGCACCTTAAAACTGTAAATAGTCTGAAGTAGTTCTTAGGGGTTAACAAGTTCAAATAATTATCCATGATAGGTTCAATAATAATTCATTTTATTTACACGAATGCTCAGTTTCCTCTGAAATTCAGACTCGTGGACTCTGCCTGCTGATAGTATAATAGAAAATTTTATAAAGGAAATTACTTTCCTGGATATGAAACAAAGAAACTTATACAAGTAAATATGACCAATTCTGTACTACACAACTAAGGAAAAATATATAGACTATATTATAGATTTTTATAATAGGTCTAATATTAAGAGCAAATAATAAGAGAAATAAATTTCATTCAGGTTGAGAAATTATTTTTTAAAGCGTTACAGGTTCATGTACTTATTAGAAAGGAAGTAGGAATTGAGCATGCCTTAAAAACAAAAGGTAAATTGGAATTCTTTGGCAATGCAAATATTTAAGTCAAGGAGTCAAGGACACAAGCATTATAAAATACTTAACAAATTTCAAACACAGAAGAGTTACTGCAAGATTGGAAAATTGTAGTACAATTCTAGATTAATGTCTGCCTGGTTTGCTGAAAGGAGATTTTTACCAAGAGACAGAATTATCCACTAAATGGTTGCTCGGGAAGGCTTCCTTTGCAAACACACCCAATATTTTTTTTAAAAAAAAATTATTAAATTTAGTATACCATGATTTTATGTAAGCAAACTCAGATACTGCTTCATTTCTATTATTATTATTATATTTTGTTATACTTTCTACTAACAAAATACATACTATTATATACTTTTCTTGTTTTCTGGGTACTGTACTCATGATTATATTGTTCTATCTCATCAAACCTATAGAAGTCTACAGGTAAAGTTGAGTGGATTTTGTATTTTGCCCATTACCACCTAGAATACAAGGTTGTCCAGTTGGAATTGTGATATTCGTTTATTTTGCAGAATTTAAACTATTTGACTAAGCTGGACGTGGTGGCATGCACCTGTAGTCCTAGCTATTTGAGAGGCTGAGACAGGAGAATTGCTTGAGTCCCAGAGTCCAAGGTTGTAGTGAGCTATAATTGCACCACTGCACTCTAGCCTGGGTGACAGAGCGAGACCCTGTCTCTTTGAAAAAAAAAAGAAAGAAACTATTTGACCATTTCCAAATAGAGAAGAACTCCAAGGTTCTTCTCCTTAGAGAACAACCATTCTTCACAGGATTTAGATTGTGATAAATAAAACTGTGACCACAATTTTAAAACTCCCTAAAAGATGACAAGCCTTTTAACTTCAGTGATTTGTACTTCCCTTAGCCTCCACCCCTTCTCCTAAGCATGGTTGCTGAATAGTTAGACCTTCAGAATAGACAAAGACCAGCTGGAAGTATAATACATTTCCACTTGGTTCCAGATGTCATGTAGTAAAATATATAGAACCCAAGGCCCTGAATGACTCTTGGAATAAGCAATAGTTGCTTTCTATTTTAGGTCTAAACTGTGAACATGAAGCAGAGAGGAATTGCTTACATTCTGCCTGCTTCAAGGCAAAGTAAAAATTAAGCTCAGCATGCCATCGCATACTTACAAGTGACTTAGGTGAACATTCCTTATAACAGATTTTGAGAGTGCCAAGGTTTCCAATGAAATAGGAAACCATTAAAATGGCTTATCATTTATCATTTTGGGAAAAATGGAGAGACTACTGATTCACCTCCAGCAGTAAGTGACCCTTCACGGACTCTAAAAGCATCATAGACAATGGCCAAAACTATTAAATTCATGGCCAAATTAGGGAGACTTTTTAAAATATGGCTTGTACAGTCACCCCCAATGGCAGTACAATACACTTATGGTATGTAAAGAAGTACACATGATACTTGATTTAATAAGCCTCCTTTTGGGGATGTTCATGAGTTATATATAGTTCACAGTTCTAATAATTATAAAGCTTCATTTCAAAGAGAATACCATGTGTTTTAAAGAAAAATGTAATAGTGGTAAAATAAGATTATACAGTATACATGCTCTTCCATCATACAATTTTTTTGGAGAATGAAATAAATGACAGCAGAAAGTTCTTGCATAGTCACTTGAAAGAATATTTTAGAAGTTCTTAAGAATATTAACAATTAAAGTGAGATAGCTTTTATAATACAATCCAAAGTTTATCACTAATAAAAATATGTATAATAAAATTCTAAATATGTACATATATATTTACATATAAATATATAATATGAATACAAAAACTATACATTTATAGAAATATATAACATACCTTTACATGTTATGTTTATAATGTAAACATATTCACAAATCTTCACACACAAATATACACATACATACATATAACATGTTGTTAATAGTGTAATTACAGTGATTTTCAATTTCTTCTTTGGCTTTTCCGTATTTTTCAAGTTTTCTACATAGAGTGTGTGTTAAATTTGAATTCAGAAAAAATATACATATAGTTTGCTGGAAATTATTTAAGCCCTGGGTTTAGCACAAGTGGTGTTTAAGACATCTATTCTTTTTGTTCAGTCAATCTCTAGAGTAGCAATTATAGCAGATAAGATTTTCAGAGGCTAAAGGCCACAGGCTTCCCGTTCCTGGTAGAAATGACACCCCTGTGAAATCTGCTTCATAGATGACATTAGGTGACCACAACGATTAGTGTACCATGAACCTCAGAACCACTGGAGCTGTGGGTGCCAAACCCTGTGGGACCTCTATTCATAAACTAATAGATTTAACTTCTCAGTCCAAGCAAATCTCTAATATAGGCATGGGGAAAAAGAAAGGAGAAGCCCCAAGCCAAAGGAATTGTCTGTCACTGACAGTTTGTGAAAGGAACACACGAGTGCTTTTATTCTAATCAATGGGTGCCACAATGTTAGCATATTTAAAAGATAATGACATATACTTGATGGTCACAGAGGAATCATTTATGGAAAAATGAGCATTTGCAGTATTATTTCAGACTTTTGGATTTGTTCCATGTTTCAGAAAAAAAAAAAAAAAACTATGCTAAATTTCAAAGGAAACTTGAGCCTTACCATTCACACGTTCTGTAATTTCAAATAACTGTTCCAAACCTGATAATGAAATTTTTTTTTCATTGAATGAAGATTGACTTCTAAGTCACTTTATTTAAATACTAAAAGCGAAGAGAAAAACCAGTCCTCTCCTGCCACTTTCTCTGGGCTCCCAGGCCCTGCATGCTTCCTAGTTAATCATACACAATCCAAACATTCTCCACATACAGTGCACAGCCTCACAGCACTCCCCAACTCAGCAAGCTCAGGGCCTAAGGCCTCTCCTATTCCTCCACATGGTATTCTGAAATACATATAGTGTACTTCAGCATTTTTAAAAAGTCTCGGTATGTACATATGAACTTGATATTTGATATCTGATTTTTCCTATTTCATATTTTTAATAAACTTAATTTATCGTGCCTCATTTACACTTGCATAAACTAGAAGGTGGTATATCCTTTTAACTGTAGTTGTCAAAAATATGTCACTCTACTTTCATGCAAATCAAGGTACATTTAGAGGCATCCTGCTCAGTTCTAAAATTAGGTCAGTTCACCAACACAATGTTTCCTATCTCATGAGGCCCTCCATGCCCAACGCCATCTGTTTTCTCCTGCTCCCTCCCCCGTCCACTAATACACTCTCCCTGAGTAATATTTTTCTGCTTCTGTATTCCTTTTTTATTCTCTTTCTGTGACAATGTCAAAGACAATAGCAGAATCAAAGAGATATTGTATTAATCAAAATAATTGATACTAGCTACCATAATAAACAAAACCTAGTTTTCAGTGACTTATCATAATATCAAGTTATTTCTTGCTTATGCAAAGTCCAGTATCCCTCTTTTCAAAGCGATGACTTGGAATCCCTTCTCCTTTCATTCTGTGGTGTCACCGTCCTTTAGACCCTCAGAATCCTTCATTTCTATCAAGGTGGTTGGAGAAAGAATGAGAGAATGGAAGCTTTTGTGGAATATGTGGTCATCGTCACTAGAAGTGCGTTGGCCAGCACTCAGTCACGTGGTTCTGTCTAGATGCTGGACAGGCTAGGACATGTGTGTCAGGAAAGAGCAGATGTAGGTAAATACCAACTATCTTGGCCACATACAGAGCCTCTCTCAATTTTTTCCACAATCACATCATCTCAGGTGAACCACCCTAATCCAGTGTGCATCTTTAGGCATGCACTTCCCTTACCACTCCAGCCACCCTGCTTCCCTCTCCGCCTTTTATCTCTGACATTATTTTTTTTTTTTTTAAGAGATAGGGTCTCACTCTGCTGGACAGGCTGGAGTGCACTGGCACAATGATGGCTCACTGCAGCCTTGACCTCTCAGGCACAAGCAATCCTCCTGCCTCAGCCTCCCAAGTAGCTGGGACTACAGGCATGCACCACATGCCCGGCTAACTTTTTAGAATTTTTTTATAGAGACAAGGTCTCACTAAGTTGCAAACTCTTCTCAAACTCCTGAGCTCAAGCGATCCTCCCACTGCAGCTTCTCAAAGTGCTGAGATTACAGGTGTGAGCCACCACACCTGGCTCTGGCATTAGCATTTCAGCCCACCCAAAGCTATTCTTCCCACGAACCAAGTGTATTACTCCCTGCTGACTCACCACTCTATCTTGAGTTCCAAAAAAAATCAAATGTTTCTAAAGTTAAATAGTTGCCCTAGATTGTGTTAATTTCTTCAGTCTTTGCAAGGAATAAAAACTGAGGGTGAAATAAGCTGATAGAATCACCACTGGCTACCATAATAAAGCATTCATACCAAGTGCAAGGCAGGGCTCGGTGGCTCATGCCTGTAATCTTAGCACTTTGGGAGGCCCAGGTGGGTGGATCACCTGGGCTCAGGAGTTCGGGACCAGCCTGGGCAACATGGTGAAATCCTATCTCTACTAAAAATACAAAAGTTAACTAGGCATGGAGGCCCACACCTGTCCCAACTATTCGCGAGGCTGAGGTGGGAGGATAGCTTGAGCCTGGGAGGCAGAGGTTGCGGTGAGCTGAGATCATGCCACTGCACTCCAACCTGGTTGACAGAGTACGACCCCTTCTCAAAAAAAAAAAAAAAAATTCACACCAAGTGCAAGAAGCAATACAAACGACACAATAAAGAAAATCCCAGAGGAGATAGAAGCAGAAATAAGAACTTAAATTTTTCATAAAAGACTAATACAATAATTTTGGATACTCTGATACACGTATAAAATTCTTCAAAATTTCCTGAGATGAAAAGGTAAATCCCCTGCACCAGGACAGATAGCCTGAGTTACTAGTTTCATAACTAGAATTATGAAAGAGGAATGCTCAAAGGAACAAGCTGCATTTGGAAACATTTTGCAATTTTCAGACCTGAGATCAGTTACCCAAAAGATGAGTTAAAATATTCTGAAAAACAATCTCTTACAATAGACGTCACTAAGCCAGATATGATCCTTCCCCAGAAACAAAAGGAAAAACTGATCATGAAAAGATCTTACCACTTCCTGTGGAATTCAGAATCATCTGAAACACTACTGGAGAAGAAAATAGAGGGAAATATTGCTGGATTTCTTAGTCTTTGCTTGTACCCATTCAATTAATCTTATAGTTTTTCAAACTTATTTTTAGGTTTATCTTATTAACTCTTTTATCTATATTTCATGTGGGAGTATGACAGTCCCTTTTATTTAAATTATCCTACCATTACTATTGAAACTTTTTAAATCAATATTATTCTAAAGCTTTATTTATATGAGGTCAGACTTTTTTTCTGGCTGGATAGGGTAATAGTAGTTGTAATAATTAAAAGTGAAGGAATAACTTAGATCAGAATAAAAAAATATTCCCTGGCTTTTTTACTTACAGGAAATTGTAGATTATTCCTTTCCAGAAGGTGAAAAAAAAATCTTGTGTGAGTAATAAGACAAATTTTCACACAAATAACCAATAACATGAGCTAGACAGATGTTGTTTATAAATTCTTTTACTTGCGCCATTTCTTTGGGAAGTTAGGAAAAAGAAAATCACTTAAAGTACAAAATAATAGATGCTTTGCCATTGGGGCCCTATTATAATATGAAATAGACAAAGTTCAAGTGGTTTTTAATATTAATAGTCTAAACTGTAAAATCATGAATGGTACTGTAATTGGGTTATTTTGGTTGCAGAAAGATCTACTTGTAACCAGCTGCAGTGATAAAGGGCAATTAACAAAATAAAGTTACAGGGATATTTCATGGAAGCTATAGAACTCTCTCCCCTTTATGTCTCTCAACTAGATCGCTATGCTTCCCGGTTAATATGGAAGAAAATTACTGACAACATATACCAATGTATCCTCCACTTAAGAAAGTACCCCAGGCTAGGCATTGTGGCTCATGCCTGCAATCCCAGCACTTTGAGAGGGCCAGGTGGGCAGATCACTTGAGTCCAGGAGTTCAAGACCAGTTTAGGCAACATAGTGAAACCTTATCTCTACTAAAAATACAGAAATTAGCCAGGTGTGGTGGCACTCTCCTGTAATCCCAGCTACTCGGGAGGCTGAGGCACAAGGTTGCTTGAATCCGGGAGGGGGAGGTTGCAGTGAGCCGAGACTGCGCCACTGCACTCCAGCCTGGGTGACAGAGCGAGACCCTGAATAGAAGGAAGGAAGGAAGGAAGGAAGGAAGGAAGGAAGGAAGGAAGGAAGGAAGGAAGGAAGAAGGAAGGAAGGAAGGAAGGAGGAAGGAAGGAAGGAAGGAAGGAAGGAAGGAAGGGAGAACTAAGTCCCCATTCTTTCTTTTTCTTTGAGATAGGTTCTCTCTCTGTCACCCAGGCTGAAGTGCAGTGGTGTAATCTCAGCTCACTGCAGCCTCGACCTCCTGGGCTCATATGATACTCCCACCTCAGCCTCCTGAGTAGCTGGGACTACAGATGTGTACCACTACGCCCAGCTAATTTTTTTTTTTTTTTTTTTTAGTGTAAAGATGGGGTTTTGCTATGTTGCCCAGGCTGTTCTCTAACTCCTGGACTCAAGCCATCTGCTCACCTTGGTATTACAGGTGTGAGCCACTGTACCAGGCCTAAATCCTAATTCTAAATTCCTGCAAATGGATCTCAGATTGTTCCAGTTTAAATCCAAATTTCAATCTCTAATCACCTTTGACAGTGCTAAGTCGTTTTGTACAAATGGTGGTCAGAGGCCCACTGCTGGTACAGTTCAAAGAAAACACAACATACAGCAATAAAAAAATGCCAAGAACAGACCAGGCGCGGTGGCTCACACCTGTAATCCCAGCAATTTGGGTGGCCAAAATGGGAGGGTCACTTGAGGTCAGGAGCTTGAGACCAGCCTGGCCAACATGGCGAAGCCCCATCTCTACTAATGATACAAAAATTAACCAGGCATGGTGGCGCACACCTCTAATCCCAGCTACTCAGGAGGCTGAGTCACGGGGATTGATCGAACCCAGGAGGCGAAGGTTGGGGGCAGTGAGCCAAGACTGTGCCACTGCACTCCAGCCTGGGTGACAGAGTGAAACTGCATCTCAAAAACAAGGAAACAAATGCCAAGAACAATGTTAACATTAAAGCCAAGAAAACTTAACTTGCACAATGATTAATTAGCTACTTCAACTGCAATTTTTTATTGATCTGACTGATTGTCTGTTTTGGTAGCATGCTGAATGCAATCTCAGTGAGCTAATTATAGATCCAGATTAACGGATCTTAATTTCTATATAGATATATATATAATATGATGTAATGGAACTACATCATTGGCTTCAACAGACATCTCATAACTATGAGAGATTCCCAGACATATCTTGAGACTTGTATAGTCTTCTCACTGTTTACCCAAATCTTATCAATTCAAACTTTTATAACTTTGATTTCTTCCTTTAAATTATTACTTGTTGTCAAGTCCACAGTGCTTCAGGACCTGCAGTTCATAAAGACCATCATGTGGATGTCATCCCCTGGAGTTCTACTCCACAGCAGTCCTGTTCATCTGATAGAATGTTTAAATTCTTTTGTAGTTTGTTATTTTTTTTGTGCCTATAACCTACTTTTCCAACTACATTGTAAATTTGTGGAGGCCAGGGATCATGCCTTCCTGTGTTAGTTACCTACTGCTGCATAACAAATTCCACCAAGATGTAGCAGCCTCAAACAACAAACATTTATTATTCACATAATTTCTGAGGGTCAGGAATCTGGGAATGGCTTAGCTGGATCAAACTGTCAGCCAAGGTTGCAACCACATGAGAAATCATCTGATGGCTTGACCATGCCTACAGGATCCGCTTCCAAGAGGGCTCACTCAGATTACTGTTGGCAGAAGGTCTCAGTTCATCCCAATGTGGGATTCTCCACAGGGCTACCTGAACATCCTCACAGTATGTCAGCTCTTTTCCCCAGAGTCAGCGATCATACACAGAGAAAGAGAGAGAGACAGAGAAAGAGAGAGAGAGACAGAGAGAGAGAAAGTGAGCAATAATCACAGCACCTTTTTGTGACTTAGTCTCCGAAGTTACACACCACAACTTCCACTTTATGCTATTGATTAGAAGCAAGTCATTAAATCCAGCCCTCACTCAAGGGGCAGGAAATTAGACTCCACCTCTTAAAGGGAGGAATATAAAAAAGTTTGTGCATGCAGTTTTAGAAGTACCGCACCTTTTTGATGGCATCTTCAGAGTCTACATTTGAGCCAGTACTCAATTTTTATTTTTATTGTGATTGATCACATTGTACAATACTGAGAAAATTCACCCAAGTGAAGTATAGGAGCAAATCAAGCTCATATCTCAGAATATTTGCTTATATTTCCAGCTTTCTAGAAAAAGGTTTAACTTACATGTTTATCAATTAATTAACACATCTATCCTTTCCTGTTATAACCATTATTTGGGGGGCCTTATTACATGTTAGACACCGTTATATAGTAAAGGGACACAAATAAATCTTTGTGTCTCTGCTCTTACTGTACTTTAGAATCACCCTGGAGAAATTTAAAAAATAATTTTGCCTGACCCCCACCCAGAAGATTAAATCAGAATATTCTGGAGTAGAGCTTGGTACTGGTATTTTGTACAGTTCTCCAGATGGTTCTAATATACAGCAAGGGACAAGCTCTACTGAACTAGATAATTTTGGTTGTCTTTTGCATAACTTGTTCTCTTCCCAAAGAGTCTTCTGACATTACAGCAGTTCCCTGTGCAAGGCCAAGAGGTCCAGGTGACAGTCCAGGGAGGGGAAAAAAATGTGTGTTTCTTGATCCTTTGACACATGGTGCATGTGTTTGGGTATATGAAAATTATATTTCCTATTGCTCATTCTTTTCCTAGATTGACAGAGGATGCCCTGGATGCCACTTGTATCTCAGAATTAAGATTGTAACTAAATAGGGCATAGAATTTCTCTCAGCTTGGGTAGGAACAGGCATTCAAGAGACCAGAGAGGCCTCCTCAGAGATTCGCAGAAAGGGAGGACCTGGGTTACAAACTTTCTTGGAGTTTGCTCGCTGAGCTTAAGACTAGATGGTTGCCTGTTTCATACAAACAATGTACCCCAGGGTAAAGCTTCCTCTTCCAGCTTCCTCCTTCCTTATTTCTGTATTTGTAGAGCTTTACAAAGTGGTTTCTCTCTGACTGGCTACTGACTCCTCTCGCCTCTGGGTGGAGCTGAGTTCAGTGAAAAACAGGGTGACTTGAAAACACCACACCTATAATTGAAGAGTATTTCTTAAGGTCTTTTACGATCTGTCTTTTCTAGTTATTGCCTCTCACACTGTCCAAAATCAAACCAGCTGAGTCCACAATCCGGGTAACAGCTGTTCAGGCTTGGCATCAAACAACCCTTGGGACTCAGGGCATGACTCTTCAGTGAGATTAGTCGTAACCTAAGAGGCATCTCTGGCTACTTTCAAATTATTTCCATTGCAAAAGATACTGAATTATTTGTTGAATCACGTCATTTTCTTGGAAAAACCTCTGCCTCCGGGGTTCAAGGGATTCTCCTGCCTCAGCCTCCTGAGAAGCTGGGATTACAGGCAGGCACCAAAACAGCCAGCTAATTTTTTTGTATTTTAGTAGAGACAAGGTTTCACCATGTTGGCCAGGCTGGTCTCGAACTCCTGGCCTCAAGTGATCATCTGCCTGCCTCAGCCTCCCAAAGTGCTGGGATTGTTGGCATGAGCCACCACACCTGGCTCCACTAACTTTCCTAAAAGCTATTTACTATAAAAAAAATCAATATTATCTCTGTGTTACAGAAGAGGAAACTGAAACCAAGAAAAAAATAAGAGCATTGCCCAAAAGTGATTTCCACTTCAATCTTTTCCTTTTGTTTCTTTTCTAGCTTTCTTTCTGTTCCACCTTCATGTTTTTTTCTATTTTTTTTTTCTTGATTATTCTTTCCCTTTCATTTGCCTCTTTGAGTTTCAGGAATAAGAAATGCATTCTTAGAAGCATAAATGTTGAACTCAAGAAAAGACAAGTAAAACCTGAGTCAACTTGAAGCTGCTGTTCAAAGAGGGGAAAAAAGAAATCCAGAACAAGGATTTATTCCTGACCCAAACTACTGTCTTCATAAGTTGGCTGGCTCACCTGACTGTCAAAACAAGTTTGGGAAGGAGGAAGAAATGAACACATTAGCTTTGCAACAACACTTGCCCCACTGCCCGCCCACTTACTTGAAGAGGAAGTTGGTAAACTTCACCTTTGGGATTCTAAACGGCCTAGCTGCAATTCAGCTCTAAACATTGTACTATCCTGTGGCCAGGCGCCCCAAGGAATCTGAAGGATTCAGACGGGTGAAGTGATAACCATAATAATGCCTTCCATTTGTATAACCCCTTTACAAAGAATGTTTTCATGTGTCATCTCATATACTCACTTATGTCATTCATTAAAGTATATGGAAGGTCTAACATGAAAGTAATGATAGTGTTCCCCTAAATGAGCTCGAGACCTTGGTTTTTTTAAAAAAATCATACCTTTCTTGTCTATTTTGATAGTTTTCTAATGCAGTTTCATGGGGAAAAAAATCACAGAGATGACCTGATGGTACAAACTAAAGCTATCTCTGGAGACACCTGTCTAAAGAGTCATGGGTAGTTTCTTCTTAATATTTGCAAGTTGGCAATATTCCACTGAAGTCTTGGACTCTGTTGGCTGCCTGTAAGATCTCTCCCTGGAACACCCCAGAAGTCTCTACTGCTTTTCTAAAGAACTCATGAATGGGAAAGAGCTTAAAGTTATAAGGACTTGGAAATACTTTTTATAGAAAATCGGGAAAGTGAATCGGGAGAATTAACCTAAGGGTTTAATTAATCTTCACAGTTGGTTTGTGACCTATGATTATATTAGTCTCTTTAGGATTTGTCAAGAGAACTTGCATGAGATTAATATCCTTCCCTTAATCCCTACTTTTAATAGAGTTTTGTTTAGCCTCATGTTCTCAGCTGCCCTGTGCCCCTGCCAGAAATCCTAGCCCTTCCCAGAGGTCAGTTAGAGGTGGTTTATCAGATGGAAAGAATGAAATGGTAATCCCTATCAAACACTGAAATTTCTAAATCCAGGCAGAATTTTTATCATTATATGTAAAAAAAATTTGGGAAGTCCTCACACCTCCTAGAAGCAACACTCATTTAGAAGGTTGTTTGGTTTGTTTCCAAACGAACAGGTAGTTTCAGTTAGAGCTCTACTTTTGCAAATCAGACAATTTTAGTTAGTCAACATATAAAACATCCTTCATCTAATTTTACGTACATAGGATGAACATTATTGTGAAGAATGAAAGGAGGCATTAAAAACAATCACAACAGGACCACACATGCGAACATGGACTATCCAGGGTAAAACAGGACGTGTGGCCAACCCGCATATACATCAATATTTGAAACAGTTCTTCTCTAGTCCTCATATTTTTTTATTATATTGGAATGTGGCAAGGATATTGTTCACTTTCTTTTTTATACTGAGAAGTAAATTTATTCAAGTTTCTTGAAAAATAATCTTACATTCTAAGTCTCCACTAATCTGTTTCGAAGCTCATCATGTATTTATTTCTATGAAACTGAGATGTAGGCTTTCCACATAGCTATATTTTTGTGAATCCTCCAGAAGATTATTTAAAAATACCTACAGTTTTTCCCACTATTTCAACATTTATTCAAAGACATTTAGTTTTATTTTGAAAAACTTCGAAGTTTATTTTGGAATAAAAGTGTCAGTTCTTCCCCCCAATTCTCCAAGTTTTAGTAGAACAATGGATTTACCTTTTAGAAGAACATTGAGTATCTGAATATAACAACACTTTACTGTTGATTATCAGATGTCAAAACTGACAATCTCCGTCTCCCACCCATGAGTCAGTTGCCTGCCTAATTTATGTATAGACAGATAGAGATGTAGAAACATAGAGAGAGAGAGATCAGTGATAGATAGATAGTGCTGGGGCTTAGAACACAATACCCCAAAATATGGCACTTTGGTATGCTGAGTAGTTGGAACTGAAGGAGACTGGAAAGGCTTCAGAAGCAAGAAGTCCTCCCTGGCCTTCTCCAACCCTCCTTTCTGCTTTCCCACTTCCCCTCTGAGCAGATCATAGAAACTAGAACTCCTCATCCCAAAGCAATTCATAATACCTGTAAGTGTCACTCTTTGCCCTTTTCCCTTTTCTCCTGAAGACCCTCGTGTGACAAGTATCCTGCCCTATACCCAGAGGAAAGAATGCCAAACAGAGGGGCCAAAAAGAATCTGATTAAACAGGACTTCATAAGTTCCCCTAGTTTATGACCATTAGATCATAACCTTTTTGTCCAATTACATTTCTACATGGTTGTCCATTCTTCATTGAACCTAAACATAAAAGTACACAGTTTTCCCTGTGTCTTTAGGTCTTGATTTCTGAAGGCTCCTTATCACATAAAACTTTAATTGAATACATTTGTTATGCTTTTCTTTTGCTAACTGGTCTTCTGTATTGAAGTGTCAGCCATGACCTTAAAAGGTATTACCTTCTCACTTTCTACCTCTACGGTTTCTGGCACCCAACATGGAGTGGCTGAGGCACTTGACTCACTCCGGAGCCTGCAGTTGAGATCCTGGGACAACTGACAAAAAGCCGGAAAAAAGGTTAAAAAAAAAAGTTTTTACCAAGGTCAGTATTTCGGGATCTCTGCCTATAGTGCCCGTGAAGGGAAAGTGGAAGGTAAAAATTTATCTTTATCCTTTCCTTTCCAACTTCAGGTTAGCAGAAGAAAATATTTGTTTGAATTGTAATTTGTGTGTAAATTTGGTTTGGGCATACTCATTTGCTATTAATCCTTTAAATAAATGTGTTATGCTTTTCTCTTTTTAACTTGACTTTTGTTACAGGATGTTAGGTATCGACCTTGGAATGGGTGAGGAAGAAGGACCTTGTTGTCCCCAATTTCATAGATAGATGATGGATGAATTTTATGGGTCTAATTCAAACACACACGGGACAAATTGGTTTGAACACACCAGATTTTAAGAGGGCTCATTTTGCTCCAGTTTTAAATTTAATTATATTTAACATCGTGTTATATTTTTATTTTTCTCCTGCTATACATGTATTTGTAAAATGTCTGAAATTCTTTGGAAGTAGGAGAAGTACAAAAAAAATGACCATATACAAGGTTGTGATGGGGGAAGGAACAAGGGGGCTTAGAACTGGGAAATTCAGAGGTTTAAGCAATGGTCCCCTGGGGGCGAAGATGACACCACATTCACAAGAAATGGAGAGGATGTCTAGCATGTGATCCTCCAGTCTGAATTATAAGGTCTTCTTGATTTATCTATTTTTCCCCTGTATTTGGGTGCGAATATTAGCTTCCCTTTCTGCTCTAGTGTACATGGTTGCTTAAGGTAAGGGCACTAAGGAATTTCTGGAATACCTGTTCTTTAATAAAGTCATCAGCCATTTATGAACATTCCGCTCTAACTTGTTGGCATTGGAAAGTCATTCTGGATTTTTGAGTGGGTAATGACATGATACAATATGCCTTAGTAAGATTAACTCATCAGTGAGTAAGACAATAACAGCTAACATTTTATATCATGCTTGCTTTTACTGGATACAATTTTATATCTACTCCATCATTGAATCTTCGAAAGAACCATATGTGAAATAGATACTTTTATTATCTCCATTTTCCAGACAAAGAAATGGGAGCTATTTCTGTTGAAATAACTTGCCAAGTTCATATCACTATAAAGAGGTAGAGCTAACAGTCAAACCCATGCAGTAAAGTTCTAAAGCTTGTCTAATTATCTGCTACACGGTCAGGACTAGATTGACTAGAAGGAGATACTGAAAGCAGGAAAACTATGTAACAGATTATTGCATAATTCAGACATAAGAGGATGAAGCAAGGGGAAAGAAAAGGCAAGGGTGGTGCTGCAAAGGAAGAGATAGTAGGATCGTGAAATTCTTTGAAGTTGTCAGGTTGTAAAGAGAACAAAGACATATTTAGCTTGATTAATAGGAGTAATGTGGCTGGTAAAAAAACACTGAAAAAAGTGAGACTGTTGCCAGGCACAGTGGCTCACGCCTGTAATCCCAGCACTTTGGGAGGCTGAGATGGGTGGATCACCTGAGGTCAGGAGTTCAAGACCAGCCTGACCAACAAGGTGAAACCCTGTCTCTACTAAAAAAACAAAAAACAAAAAAAAACCCCAAAAACCTACAAAAATTAGCCTGATGTGGTGGTGCATGCCTGTAGTCCCAGCTACTCGGAGGCTGAGGCAGGAGAATTGCTTGAACCCTAGAGGTGGAGGTTGCAGTGAGCCGAGATTGCACCACTGCACTCCAACCTGGATGACGGAGCAAGATTCAATCTCAAAAAAAAAAAAAAAAAAAAAAGTGAGACTGTTGAGTGAGGGAATAACTTCTTTCTGGGTATTTGAAATTTTAGAAAAATCTAGAATGAACAAAGAAAGTTGGTGTATTAATCTTATTCACAAAGCAAAATGAAACACCCAATTAAACGTTAGCTGTTTCTCCATTATGTTCCACTTCACTGAGAGGAAATCACATTGGTGGAATGTATAGGATGTCTCCTCACAAGAATCATTAAAAAAAAAAAAGTATAATTTTGTTGCAGAAATGAAAAGAACAGACTCCTGAAAACTTAATTTGTTCAAGGTCACACACCTTGTGAATAGCCAAATCTTTTCTGTTTCCTTGATAATCAATAGTTATACATCAGAATATTCATCACTAATGATGATTTTCAATCCCTTAGGCAAGGAGAGCTCAGAGTGTGAAGAAATGTGGAGAGAAGGAATGAATAAACAAACGAATAGATCTATGAATGGATAATATGTAAGTTTTAAGAATAAAAAAATCTCCACCTGAAATTCTCTTTTCCTACTTTTCCATTAAACCATGTAGGTTCTTTTGTTCATAGCATTACTCAAAACTTACCCTTTATTAAAAAAAAAAAACAACTTTCTAAATGGAAAATCATTGGTCTCTAGTTCCTTTGGATTTAGGTGTTTTGGGTTTTTTTTTTTTTTTTTTTTTTAAAGCGACCCTTAAAACACATTGATGTGATCTCAAGATATTTCTACTAAGCACCTATACAGGGGTTGGGTATAATCTCTTTCATGAACTACAGCTAACCCAGAGAAGTGGGCAGCAACTTTAGACCTTCAGTTTATTTGGAAATCTCTGTTAGGCCATATTTTATGATTCACTGGGCAAACATATCTTATACACTGCATGAGTCTTTGTATTTGTGTGAATATTGACTTATCCTTCAGCTTTTAAGGCACTAGTTGCAGGAACAGAGATTTCTTTCTGCTAAATGAATCTTGACAGGTGAACTTTACATTGTTTGAAGGCATTTTAATTCCTTCCAGATATACATTAATTTATCTAGTTTATTGACTGGAAGTTATAATTGAGTTGCAAAATGAGAGCAACATGTTCTTTTCCTTCTGACAGATTCATTTCCATCGGAATACATCGTCTTCAACGACAGGTGACCAACCCACTAGGTAAGTGTGAGGATTAATAATAGGGCTTGGTCATGTTTATACAATTTTCAAAGCTCTCATTAGAAAAGTGCTACGGTGGCCCTAAAAAGCTGGTCTTCATCTACCTATGCTCAGGCTAAGAATCTGCTTTCATAAACCCAACTTTTTTCCAAAGATATTCAGGAGTAGTAACCAGCTGTTTTCCAAATCAAGTTAACATGTCCTTAAGATCAGTTTAAATTATAGCTAATGTTACTAGAACAGAGGTCTTCAAATTTTAGCATGACTCAGAATCACCTGGAGACCTGGACTCCATCCCTAGAGTTTCTGATTCAGTAGGTCTGGATGGAGCCTGAGAACAGGTATTCTAACACATTTCCAGGTGGAAGGGTTTCTCCTGGCCAGGGCATCACACTTTATGAACCACTGCCTAGGAAGGCACTCTCTTAGCAGTGGGACTGCAAGAGCAATAATATCAAAGAGAAATTGTAGAAACTTCTCTAGACAGATTAAGATGTGGTCATTTAAAATTAGATCTGGTTTTCTTATTGTTTATTTGTTTGGAAGAAAGTTGTGAACTAAAAAACAGAGATTGCTCCTAATACTCTTGACTTGATCTAGAGTTACGTGATTAAATTTCTCTCGGTGTCTGCGTCCGAATCCAGTACCTCTACTCTCACATCCTCTCCCTCAACCAAAACCAAAAGTAAAACAAAACAAAGCAAATATCTAAACAAAATGCTGTGGTCTCTTACCAGCACTTAAAAAGTTAACAACAGCACCGAATAGAATTGCTCAAGGCAGTGAAGGTTAAACCAGCATTTGGAAATGCTGTGAGAACACAGATAGTTTAAACTGTGGAAGAGGCCTGAGGAAATAACAGAGGAAAACTTTCCGTCCAAGGTTCCAGTTGCCAAGGAGTTTGTGTAGGTTGCTGGAGACCTCACCCCTCCGTGGCTCCTCTGTGACTCACTGTGTCCCTGGGAAGCCTTGGACTCAGCAACCAGCGAAAACTCAGAAACTCTGCCTTTGATCTCACTAGGATGAAATGCCCCAGAGAGCTTTGGTTTCTAAAACATGGATGTTTCTGATCACACAGACAGTAGCAAAGCCTAGACTCCGATTCCTAGAATTTGGCCTGATTATGACCCAGGTGGAAAGGTTGAGATTAGAGAAAACCAAGTAATGGATCCCCCTGGAGGTGCAGGAGAGAGGGAGGAAGGACTCACACACCCTTAGACCCGGCTCAGATGTCGGGTGGCTTGACACTTCAAGGTCACTCCTGCTATGTTCCTGAAACCCAGTTCTGTGTGAATCCCCTTTTTTGAGAGCTGAATCACCTCCTATAGGTAGAAAATGACACACAGATGAAATGGCTTTTTGTTCTGGATACATTTTATCTTTAGCCATTTCACATTTTGCCCTTGCAGGTCTGAATCCAATTCTAACCAGAAGCAAGTATGTCCATTTTCCTTTCCCCCACAAAGAAGAATCCTTCATGCTGCAGTGCTTAATCAAAATTTTACCTAGTTCAGATCAGCGCTTCTCACACTTTAATGTATGTAGATATGAATAACCTGGGGATCTTTCTAAGAAGCACGGGCTAATTCTGTAGGTCTACAATGGGGCCTGAAATTCTGCCTTTCTAACAAACTCCCAGGTGATATAGAGACTGCTGCTCTGAGGACCAGGCTTTGAGTAGCAAGGGGATGAGTTTTCAACTTTGGCTGCGCAATAAGATCACTCTGAGAGGCTGATTGCTGGTTGCTGGTTTTTAAGACTAACATTCAGGTATCCAGAGACTGGTCTGGAGTGGGGCTTCATATTCCTTAAGAACTTCCTTGGTTATTTATGATTATGCAACCAGGATTGAGAAAACAAATCCAAATGAATGTTTTTCAAACTGTGAGTAGCAATCATTAGTGGATCAGAATCAGAAATAACATTTAAAATATTATTTAAATGAAACAGAATGGAGCAGAACACAGCAGAGCACATTAGAATAGTGTAAGTATTGTTTCGTGAAACTTTTTAGCTATGTACCTATGCGACTATACAGCTCTCAATGTATATTACTAAGAATTAGAGTCAAAAAACTTTGAAAGTCTGTTGCAACTACTTAACTCTGTCATTGTAGTACAAAATTAGGCATGGACAACATGTAAATGAATGGACATGGCTGTGTGAAATTTGCATTTCATATAATTTTTACATGTCACAAAGTATTTTGTATTGATTGCTTTTCAACAGTTTAAAAATGTAAAACCATTCTTAGCTCGTGGGCTCTACAGCAAAAGAGCAAATTGGCCAGCTTGGCACTTGGGGCTTGTATAGGTTGTTGGCCTCTTACCTAGATTGAGATATATTCTTTGTTTGGACCCTAAACTTGATTTGATCAGTTCAGTTATAACAAATTGCCTCAGGCTTGGTCCCAAATTAGTCTCCTATTCTGATTCTACTGCATCCTTTGTATTTTGATTAAAAACACCTGTATTTAGAGGCCAGGCCTTTTGTGGTTGTTAGTAATAACAACAATTGTTGCTGTTAAAACAAGACAGTATGATACTTTGGGCTTTAAAAATCCATGTCAAAATCCTGTATTAAATATGCAAAGTAGTTTTGGCTAAGAATAACTGAGTAACTGGATAAAATATGTGTCTTCCCACCACTTTACGTAGCAGCATTTCACTTTGATAATAAAATCTCAACACTTCCATTAATAAATTGGCAGTTTATCCTAAAGAATAGATGTTTTAAAAGGTGTGCTTTGCAAATGAACAATTGAGGACATATAATGATCAAATGCAAGTAAGTTCCTTACAGGAAAATATGATTCTTTTTTACTATTGAACAGAAAACTAAACAATTTCAATGAAAGCCATGGTTTCATTGAGATTTCAAAAGGGAAACATGCTTCCCTTTTCTCAGTTACTGGGCATATTATACATTTTGTAGTAACTTGTTGGAGCATTCTATTTTAAGATTTTCAAGGTACCAGAGTTAAAAGCTTAGATCTTGGGTAACTTTTTGGGGTGGCAGACAGTGTCCCACTCATTTTTGGCTATAATTGTAAGTATTTATTGCATTTCCACTGTGTACTTGGTTGTTGGCTTACCCCTTGAAGATATGGCAGTTAAAAATGCAAACTTCCCCTGTAATCCCAGCACTTTGAGAGGCTGAGGCAGGAGGATTGCTTGAGGGAAGGAGCTTGAGACCAGCCTGGGCAAAATATTGAGACCACCCCCGCCAACCCGCCATCTCTACAAGAAACAAAGCTAACAACAAGAACAACAAAAATTAGCCAGGTGTGGTGGTGCATGCCTGTATACCTGTAGTCCCAGCTACTTGGTAGGCAGAGGCAGAAGGATCACTTGAGCCCAGGAGTCGGAGGTTACACTGAGCTATGATGGCACCACTGCACTTCAGTCAGAGACAAAGCAAGACCCTGTCTCAAAAACAAACAAAAAAACAAACAAACAAACAAACAAACCATGGCTTGTGAGCACACAGAGCTTAAAAGATTGTAAGCAGATGATGGCAGAGGCCACTCTTAGGCAGTTACAGATAAATCTGTAATTACCAACTATAATAAAACCAAATGTAAATGCTATGAAGAGTGTGTTAGACGCGACTCAGTTTTTAACTAGGTGTTTCATGGGAAGCATCTTTGAGGCGTAACATTTTAGCTTTTATACAGCTTTTTGTAAAAAATATAACTTTTATATAGGGTAGGTACATGAACAGATTTCCATTTTAATCTCTGAGAAGGTCAAAATTCATGTTTGGTCATCTTCAAGTACCAACAGAGTACGGGCATGTGGTAGAACTCAATAAGCTTTCACTCTTGCTGTTAAATACTCAGAATTACTTTGGCTATTGTTTCAAAAACAGATAAGGAGGGGTGTGTAAAAAACGAAAGTGGAAAGACCTGTTGAAAGATGTTGCAAGAAACGGTGGTATTTTGGACAAGAGTGCCATTGGTAGAGATGGGGCAAAGAAGAGAGTCATGATGTATTTTAGAGATAGAATTAGCATTTTGTTATTATAGGGAGATGAGGAAGGGGGAAATTAAAAGTCATTCCCAGACTGTGTGAAGAGAAACATGAAAAAAGACTCAGGTTTCATGAGATGGATTAACCAGTTTTGAAAACTTTGCATTTGAGATGTTTATGAAGTAATCAGTTGGGGACAACCAAGTAGTCAGTGGAATATACAGACCTGGAAATCAGAGAGAGGACTAGGATAGAAGTACAAATGCCGGAGTCGCTGGGCTGTATATAGTATTTTCTTTATTTTTTGTAAAGAGTGCTAATTCAGTACCTACTATGTATCAGGCACTGTTCTAGCTATTAGGAATATATAGAGAAAGAAAAAACAACAAAGTTTCATATGAAGTCTTTTGAAGATAGAGTAGTCACGTTGACCAGAACATATAGTTAGAGACAATTGGGGAAAAAGGAACATTTTAAGAAGTTGACAGGCTGGGCATGGTGGCTCACATCTGTAATCCCAGTGCTTTGGGAGGCCAAGGCAGGAGGATCACTTGAGGCCAGGAGTTTAAGACCAGCTTGGGTACATGGTGAGACTCCATCTACACCAAAAAGAAAAAAAATTAAGCAACCATGGGGGTGCAGCACCTGTAGTCCCAGCTACTCAGGAGGCTGATAACAGAGGATTACATGAGCCCAGGAGGTGGAGGTTGCAGTGAGCCATATTCATGCCACTACACTCCAGCCTGAGCAACAGGGCTAGACCCTGCCCCAATCAATCAATCAATCAATCAATATCTGAAAAAGTGTGCTCCAGATAAAGGGGACAGCAACTGCAGAGGCCCTCAAGGTGAAGTGCATTTGATGTGCCTAAGGAATTCCTAGAGACCGGTATGTTAGCAGTGAAGTAAGCAAAGGAGAAACTAGAAGAAAGAAGGGTCTGAATCATGCAGACCCTTGTAGTCCATGGTATATTTTTCTAGATGTGATGGCAGTTACTGGAGGATTTGAACAAGGAAGTGATGTAATCTAGCTTATGTATCTTTAAAATTCTATCTCCACTGAGAGTAGATTGTACGGGCCTAGTGAGGAGCAGCGAGATCCACTAAGAAGTTCCTCAAGCGCTCCTATTCATAAATTATGTTAGGGCTATGCGCTGAGTTATGCTCCCAACATTCATATGTTGAAGGCCTCACTCCCCTCATCTAATGATATTTGCACATGGGCCCTTTGGAAGATAATTAGGTTTCAATGAGGTGTTCAGAGTAAGGCCTCATGATGAGATTAGTGCCCTTAGAAACAGAGACATCAGAGAGTGAGCTCTCTTTCTCTCTCCCCGCTATCCCTCTTGTGAGGACACAGCAAGAGGACAGCCATCTGCAAGACAAGTAGAACGTCCTCACCAGAACTTGACTATGTTGGCACCCTGATCTAAGACTTCCAGCCTCCAAAACTGAGAACAAATAAATTTCTATTGTTTATGCCACTCAGTGATAGTTTTTGGTGGCAGCCTGAGCGGACTAATGCAATTAGAAAGAAAAAAATTCTCTGGAGGGTGGTAGAGAGCAGAAATACCCACTTACTGTGTTAGCTCGTCTAGCATTATGCAGAGTTCCAATTCCCAATGTGAGTTGGCTTGGCTTGAAAAAAAATTACTATGAATTTGAATAAGATTCAGTTCCTGAACAGTACAGACAAAAGAACAGCTCTAAGCTCTGGCAGCTTGCTTTCCTCCTGTCAGTTTCTCTGTCTTATTCATTTATGGTCTCTGAAAAAGGCCGAGGAAAAATGTAAAGAGAGCAGTTCCACAGGTTGTAGGATTAGTCAATTCTCCAAGGAGACTCAAACTCCATCTGCCGCTGTTTATTAGATCACTCTGTGCCATAAAAACCTATTGATGAGTGGTAGCCAATGATATGCCATTACAACAATAGAGATAATGCAATAGCCATGTCATAAAATGGTTACCCCTCATCACAGCTATGTTTCAATTGTTCCTCAATGCACTGAGCGCATTAAAGGGCTGTATTCCGCCCGCCAAACAATTCTGGTGCAGGAGCTCCTTGGAGGCACCTGCTGTGAGTGAAAGGTAATATTGTGACGATTATTACTGCTTGGAGAGCGATTGCACAGACACGTGCCAACTGCCTGTGCCAGTGCTGGACTATGTAACAGAGTGGATCTAAATTAAACTGAAAATGAAATCAGTTAACTTTAAATTGTTTAAGTTTTCCAACCAAGCAAAATTGCAAGTAGGGTGACTTACCCTGTTTAATTTTGTGACTATACTTTTGGGGACCAGCAGGAATGCGGCTGCATTGGGGCATATAGTGTCCACTTTTTCTTCTGAGGAGTGAAAAAGCCTGGAAAAAAAATATTCCATTTGTTTTCTGGATGCTTGTACCCATCCAGTCTTATTTCTCAATCCAGATCACCGAAGAAAGGCATCTTCCCCCCACCATATTAAGTGAATTACACTGATTTCAAATAACTTTCCCAGCTGAGTCAAACCTGCAGCCCAGACTCACTGGCCAACTGATCCTAGCGCTGGGATAGCTCAGAAGCCAACAAGTAGCCCCCAGATCTCGGATTCTACCCCAACCTTTGTAGTCCTGGCACGATGTCCATACAACCTGAAGGAGTCCTAAAATCCAGAGCCCCAGAACCCCAAATGGGATCGCTACAGTCCTAAATCTGTGATTCTACCCTCATGCCACTCTGTTTCTATTCTCTCCAATACCATCTGCTAGGGAACCCACTGAGAGGGAATGTGCCCTTTTCTAATGCTGCTCGGTTCTAAAGGAGCTACAGTGAGAAAGTTGCTGAGGTTTTCCCAAATACTAGTTAAAAAAAAAAAAAGAAAAAGATGAGGTTTGGATTAGAGGACAGAATGTCAGAATGTTTGTAACAAATATCCATGTGCCCTTCACATTCCCCAGCCTCCCTGAGGGTGAGATCTGGGCCATGTGACTAGTTCTGCAAATAGGATACGGACAGAAGGAGCAGAGACACTTCCAGATCTGGCCTCTCAAGACACCCCATCCTCCAAACCTTCCCCTGCCTTCCCACCTGGAGACAACTGGCCCAACTGTGTAACTACAAAATGGTGGAAGCTGTCAGATCTGTATCAGACCAGAATTTGAGGAAGAAATATAGATATCTTTGTTGTATGAAACCACCGAGACTTCAGGAGTCTGTGTTTTGTTGCTGCCTGCACTGATAATCCTGAATATAGACTGTCTTCTGGCTACATCACTGAATTCGTATTCAGGTACTGTATCTTGCAGTTTGGCCAATCTGGTCCATGATTTTGAAGTCCTGGAAGCAACCATCTTTACTATATCCAAGAAGTAGTATTCTCAAAGTTGGTATTAATGGGAGAGAAAACTCCATTAAATGCTTAGTTAAATGCATTATGCATTACTGACTATATGTCCAAAGCAGTGAGCTGAAAATTGGGGTAAACACCAGAAAAGTACAAATCATATTCAAGGAAGTGACCTGAGAGGCAAGGAGCATTTCCAGATAAAGCAGTTAAATAACAATGGTTCTCATAAAGAAATGCAGAATATGGGAAGACCAGTGTGGGTTGGATGTACCTAATGATTCTTCAGGTGTAGAGGGCCTTGGAGGTCAGGTGTCATGGGCTGAATTGTGCTCTCCTCCCCCAAATTCATCTGTTGAAGCCCTAACCTTTGGCATCTCAGACTGTGACTGAATTTGGAGATAGGGAATTTAAAGGGGTAGTTAGTTAAAATGAGGTCATTAGGGTGAGCTCTAATTGATATGACTAGCGTCCTAATAAAAAGAGGAAATTAGGACATAAACACACACAATGGAAAATCATTCAAAAACACAGGGAGAAGATGGCCACCAACAAGCTAAAGAGGCTGGGCCTGGTGGCTCACGCCTGTAATCCCAGCACTTTGGGAGGCTGAGGTGGGCGGACCGCTTGAGCCCAGGAGTTCAAGACCAGACTGGTCAACTGGCAAAACCTGATCTCTACCAAAAATACAAAACAAAATTAGCTGGCCATGGTGGCTTGTGCCTGTTGTCCTAGCTACTCAGGAGGCTGAGGAGGAAGGATTGCTTGAGGCCAAGAGGCAAAGATTGCAGTAAGCAGAGATCACATCACTGCACTCCAGCATGGGCAACAGAGTAAGACCCTGTTTCAAAAAAAAAGAAAGAAAGAAAAAGAAACCTACCCTGCTGATACCTCAATCTCAAACTTTTAGTATTCAGAACTGTGAGAAAATAAATTCCTGTTGTTTACGACCCCCCAGCCTGTGATACTCTGCTGTGTGGTAGCACTCGCAAACTCACGCAGGCACAAGTTTCTCCAGAGAAAGAATGGGACAGTAGTTTACGCAGTATTATTTCACTGAACTAAAGCACAGTGGGGAGAATAAACATCATAAATTTGGAAGAAAGTAGGGAGAATATCTTCCCTGAAGATATTGAGAATTATAATTGGAAGGATAACTTGGAGTAATATTTGTGAGGGTCTTTATTCCCTGATTGAGAAATTTTGATATTATTCTACAAGTGATTTGAAGACTGCAGTACATAACAGTTTAAGAATATGACTTCAAAATCTCCAGGGTGGCGTCCAAACATTAGTATTTTTAACAAGCTTCCAGGTGATTCTGAGAGACCATCAGTAAATTTGAGAACCATGGGTATAAGCAGTTGGGAATTCCTAAAAGGATTGCATAGGCATTTTGCTGTATGGGTGATAGATAAAGAGGCAGGGGGCATGCAGATATTCCACAGCAGAGCACTCCTTTACCTCTGATCTAGTCCTACCCAGAATAATGGAAGCCTGTAACTAATGGGACTCAAAATATTAAATCCAGTGCCTCCTGGCATGTAAAAGTTCACCTCCACTTAGTTAACATTCATTCTTATTTCAAATAGCAAGCTTGTTTTTCTTTCTAAATTGTTTTATTGTTTTTAAATGTATATACAAAAAGTACCCCAAAATAAATAAATAATACTTGAATTATCACTATCTTGTCATAAGCATTTTGTTGAACATTCCTTCTGTGATCTATCTGTGCATCTACTCGTATTGTATAAGCATACAGTTCACATAAATGTTACGATGCTAATTGTGCTCTCTTAATCTATAATCCACTTCTCCACTCAAAAGTAGATTGCAAAAATACCTCCAAATCTTTATTTTATATCTTCATCAAAATATTCCATTGTTTAGATGTTTTCTAATTATTTAGCCAGACCTCAACTAATAAACACATAAATCACTCTGCATTTTTGACCCTTAAAAACAACACTGACTTGGGGTCACAGGGGAGAAGAGTGATAGCTAACATGTACAGGGTTTCTTTTTGAGGTGGTGAAATGTTCTAAAACTGACTATGGTGATGGTTGCACATATCTGTGAAAATACTACAAACCACTGAATTATATACTTGATATGGGTAAACTGTATGGCATGTGAATTATATCTCAATAAAGCTGTTTATAAAAAAGACATCCCTTGCCCTCTCTCACCACTCCAATTCAACATAGTATTGGAAGTTCTGGACAGACCAATCAGGCAAGAGAAAGAAATAAATGGTATTCAAATAAAAAGAAAGGAAGTCAAATTATCTTTATTTGCAGATGACATGATCCTATATATAGAAAACCCCATTGTCTCATCCCAAATGCTTCTTAAGCTGTAAGCAACTTCAGCCAATCCCCAGGATTCAAAATCAATGTGCAAAAAACTACTAGCACTCCTATACACCAACAGGCAAGCAGAGAGCCAAATCATGAATTAACTGCTATTCACAATTGCTACAAAAAGAATAAAATACCTAGGAATACAGCTAACAGGAGAAGTGAAGGACCTCTTCAAGGAGAACTATAAACCACTCCTCAAAGAAATCAGAGAGGACACCAACAAATGGAAAAACATCCCATACTTATGGACAGGAAGAATCAATATCATGAAAATGGCCATACTGCCCAAAGTAATTTATAGATTCAATGCTATTCCCATTAAAGTACCATTGACATTCTTCACAGAATTGGAAAAAACTACTTTAAAATTCATATGGAATGGAAAGAGAGCCCAAATATCCAAGACAATCCGAAGCAAAAAGAACAAAGCTGAAAGCATCATGCTACCTGACTTCAAACTACACTACAAGGCTACAGTAATCAAAACTTCATGGTATTGGTACAAGAACAGACACATAGACCAATGGAACAGAATAGAGAACTCAGAAATAAGACCACATACCTACAACCATCTGATCTTCAACAAACCTGACAAAAACAAGCAATGGGGAAAGGATTCCCTGTTTAATAAATGGTGCTGGGAGAACTGGCTGCCATATGTAGAAAACTGAAACTGGACCCGTTCCTTACACCTTATACAAAAATTTACTCAAAGTGAATTAAAGTTTTAAAAGTAAAACCGAAAACTATAAAAACCCTAGAAGAAAATCTAAGCAATACTATTCAGGACATAGGCATGGGCAAAGGTTTCATTATGAAGATGCCAAAAGCAATTGCAATGAAAGCCAAAATTGAGAAATGATATCTAATTAAATTAAAGAGCTCCTGCAAAGCAAAAGAAACTGTCATGAGAGTGAACAGACAACCTACAGAATGCGAGAAAATTTTTGCAATCTACCCATCTGACAAAGGTCTAATATCCAGAGTCTACAGGGAACTTAAACAAATTTACAAAAACAAAATACAAACAACCCCATTAAAAAGTGGGCAAAGGACATGAATGGACACTTCTCAAAAGAAGACATACATGTGGCCACAAACTTATGAAAAAAGCTGAACATCACTGATCATTAGAGAAATGCAAATCAAAACCACAATGGGATACCGTCTCACATCAGTCAGAATGGCTATTACTAAAAAGTCAAAAAACTGGCTGTGCGCAGTGGCTCACGACTGTAATCCCAGCACTTTGGGAGGCCAAGGTGGGTAGATCACCTAAGGTGAAGAGTTCGAGATCAGCCTGGCCAACGTAGTGAAACCCTGTCTCTACTAATAATACAAAAATTAGCTGGGCGTGGTGGCCAATGCCTGTAATCCCAGCTATTCAGGAGGCTGAGGCAGGAGAATCACTTGAACCCACGGGCAGAGGGTGCAGTGATCTAAGATCGCGCCATTGCACTCCAGCGTGCAATGGGCGACAAGAGTGATACTGCATCTCAAAAAAAAAAAAAGTCAAAAAACAACAGATGCTGGCAAGGTTACAGAGAAAACACTTTTACACTGTTGATGAGAGTGTAAATTTAACCACTGTGGAAGACAGTGTGGTGATTCCTCAAAGTTCTAGAGGCAGAAATACCATTTAACACAGCAATACCATTGAATTGCTAATGGATGCTGGGCTTAATACCGAGGTGATGGGATGATCTGTGCAGCAAACTACCATGGCACACATTTACCTATGAAACAAACCTCCACATTCTGCACATGTATCCCTGAGCTTAAAATAAAAGGTGAAGATTTAAAAAAAAAGACATCCTCACAACTACATCTATTCACCCTCTGCAGTTATTATCCTAATGGCAAATTCTGAAATATGTACCCATTAAGATGATTAATAATAATTATTAATGGATTAATAATTATTAATCGATTAATAATTAGTTATTAATGGATTAATTAATACTCCAGGCAATTTCATTTTACAGATGAATACATGCTTTTAAAAAAATACACCTGAGGCCAGGCACAGTGGCTTATGATTATAATCCCAACATGGGAGGACAAGGTGGGAGAATCACTTGAGCCCAGGAGTTCAATACCAGCCTGGGCAACATAGGGAAAGCCTGTCTCTACAAAACAATTTTAAAAAATTAGCCAGGTGTGGTGACGTGCACCTGCTTTGGAGGCCAAGGTAGTAGGATGGCTTGAGCCCAGAAGTTTGAGACTAGCCTGGGCAACATAATGGGACCCTATCTCTACAAAAACTAAAAATATTAGCCAGGCATGGTGGTGCACCTGTGATTCTGCTACTCAGGAGGCTGAGGTGGGAGGATCACCTGAACTTGGGATGTCAAGGCTGCAGTGAGCTATGATCATGCCACTGCACTCCAGCCTGGGTGACAGAGTAAGACCCTGCTCTGGAAAAAAAAAAATTATACACCCGAAATACACTAATATGAGAATATGTATTTCCCCTCATAATTACCAACACTAGGTTTTGATGACCTTTTTTTCATCTTGAAAATCTAAGTTGTAAAAGAAAATGTTTTGTTATTTTAAAAATTTGATTCGTATCTTTCCTTGTATTGGTTATCTATATTTCTTCTTTGTGTATTACCTACTTATTTATTTACTTTGCCTATTTTCTTTAAAAAAATTTACAATTGCTTTCTAAGATTCCTTTGAATTTTAGAGAAATTTTCCCATGTCTTTGAACCAATAAGGATGTGATATTTTTCAGGAATATCTCTGTAAAACTAATACAGTTGACCCTTGAACAACAGACTTGTAATGCATGGATCCACTTATACACGGATTTTCTTCAGTCTCTGCCACCCCTGAAACAGCAAGACTAAGCTCTCCTATTCCTCCTCCTCCTCAACCTACCCAATGTGAAGACAACAAGGATGAAGACCTTTATGATGCTCCACTTCCACTTAATGAACACTAAGTGTATTTTCTTGTTCTTATGATTTTCTTAATAACATTTTCTTTTCTCTAGCTTATTTTATTGTAATAATACAGAATATAATACATACATGTACGAAATGTGTGTTAATCAATTGTTCATTTATTGGTAAGGCTGCTGTTCAACAATAGGCTATTAGTAAAGTTTGTGGTTTGTGGGGAGTCAAAAGTTATACCTTGGTTTTTTTGACTGTATAGGTGGTCAGTGGCCCTAACCCCCATCTTATTCAAGGGTCAACTGCAGTTACAAAAAGTAGCAATGTTTCATCAAATCTAAAAACTTTCATGATTTTTAAAATGCACTCATATTTTTATAGTACAAAAAGAAAAAAACTGCTAAGATATAAAAATTGCTAAAAATTAAGCTCAAAGTAAGTAGAACTAAGGAAATAAGGAGTAAAAATCAATAAAATAAAAAATCTTAAAAATCAACAAACTCAAAAGTTATTTCCTTGAAGAAAAAAATGTGTAAACTTGATTAACTCCCAATAAAACTGATCAAAAAAAGAAAACAGGATAGGAAGAAGGGGGAAATTAAACTACTAATATCAGAAACAAAACAGAATATCACTACAGAGCTATAAAAATTAAAATGATAATAGGAAGGCATCATGAATAATTTTATGCCAATAAGTTAAAGAATCTATATGAAGTTAACAAATTGTTTGAAAAACACAGTGTATCAAAATTGACTCAAGGAGAAATAGAAAATTTGAATAACTTTACCTCTGTTGAAGGAATTGCATTTGTAATGAAACATTCCTAAAATCAAAATATCATCTTCATATGGCTGTACTGGTGAATCACATCAAATATCTAAGGAAGAAATAATACCAATCTTGAATCACCTCTTTCAGAAAATAGAGGGAGAGTTTAAGCATACAAGAAAGCAAATATGATGGATAGGACTTCATCAAAATTAAATATCTCTGTGTGCTCATTAAGAGATATCATTAAATAGATGAAAAGACAAGTCACAGATTTGGAAAAAAAATCTGCTATATGATGGCACAGGACTTGTATTTAGAATATTTAAAGAACTACAAATCAATAATAAAAAGACAATAACCCAATTTCAAGTGAGCAAATGATTTCAACACTTCACACACACAAAAAACCATAACTACTAAGTTCAATATGGATAATACTCAATTCAGCAAAGATAAAAAGCAACAGGAACTCTTCAACATTGTTGGTGAGAGAGTGAATGGCACAATCACTTTGGAAAACTCTTTGGCACTTTCTTGTAAATTAAATATACACCTAATTCATTACCCAGCAATTTCACTCCTAGGCAGTTACTCAAGATAAATGAAAGCATGCATCCATAGACATACTTGTAAAAGAATATGCGTGGTGGCCAGGAGCAGTGGCTCATGCCTGCAATCCCAGAATTTTGGGAGGCCGAGGCGGGTGGATCACCTGAGGTCAGGAATTCAAGACCAGTCTGGCCAACAAGGTGAAACCCTGTCTCTACAAAAAATACAAAAAATTAGCCAGGTGTGGTGGTGGGCGCCTGTAGTCCCAGCTACTCAGGAGGCTGAGGCAGGAGAATGGTGTGAACCCAGGAGGTGGAGCTTGCAGTGAGCCAAGATTGCGCCACTGCACTCCAGCCTGGGCGACAGAGCTAGACTCTGTCTTAAAAAAAAAAAAAAAAGAATATGCGTGGCAACTTCATTAATAGTAGCTAAAAAGTAGAAACAGCCTAACAGGCTATTAACAGTAGAGTGGTAGAGTAGATAAATAAATCATGGTATAACCATACAGTGGAATAGTATCCAGCAATAAAAAGAATAAACTAGTGATGCACACAAGATGGAAGAATCTCAAAAATATGTTGAATGAAATAATCCAGACACAAAAGTAAACACTGCGTAATTCCATTTAAGTGACGTACAAAACTAGACAAAGTAATCTATGCTGATAGAAAGCCTAACCATGATGGCTTCTGTGTAGGCGGCCCGTGTGTGGGTGCCAGGCAGGAGAGACTTTCTAAGGTGATGAAAATAGTTTGTCTCTAATATCTGTTTCTGTATCTTGATTAAGGTGTGAGTTACATGAAAATATTCGTTTATCAAAGTTCATTGAACTATCATATGTAAATTATGCCTTAATTTTAAAAATATGATACTCCAATGATTTCAAAGCATCTTGATTTTAGGGACATTAAAGTGTTTCAAATGTACAAAATGTACAAATCTTTGAAATATAGGATACATTGTAACTTTTAAAGTAAAGGTATATTCACAGTAGGCAAAAGGTGGAAGCAACTCAAGTGTTCATGGCCTGGTGAACGAATAAACAAAATGTGGTCTATACATATCATGGCATACTATTCAACCTTAAAAAGTATGGAAATTCTGACTTATGCAACAACATGGATGAACTTTGAAGATGCACCAAGTGAAATAAGTCAATCACAAAAGGACAATTACTATGATTTCGCTTATATGAGAAACCTAGAATAGTGAAATTCATGGAAACAGAAAACAATAACGGTGGTTGTTGGGGCCAGAGGGAGGGGAAAATGGGGAGTTACTGTTTAATGGTTATGGAGTTTCAGTTGGGAAAGATGAAAAAGTTCTGGAGATGAAGGATGGTGATGGTTGTACAAAGATGTGAATGTACGTGGACTGAATGTCACAGAACTGTACATTTAGAAGGATTGAAATGGTTTTACATTATATACATTTTACTACAGTTTAAAAAAAGAAAAATTAAAACTAGTCCAGACAATAAATATTTCGTATTTCAAATTCGGTCCAAGTGAGTAATCAAAAGCATAGCTCCAAACCAAACAAAGGCAAACAAAAACAGTAAATAGCTAAGTGATTCGAAAGAAGCTATTTCTGTTTGGATCAATTTATGCTGGGCACAAACACTTTCAAAGCTGATAAACAGGGCTCACTGTCTTCCCATTTGGCTTTCAGGCCTCAGAGTGGCTTACAGTTCTTCTAAAAATCAAGAGCCTATCATCCCACCACACAGCCTTACTTCACAATGCAACTTCTCAAAGATAAAAATATACAAACAGCACATGATTTTAATTCACAAAGAGCATAACGTTAACAATAAATCGGAAGAAACACAAACACTGTGTAAGAGACCGCTTTCAAAAAGACAAGTAGACCAGTTCAGGAAGATAAATATAACTATAACATGCCATATGGATTGGAAAAGGTGAATTACACTAATTATTACTCCAATACAAGTCCAGCATTTTCCTCGGAAACTTAAGCAAGATTTTGGAATACATAAAAGTCTGTTTAAAAAAATAAATAAATAAAGTACATCAAAAGTGTAGAAAAGCCCTGTATCAGAAATATGTGTCAGTATGAGCTCATTTTTAATTCAAGAATAGATTGTCCCCAAACATAGAAAACTAAAGAGATCTCCTATAGACTGTTCTAATTTCATGTTATAATAATCATTAGAATCATTGTTTAACTGAGGAGTAAATGTAAACTTTTCTAACAGAGCAAATAAAATTGATTGCAAGGTGTTTATTAAGGCTCTATAATATGTATCAAATTGCTTAAGACACAGATGTTGCCTTGCCCTCTGAGAAAATAAAAACACAGACTACAGGCAGTGAAAGAATAAATAGAAATTAAGTAGGTAATAAAGAGGTGAGAGTAGGCATATACATTGTTTAAAGATCAAAAAGTTTAAGTGAACTCTGTGGCAGCCAGTGAATTATAGTTGGGTTTATACTGTGATAAAATAAATAAAACCAGGCTGAAAGTTAAGTGATCACTTATATAAAAAATATTTATATAGGCCAGGTGTGGTAGCTCATGCTTGTAATCCCAGTACTATGGGAGGCCGAGGTGGCCGGATCACTCCTGAGGTCAGGAGTTTGAGACCAGCCTGGCCAACATGATGCAACCCCATCTCTACCAAAAATACAAAATTAGCCAGGCCTGGTGGCATGTACCTGTAATCCCAGCTACTCAGGAGGCTGAGGCAGGAGTATCACTTGAACCCGGGAGGCGGAGGTTGCGGTGAGCCAATATCACACCATTGCACTTCAGCCTGGGCAACAGGAGTGAAACTCCATCTCCAAAAACAAACAAACAAACAAACAAAAAATTGTATAAAAACATAAAAAGCCAATCCACAAAGATGCTTGATTTCTTCAGATCGATGTGTCCTTTTTTTATGTTTATGTTTTAAATACTTAGTGCGGTCAATATTTCATCCTGAAGGACAGAGCTTGTTTGCCCACGTCACACTTTTCTTATAAGGCTCAAATATCAGCAGTCCCCACTGAGAATTTCAAAAGAAGCTTTCTTGAAACTCACTTAACTTTGCTGGTTGATTTTTGTTGTTTACCTAGTGAAGTACAGTCATGTATGGCTTTATGACAGGGATACATTCAGAGAAATGCTTCATTAGGTAATTTCATCATTGTGTGAACATCGTAGAGTGTACTTAGACCTAGATGATACAGCCTATTACACACCAAAGCTGTATGGTGTAATATATTCTGTTGCTCCCAGGCTAGAAACCTGTACATCATGTTACCATGTTGAATACTGTAGGCCAGGGGTCCCTAGTCCCTGGGTTGTGGACCGGTAGAGTTTGCGGTCTGTTAGGAACCAGGCCGCACAGCAGGAGGTGAGTGAGGGACCAGAAAGCATTACCGCCTGAGTTCTGCCTCCTGTCAGATCAGCTGCTGCATTAGATTCTCATAGCAGCACGAATACAGTTGTGAATTGTGCATATGAGGGATCTAGGTTGTGAGCTCCTTAGAAGAATCTAAAGCCCGATGATCTGAGATAGAACAGTTCCATCCTGAAACTGTCCTCCCCATCCCAGCCCTCCCCTGTCGCCCTCATCCATGGTAAAATTGTCTTCCTCAAAAGGGTCCCTGGTGCCGAAAAGGCTGGGGACCACTGCTATAGGCAATCATAACACAATGGTATTTGTGTATCTAAACATATGTAAACATAGAAAATGTATAATGAAACATGGAATAAAAGATTCTTTTTTTTTTAAAGGAACACTTATATAGGGCACTCATCATGAATGGAGCTTGCAGTTCTGGAAGTCGCTCTTGGGTGAGTCATTGAGTGAGTGGTGAGTGAATGTGAAGGCCTAGGACATTACTGTACACTATTGCAGATTATAACCACTGTACACTTATACTACACTAAATTTATTTTAAAAGTTTTTCTTTCTTTAATAATAAGTTAGCTTACTGTAACTTTTTTACTTCATAAACTTTTTAGTTTTTTAAACTTTTTGACTCTTTTGTAATAACATTTAGCTTAAAATGAGAACATTCAGCTTAAATTTAAAAAAAAATTTTTAATTAAAAAATTTTAAATTAAAAAATTGTTTTTATCTTTATATCCTTATCTGTGGCTACTTTCTGGTAATTTCTTTTTTTTTTTTTACTTTTTAAACTTTTTTGTTAAAAACGAAGACGCAAACACACACATTGGTCTAGATGTACACAGAGTCAGGAATACCAATATCACTGTCCTCTACCTCCACATCTTGTCCAGTGAAGACATTGGAATGTCTTCAGGGGCAGTAACACTCATGGACCTGTCATGTCCTGCGATAACAATGTCTTCTTCTGGAATGCAGGCACACTTCAGAGATACTACAGTGCCAATATCAAAATAAAGTGAGTCACACACTTTTTTTGGTTTCCCAGTGCATATGAAAGTTATCTTCACACTATATTGTAGTCTATTAAGTGTGCAATAGCATTATTTCTAAAAAAAAAGTACATACCTTAATTTAAAAATACATTGTTGCTAGAAATGCTAATGATCATCTGAGTCTTCAGAGAATTATAATCTTTTTGCTGAAAGGTCTTGCCTCAATGTTGATTGCCACTCACTGGTCAGGGTGGTGTTTGCTGAAGGTTGAGGTGGCTGTGGCAGTTCCCTAAAATAAGACAATAGGGTTTGCTGTATCAATTGACTCTTCCTTTCACAAAAGAGTTCTCTGTAGCACATAATGCTGTTTGACAGCATTTTACCCACAATAGGACTTCTTTCAAAATTTGACTCAATCCTCTCAAAGCTATTGCTTTATCAACTAAATTTACATAATATCCTTCATTGTGATTTCAACAATGTTCACAGTCAGGAGTAGGTTCCATTTCAAGAAACCCACTTTCTTTGCTCATCAACAAGAAGTAACTTCTCAGGTGTTCAAGTTTTATCGTGAGATTGCAGCAATTCAGTGACATCTTCAGGTATTCTAGTTCTCATCCTGTTTTCATCACATATGCAACTATTTCCTCCACTGAAGTCTTGAACCCCTTGAAGTCATCTATGAGGGTTAGAATCAACTTCTTCCAAACTCCTGTTAATGTTGATATTTTGACCTCTTCTCATGAATCACAAATGCTCTTAACAGCATTGACTTCTCTCTAGCCATGAAAGCCCTAGATGGCACCTTCTTCCAATAGAAAGCTATTTCATCTAAATTGAAAATCTATTGTTGAGTGTAGCCACCTTTATCAATTATCTTAGCTAGATCTTCTGGATAACTTGCTACAGCTTCTCCATCAGCACTTGCTGCTTCACCTTGCACTTTTATGTTCTGGAGATGGCTACTTTCCTTAAACTTCATGAATCAACTTCTGCTAGCTTCACACTTTTCTTTTGCAGCTTCTTCACCTCTCTCAGCTTCACAAATTGAAGAGAGTTAGGTCTTGGCTCTAGATTAGGCTTTGGTTTAAGGGAATACTGTGGTTGGTCTGATCTTCTATCCAGACCACTAAAGCTTTCTTTATATCGGCAACAGGGCTGTTTCATTTTCTTATCATTCATGTTCACTGGAGTAGCACTTTTAATTTCCTGCAGGGAATTTTCTTTTTTTTTTTTTTTTTTTTCTGTTTTTGAGACGGAGTCTTGATCAGTCACCCAGGCTAGAGTGCAGTGGCGCAATCTCGGCTCACTGCAAGCTCCACCTCCTGGGTTCACGCCATTCTCCTGCCTCAGCCTCCTGAGTAGCTGGGACTACAGGCGCCCGCCACCACGCCCGGCTAATTTTTTTGTATTTTTAGTAGAGACAGGGTTTCACCATGTTAGCCAGGATGGTCTCGATCTCCTGACCTCGCGATCCACCTGCCTCGGCCTCCCAAAGTGCTGGGATTACAGGCGTGAGCCACCGCGCCTGGCGGAATTTTCCTTTGTAGTCACAGTTTGTTTGGCTTAGGCCACCCAGCTTTCAGACCATCTCAGCTTCTGACATGCCTTCCTCACTAAGCTTAATCATCTATAGCTTTGATTTAGAGTAAGAGATAATGAGAGTCTTCCCTTCACTTGAACATTTGGAAGCCATTGTAGGGTTACTAATTGGCCTAATTTTAATATTATTGTGTCTCAGGGAAGAGGGAGGCCTGAGGAGAGGGAGAGAGATAGGGGAACAGCCAGTGAGTGGAGCAGTCAGAACGCATACAACATTTATTGTTTGCTGTCTTCTGTGGATGCAGTTTGTGGCACCCAGAACAATTATGACACTAACATCAAAAATAAAGAATATTATAATAATAATGAAAAAGTTTGAAATATTGCAAGAACTACCAAAATGTAACAGAGACATAAAGTGAACACATGCTATTGAAAAAATGGCACCAATAGACTTGCTCAATGCAGGGTTGACACAAATCTTCAATTTGGAAAAAATGCATTGTCTTCAAAGCGCAATAAACCAAAGTGCAATAAAACAAGATGTGCACGTACCATCTGAAGGACCTACCTGAGGCTGTTTTGTAGATTATTTTTTTGTAAGTAAGATTACACTCTAAAATAATGATTTAACATACATTATAGTAAATGCATCAACCGGTAGCATAATCATTCATTACCATTATCAAGTATTATGTACTATACAAAATCATATGTGCTATACTTTTATATAACTGGCCACACAGGTTTGTTTACACAAGCATCACCACAAATACATGAGTAATGAATGCAGTGTGCTATGACATTATGACGGCTATGATGGCATGGCACTAGGCAAGAGTAATGTTTCAGCTCCATTTTAATCTTATGGAAGTATATGTGTTCCATTGTTGACCAAGATGTCATGATGCAGTGCATGACTATATATTATCTGTAGAAATGAGATTATTTGGAGTCAATTAAGGCTACTATACCATTACGTTTTTTAGAACTGTAGAAATCTAAATTAATATTTCTACAGGACTTTTTCACAGACATTTTCTCATAATAACCCAATTCTTTTAAAGAAAATAAGAAGTGGCTTGTTTTCATCACCACTAATCTATAAAACAAAGAAATAAATAAAAATACGGTTGGTTTATACTTCAGATATATATCTTTGGTGATTTTCATAGAATCAAAAAAAAAATGAGGCCTCAAAAGCCATCATTTTAACATTAATTTTCCCAAATTAAGCTCACTTAATAATTTTTGAAATTGTGTTTATTTTCAGTTGAGTGGAGTATATTCAGTAAATCAATTTGCAATGCATTTGTTGCATCTACATCTCTCTTGCTGGTATTTCTCCTCTCACAGAATGGTTAGCACAGAAGAGACTTCCTCCACGGGACCCTGGCTTAGAAATGGTTGCATTTCAGAGCCAAAGTAGTATAAGCTGCCAAAATGATTCTGAGCAATGGAAAAAGAGTCCTCATGTATCCCTCACAGCTCATTAAAGAGTTTGCCCCACCATTATCCCCAGGCTTTTCCATCTTCAATGTCTTCCCCTTAATTGCACCCATTTCTAATCTTGATGCACATTTTCAAATGTTTCTTCTTCTCGAGAGACTTTTTCCTCCATCCTGCATTTTTTGCAGTCTCTAGCCATTTTGGAAAATTTCTTGAAAGAAGACATTTCCACATCTGTGCCTTCTTCTCATTCACCATAATCTGGCCTCCACTCCCACTCTTCTACTAGACTTTTCCAAAAGGTCTCCAAGGACTTCTATAGGAGCAAGTATAGAAGCCTCTTCTGGGCCAGGCGCAGTGGCTCACATCTGTAATCTCAACACTCTGGGAGGCCGAGGCAGGTGGATCACCTGAGGTCAGGAGTTCGAGGCCAGCCTGGCCAAAATGGTGAAACCCTGTCTCTACTAAAAACACAAAAATTAGCTGGCTATGGTGGCGCACACCTGTAATCCTAGCTACTTAGGAGGCTGAGGCAGGAGAATCACTTGAACCCAGGAGGCAGAGGTTGCGGTGAGCCAAGATCACACCACTGCACTCCAGCCTGGGTGACAGAGTGAGACTCCATGTCAAAAAAAAAAAAAAAAAAAAAAAAACTGCTCCATGGCAGTGTTTCAAGTGCCTGCTGTGACTGTGCTGTTCTGGACGCCAAGCCTTGCTTTGGTGTTGTTTTCCTCCTACTTTTGTCTCTCCTTTCATTTGATTGGCTGCCAAAATGTAAGAGGCCTCTAAGCTTCCTCACTTAGCACTCCTTTTACCCCGGCTAATCTCTCTTGCTTTCATTCAGACCTGTACTGAGACTGCTATACACTGATAGTACTCCACAATTTATCCTCCCTTTTTTTGGTCTGTAAGAGTCTGAGCATTTTATTTTTTCCAAATGAAAGCTCAACATTTCCACTCAGATGTGCCTCAGTCACCTCAGAATCAGCATTTCAAAAACCAAACTTTTCTTTCTTTTTATTGTAGAGACAGGGTCTTGCTCTGTCTTCACCCAGGCTAGAGTGCAGTGGCATGATCATAGCTCATGGCAGCCTTTAAACTCCTGGGCTCAAGCAATCCTTCCGCCCCAGCCTCCAGAGCAGCTGGGACCATAGGTGTACACCACCATGCTCAGCTAGCAACCTTTTCTTTCTTCTGCAAATTTTTCTTCTGCCTATGTCTTGGGCCCTTTTTGGGTGAGTAACATCATCATCTCCCTACTCACACAAAATAAAGAACTGAAGTAAGCTCTGATGTTTGTTCCCACCTAAGCCCCTTCTTTAAATTGCTTAGTCTGTTTGTGAATTCATCCTGTCTTCTCCCTTTCCTCTGACTCTGCCCTTGCTCAGACTATCATCATCAATGTTCTGGACAATACTGGTAGCTCTGAACATGTCCCCTCACTTCCAATCTTTCCTAATACAGCACATCCTGATCCATACACAATGAGACTTTTATCTCTTAGCAATGATAAGATAGAATTCCTTGGAAAACATCACAAAACACTTTTGGTAGAAAAAAACCAAACACTGCTATGTTAAGAGACTACATAAACCCTAATCTGTATTCTGCATGATTTTTCACCGGAGGAATATTTCTGAAGTAAAAATATGTTCCATTACTCCCCTGCTAAAAACTCCAGAATAGCACTTCGCTGTCTTCAGAATCAAGATAGGAAGAAAAAGGGTCTGATTTTCCACTCCTACATTACTCCATCTATGCTAATTTGTGTTGAATTTCCAGACATATCTATGCTCTGTAATAACTCGGGGCTTGGGACCTTCAGTTTTTTCTGCCCAGAATGCCCACTTCCCATCCTGTCAGCTGTCTATTCATCCTTCATTATCCAGTTCCTTTTTACCTCTCAAGACTCAGTATCTCACCCTTCTCCTCAATGCTGACTCACTCAAACTAAGTCCGCATTGAACTCCCTCCTAAACTTCTTTTAATCTTTTGAAATTGCTCTTTCTTGCCTGCCGAGCCTTTGTACACACATTTCTCTCTGCCTCGAACACTCCCTCCTGCTTAGCCTGCCTGACACTTACCTAATCTTCAAAATTCACTTCAAATGTCATTTCCTCTGTCTCTGACTCCTCAAGCTGTCCTATGTACTGGGACCAGAGTATGCTTGATCACTTTCAAAGCACTGTACTGTATGGTGGTTTTTCTAACTCTATTTTCCTATTTGATTTTGAGTGTGGCATGTTAATTAGGGCAATGCTACTTATTGCAGGAGACAAACTCCTACATCTGAGTAGCTTAATATAATGGAGGTTTCTTTCTTTCCCATTGAAAGTCCAAACAGATGTTCCTAATTGTCAGGTGGCTCTACTCCAAGCATGAGTCAGGGTCCTAAATTCCATCCTGTGGCTCGGCCAGTTTCAATACATGTTCACTTTGAAAAAGAAGTTTTATGGGCCAAGCCTGCTGGTGCCTCACATGACCACTGCCCATAAGTCACATGGCCACACCCAATTATAAGAGGGACTGGAAAAAGTAGTTAAGCTGTCCACCTAGGAAGAAGAGGAAATGCTGTGATGTACAGACATCTAGTCTTTGCTGGAGCTAGGCTCTGCTTTTTCTCTCTCTATCGCCAGTACCTGTCATGGACCTGACCCATATTTGTTGAACAAATGAGTGAATGAAAAGCATAAAAGATTCATAAAAGATCTTATATTTTAACTTAGCACTTCCAGTAGTTTTTTTGGTTGTTGTTGTTTTGTTTTGTTTTTGTTTGTTTGTTTGTTTGAGACAGAGTCCTGCTCTGTCACCCAGGCTGGAGTGCAGTGGCACAATCGGCTCACTGCAAGCTTCGCCTCCCGGGTTCACGCCATTCTCCTGCCTCAGCCTCCCGAGTAGCTGGGACTACAGGTGCCCGCCACCACGCCCGGCTAATTTTTTGTATTTTTAGTAGAGACGGGTTTCACCATGTTAGCCAGGATGATCTCGATCTCCTGACCTCGTGATCCGCCCGCCTCGGCCTCCCAAAGTGCTGGGATTACAGGCGTGAGCCACCGTGCCTGGCTCCAGTAACTTTTAAAGAGCACTTAGACTCCCAAATCCACTTAAAAAAAAGTCTTCTCTTTTTTCTATACCCAATGAAATAAAAATAGGTTTTTAAAGGAAGAAATATAAAACAAGTTGTAATTGGTGGCATGTACTACCATAGCAAAAGTCCTTACTCAAGTGACTGACACGGAAAAATCACCCTGATGTGGTTTGTCTCTGTGTCCCCCTCAAATTTCATTTCGAATTGTAATCCCCACATGTTGGAGGAGGGGCCTGGTGGGGGATGATTGGATCATGGGGGTGGATTTCTCCCTTGCTATTCTCATGATAATGAGTGAGTTCTCATGAGATCTGATGGTTTAAAAGTGTGGCACTTCCCTTCGCTCCCTCTCCTCCTGCCACCATGTAAGATATGCCTTGCTTCCCCTTCACCTTCTGCCATGATTGTAAGTTTCCTGAGACCTCCCCAGCCATGCAGAACTGTAAGTCAATTAAACATCTTTTGTTTATAAATTATGCAGTCTGAGGGTAGTATCTTTATAGTAGTGTAAGAACATATTAAAACACATCCCTCTGGAAATTTAATAATGATGGTAGTTGTATTTGTTTCCTAGGGCTACTGTAACAAAGTCCCGCAAAGTAGGTGGCTTAAGTAGGAGAAATTCATTGTCCCACAGTTCCAGAAGCTAGAAGTCCAAGATCAAGGTGTCAGCAGGATTGGTTCCTTCAGAGGGCTGTGAGGGAGAATCTGTCCCATGCCTCTCCCCTAGCTTCTGATGGTTTTCTGGCAATCTTTGGTGTTCCTTGGCTTCTGCAATATCACCCCAATCTCTGCCTTCATGTTCATATGGCATTCCCCCATATGCATATCTGTATCCAAATTTCCCCCTTTGTAAGGATACCAGTCATATTGGATCCGGGCCCACTCTACTCCAGTAGGTCCTCATCTAGCCAACTACATCTGCAACAACCCTATTTCCAAATAAGGTCACATTCTGAGATGCTAGGGATTAGGACTCCAGCATGTGAATTTTTGAGGGACAGAACTCCACCTACAGTGGGGGGGTTATGAAGCTCAGATGTATTAGCCTCCCTGTTTGTCCTTACTTTGAGATAAAGCTTAAAAAGAATCTTGTCATCCAAATTAGACTCTTTTCTGCCAAAGGGCAGCATTCTGACTGAAGAGGAAGGTTGGGATGGAAGGCAGCCATGGCATCCAAGGCACGGGCCCCACGTGAAACAACAGTAATACTAAGAATTTACTTTCGTAACTGATAGCTCTTAGAAAAAGAGGCGTATTTGTAACCCCAGTTACAGTACTTTGCTTTGACTGAAAAGTCAATTTCAACTGTTCATTATGAGCACATTCCTTTTCCCTGAAGTTCCATCAAAATGCAAATATAGACATGTGGGACATGAGGGATCTTCTTGCTTTAACAAACACATATACAAAATGATTTCTAGCAATTAAAATGACAGCTTCAATAATCATCTGATCTCTCACATCATCTGCCCCTTGAATCATAAATATAGTCATGAGAGAGCCTTCAAAAACATTAATTGGAGCAAATGATGTATTTTCTCATTTTCTTTAGAGTTTTCCTCAAAAATTTCATAGAAGCATCAAATTAATGAGCTTGAAACAATTGTGGGAATTGTTCAGTGTAGGGATTTCGAGGGGTGCTCAGGAAAGCCCTGAGAGTTCATTCAAGTCCAGAAGGGTAGAGGCATGTGTGGTGGGTGGGTAGAGTAGTGGGGCAATGGGGAGGAGACTGGGAGGAAAGAGATTCTGGACAGTTGGCCCACCTGCAGCCCACCTGATCAGGGCACTCTCCTTTCATCTAATGTACATATTGTTGCTATGTTTGAAGAAAGTATTTCACATTTTATAAAAGTAAGAAAATTTAGACCCAGAGAAATTGTGATTTATTGAAATTCCTGTAGCTAGCCAAGTGAGCAGCAGAGCTGAATGAGAATCAAAGTTTTCTTCTGTCCATCCATACATACTAAGCTACATCTCTCCCAACTTCATACAAATGCAAGAAGGAAACTCACTACAGGTTCATTTAAGGCAAATATGCTGTCTGCCTTGATCTGGTGATTTATGACAACTCAATCCATGTCTTCATAAAAATAACCAAGCTGGCTAGGTGCAGTGTGGCTCATGCCTGTAATCCCAGCACTTTGGGAGGCCAAGGTGGGCGGATCATGAGGTTAGGAGTTCAAGACCAGCCTGGCCAACATGATGAAACCCCATCTCTACTAAAAATACAAAAATTAGCCAGGTGTGGTGGCAGGCGCCTGTAATCCCAGCCACTCGGGAGGCTCAGGCAGGAGAACTGCTTGAACTGGGGGGACGGAGGGGGCAGTGAGCAGAGATCACGCCATTGCCCTCCAGCCTGGAAGCCTGGGTGATAGAGCAAGACTTCGTCTCTAATAATAATAATAATAATAATAATAATAATAATAACCTAAGCCTAAATTGGGGCATTTTTAGCTTAGCCCTTTCAACATAAAATATTTTTATGATATAAAGATGTAACTTTTATGTAATGACTATTATATTTCAAGTTAATCACAGATCTAGACCTTTATTCTTCACCTGCAATTCTTTTCTTTCAGCTCAATGAAGAGCATCTAATTTTTAAAGGACCAGTTAGGGCCAGGCGTGGAGGCTCACGTCTGTAATCCCAGCACTTTGGGAGGTTAAAATGGGTGGATCACTTGAGGCCAGGAGTTTGAGACTAGCCTGGCCAACAAGGGAAGACTCCGTCTCTACTAAAAATACAAAAATTAGCCAAGCGTGGTGGTGCACCCCTGTAATCCCAGCTACTTGGGAGGCTGAGGCATGAGAATGGTTTGAACCCAGGAAGTGGTAATGGGGTGAGCAAAGATCATGCCACTGCACTCCCACCTGGGTGACAGAGTGAGACTCTCTGTCTCAAAAAAAAGGCCCAATTAGCACAACTGAAACTGATCCAGCCAGAGAAGTGTTCCATCAGGTAAAACATTACATAAGGTTAAGTTCACTGGGCATTAGTTAAATGGGCTATTTTAAATAAATATACTCCCTGTGTTACATTTTAATATGAGCAATCTCTTTCTTACATGTGCCCAAGTGGTCCTGGAAATTCCCTCCTCTTCCCTCCACATGGCAGCCACTCATTCTTATTTAGGGTAGAGATGAATAACACTTAGAGAGGAGCAGGGATGGCAAAAGGAAAGGAGGGGCCAGGCACAGTGGCTCATGCTTGTAATCCTAGGGCTTTGAGAGGCCGAGATGGGAGGATCGCTTGAGGCCACGAGTTCGAGGTCAGCCTAGTCAACATAGCAAGACCTCATCTCTATTTTTAAAAAAATTGACTAATTAATAATAATAATTTAAAAATAATAAAAGGAAAGGAGGCTCTCTTCCTCTTTGCAAAGAAGAAAAGGAAGGAGTTAAACACAGAAAAGGAAAAGGATCAAGGATTTGGAGAGATGAAAAATCATTTTTTCATTCCCCTAACAATCTTGGTTGAGGAAATCCAGGTGGAAGGAAAGGTGGAAGGGGGAAGAGAGAATGGAGAAAGATTGGAGGGAGAAAGCAGTCACAATAATAAGACACAGCTCATTATAGCTGTGGTTCTCCTTAACTCCTGGTTGTCCTCTCACCCAAGAACACATTTCAATTAGCTTGAGTGAGACAGAAGAGTTTATTGGGCAGATACAAAAATATCTTATAGAAAGCACACTCAGACCACAGGAGGGATTGGTATCTACAACAGCAAATTGATAAGCTGTAGGGAAAATTCTTTCCCTCTGGCTTTCTTGCTGGTTTTCTCTATTTCTCCCTTCCTCATCTATTCCTTCTCCCTCTCCCTCCCCATCTCCAACCCATGGTTCCTCATCTCTTCTCCCTGTGTGTTTTTCCTTCTTCCTCTATGTGTGCTGTTCTCTGCCGGTCCATTCGCGAGATAGGCCTGGCTTCCTGTAGCTCCAGGGAATCTCTTCATTTCAAACAACCAGTAGTTAACTGGTATTCTTGTCCCAGGTCCAAACTCTCAAGTTGAAATATTTAGTTGGCCTAGCCTAGATCAGGTGTCCACCATGGTTCCATGAGATCTGGTCAGTTAGTTCCATCTAACTGCCAAGGTATCTACTTTTGTTGGGGAGTTGGGAGAGACACCAAGTAGCAGAAAGGGGAATTACGGACTAAACAAGCAGCTTCATTTAGTTCTACAACCCTTTGCAACCTTGTCCCAGGCTCTTGCGTGGTGTCCTTAGTCTCCAGCCCCTATCCCAAGAGTTTTCAACCTCTTACAACACTGTTTCTCACGGTGTTGTCCAGGTCGCTTGCATCAAAGTGTGTTCATTAAAAATGTGGATACCTAAGCCCCTTACTCCAGACCTATTCCAGAAGCCTTGTGTGTTAAATACACCTTAGGGACTGGTTTGAAAATCTCAGTGCTAAGAAGACTGTATTGGAAAACTCACTCTGAGTTTTGAATAAACTTTTGAAATAATAATTATAGATATAATTATGATATTAATAGATAATATTTATTAAATATTATAATAATAATCCTATAAATAATTATGTTATATAATTATAGATAATATATATTATTTTATAAATAACTATTATAGATAATATTTATTATAAATAATTATTATTACAGATATTTATTATAGATAATAAATGTAAAACACTAGTTATAAAAAGTATATAGCACTCTCTAGATTAAAAGGATATTTATTTTTGAATTTCAGAAAGTACAGAGAAGTTGCTATTATGCCAAAAGTAATATGCAGAATTTTCTTCTTTATTTACATGCCATACCATTTACTTTGTGCATCCACAATTCCTATTAAGTCTGTAAGGAGCCCAAGAAATCTGCATTAGTGTTTATCACATTTCTGGCTTTTTCACAGCCATCTTGATGAGTCCCTATTCTGAGTTTATTTTCTCTTCATTTCTAGCTCTATCTAGATAATCCTAACATGTTTATCTCAATACAACTATGTACTAGGTCTCAACATCAAATGCCACTGCCACTCTCCTATGAAAGTCATCTACAACAAAACTTACGCTAGTCCTCCTTACCTACGGATTGATCATCAGTACACACTCATTTTCTCTGACTAAATTCTCTCCTTCACTATTTCTCCAAGCTTGTGCTTCTCAAATTTGGATACATACATTTCCAGGGAGGTATAATTTTAGATCAGGAGCCATAAGACAATGTTTCTCACTGGAGCATTTATTTAAGTGAGGATTTGGATGATTAAATAACTTAACTGGAAAGCAACTATATGAGTTATTTTTGTCTTAAATAAGACCTGGATATGTTAAATAGAAAGATACAAATTTACATTAAATTTTAAGAAAAAAGGTGGGCCTTCAAAAAATATGTGCTATGTCCTCCAAGTTCCCAATCTTGGGTGCCTTATTTACTTGATAATATGTTATCAGTTTAGCTGATCTTCTTGAAACACACACATTCAACAACTATGCAAGTACTAGTTTAAACGATAAGAAAAGCTTGCAGAAAAATGTCAGTCAGGCCCAGCATATCATCTCCCCTTTCTATCTCATTCTAACTGAATCCCAAGGGTCGCTGGTTTTCAAGGGGTTGGGTCAGAGCCAAAAGAAAGCAATTTCATTTTCAAGTAAGTGTAGCATTCAGTAGATCTTGAGCAAAGTAAATATCCTCGGAGCTGGTTTCATAATAGGTTCCTCCTATGAAGACTGGCTCCAACCAGTTCTTGGGAAACGTGCTTACAGACAAGAATTGCCCAACTGATTTCAGTAGACAAGAAAGTACACAGGGCAGCAGAGGTCAAGCCAATGACTGTACAGCCTATACACATCTTTATGGATAAATTAATCCCCAAAACAATGGCACATACTTACTTAGTATTAAGACTTAGATAACACAATCTAAAGAGCTCAAGGCATTCTTCATAAAAACTTAAAAGTAAACAATGATGTTCATTCTTTTCTGGCTGACAGGGTGAAAATTACCTCCATGGGGCTTGGCCATACAGATAGCTTGAGTAGACAGCTGCCCACACAGTGTAATTTGAGGGGAGCCACAAGGTTCTGTCTGTTGGAAAACATATTCCCCTTTGATTTCTCAGAGCATAGCCTTCCCCAGATTCCTGGCTTCCATTCTCACCATTAGTCACCAGAGTTAGATACTAAGTAGAAGCAGTACGTCCATAAAGTCATTGCGGAAATGTATACTTAAATGACCTGAGAGGGGCATTGGGTTTTTTCCCATTTATACAATAAAACACATTCACACATTAACATGGATTAGTTTACCTTGGTTAATTGTCAATCTGGAAAGCAAATGCTAGGATTCTGATGGCATGTGACATAAAATAGTAAGCTTTTGATGACAATTGAGGCATGGGTTTCATGGGAATCAGAAGACCTGGTTGGGCCCAGCAGAGGGCACTCTAGGAAACCAGCACAAGAAGATTAGACACAACATAGTAGAGATAGACTTACTAAATTTAGCTTTTTATTCCTTTGTAATTTTTGCTAAGCCAGCCCCGACCACCACAAAGCAAATAGGACCACTTTAAAGTTAACTGGTCATGAGTAGAGTGCCCAGGAGGCAGCAAATTGCTTCTGAATTCTGAAAGTGCCAAAACAATCGTCATCATCATCATCATCACCACTACTAAAAGCCATATACATTTCTCAATAGCTTCTGGTAGAATCAATCGCTTTCATCCCTCTGGTGGGTAATATAAAGGAGCTGGCAGAAAACATGGAGAAAGAGAATTAGAAAGGCCAGAGGAAACTCACAACTGATAAGCAGAGGCTGGGGATGGTAGTAAAAAGACAGCTAAGGCTGAACACAGAGGTTCATGCCTATAATCCTAGCACTTTGAGAGGCCAAGGCAGGAGGATCACTTGAGCTTGGGAGTTCAAGACCAGCCTGGAGCCAGGCGCGGTGGCTCACACCTGTAATCCCAGCACTTTGGGAGGCCAAGGTGGGTGGATCACCTGAGGTCAGGAGTTTGAGAGCAGCCTGGACAACGTGGTAAAACCCTGTCTCTACTAAAAATACAAAAATTAGCCGGGCATGGTGGTGCGTGGCTGTAATCCCAGCTACGTGGGATGCTGAGGCAGGAGAATCGCTTGAACCTGGGAGGCAGAGGTTGTAGTGAGCCGAGATTACGCCACTGCACTCCAGCCTGGGTGACAGAGTGAGACTCTGTCTCAGAAAGAAAGAAAGAAAGAAAGAAAAAGAAAGAAAGAAAGAAAGAAAGAAAGAAAGAAAGAAAGAAAGAAAGAAAGAAAGAAAGAAAGAAAGAAAGAAAGAGAAAGAAAAAAAGACCAGCCTGGACAACATAGCGACACCCCATCTGTACAAAAAATACAAAAATTAGCCAAGTGTGGTGGTGCACACCTGTAGTCCCAGCTACTAGGAAGGCTGAAGTGGGAGGACTGCTTGAGCCCAGGAGGTCGAGGCTGCAGTGAGCCGAAATTACACCACTGCACTTCAGACAGGGTGACAGAGCGAGACCCTGTCAAAAAAAAAAAAGACAGCTAAGATAACATCGTCACTGATTGCCACGTAAAGTAGATTGCTGGAATGGCTACAAAATTCTTTTACTATCTGACACTGGTTTGTTCACATACCTGTAAAGTATTTATAGAAATTCACAGATAGATCAGGTAGAGCCAGATCAGTTAACTCTTAGAGAGCCAGAGGACACTTTCTCCACACAGCAAATCAAATTGTTCCTGAGGAAAAGCATGGAGTTCACTTTAGGTACACAAAGATAATCCCAACATAGACTTGACAGTGTGCTTGCTGTAAAAATGAGTTTTGAAAAATTATCAAAAAAATTAATAATCAGTGATCATGTAGAGCAAAACACAGGTATCCAACACATTAGGTTAATGCAAAAGGAATTGCGGGTTTTACCGTTTTAAAAGTAATACAGCAAGGCCAGGCGCAGTGGCTTATGCCTGTAATCCCAGCACTTTGGGAGGCCGAGGTGGGTGGATCACTTGAGGTCAGGAGTTCGAGACCAGCATGGCCAACATGGTGAAACCCTGTCTCTACTAAAAATACAAAAATTAGCTGGGCGTGCTGGCGGGTGCCTGTAATCCCAGCTACTGGGGAGGCTGAGGCAGGAGAATCACGTGAACCCACGAGGCGGAGGTTGCAGTGAGCTGAGATTGCACCACTGCACTCCAGCCTGGGTGACAGAGTGAGACTCCATCTCAAGAAAAAAAAAAAAAAAAAAAGCCAGTTGCACCTATAATCCCAGCTACTCAGGAGGCTGAAGTGGGAGGATCGCTTGAGCCTAGCAGTTTGAGGCCAGCCTGGGGAACAAGGTGAGACCCCCATCTCCAAAGTAACAAGAATAATAATAATAAAAATAATAATTTGTCTTTAACAATGATCCTATCTTCTGACCTAAACCAATATAAAAGTGTTAATCTTTGATGAGAGAAGAGGATATAGGGAAGGTCAAGGGCTAGAATTGTCCCTGTCACTGTATTTATTATACCTTTTGTTGTTTATCTTGCTCCACTGTACTGTATACATTTTCTGTGTGCAGAGACAAAGTGCTTGGGCTTGGTAAATGCTCAGTAAACATTGATTGATTGAATAAACACAATACTTTACTTAGGGCTGAGGTAGAACTTGAGTGATAGCACAATTGGAGGTGATAGGAGGAAATCTAGTCAGGCTGATGGAACTTGGTGCACAGTATGTGTGCTTACGGGCAACAGGTATCAGTGATATCCAAAAAAGAAGTTCTCGACAAGCCATTGGTCAAATGGCAGAAGCCCAAATATGGGAAATCCAGAAGTGGCAGCACGCAAAAGTACATGTACATGGAGAGATAGAATTAGGAAAATCTGTCAGCCAATAGCCAAATCCCGCCATTGGATTGGTGTCAGAGGAGATTACAGTCATTGAGAAGGCATCCACATCAACAAGGCAGAGGCCAGGTTCTAGAATATAAAGTTATCAAGATAGAAATACAGATGTTTTTAGAAGTGGGAGCTTCCAAAACCAGGTTAAACGGAAGCAGTGGTTCGGTTTCATTAAGAAGGAAAGCAATAGTAGCAGTCTGGCAACAGATGTTATTGGTCCATTTTACAGATCAGAAAGCTGAGGCTCAGTGAGAATATGTAAACTTGTCGAAGGCCATACAGCTAATTTAAATTCGTGATTCTGGTTTAAAAATAAAGCCTACCTATGTCGGGTGTGGTGGCTCACACCTGTAATTTCAACACTTTGGGAGACAGAGGTGAGTGGATCACTTGAGATCAGGAGTTCAAGACCAGCCTGGCCAACATGGTGAAACCCCATATCTACTAAAAATACAAAAATTAGCCAGGTGTGGTGGCACACACCTGTAATCCCAGCTACTCAGGAGGCTGAGGCAGGAGAACCGCTTGAACCCGGGAGGCAGAGATTGCAGTGAGCTGAGATCATGCCACTGCACTCCAGCCTGGGCAATAGAGTGAGACTCTGTCTCAAAAAAAGATGTCAAAAAAAAAATAAAATAAAGCCTAGCTAAATCCAAATCCAATTATTCTTCTTTTTCTTACTTTAGCCTGTAACTCTTAAAAATTTAGTTACTGGAACTGGTAAGTCAGACTAGCTTTGTAACTCGATTTTGAATCTTTCAGACATCTTGCAGCACTGGACTAGAACTCCTCAAATTAGCTCTTAATGGTTGCAGAGCTGGGGATGGAGCTGAAACTACAACAATGGTTCTCAACCTTGCCTGCACATTGGAATTATCTCCAGTGTTTAAAAAATGCAGATGCCTAGGTTCCACCACCAGAGATGATAATTTAATTGATCTGAGGTATGGCTCATGCATCAGGACTTTTTTTTTTTTTTTTTTTGAGACGGAATCTCGCTCGGTCGCCAGGCTGGAGTGCAGTGGCGCAATATCAGCTCACTGCAACCTCCGCCTCCCGGGTTCAAGAGATTATCCTGCCTCAGCCTCCTGAGTAGCTGAGCCTACAGGCATGCGCCACCACACCCAGCTAATTTTTGTATTTTTAGTAAAGAAGGCGTTTCACGATGTTGGCCAGGATGGTCTCAAACTCTTGACCTCGTGATCTGCCCACTTCGACCTTTCAAAGTGCTGGGATTTACAGGCGTGTGCTACTGTGCCTGGCCACATCAGGATTTCTTAGGGTCCCCCTAGATGATTCTAATGTGCATCCAAGCTGGAAACTACTGGCTTAGAAGCAGAAGTCAAGAGGCCTCAGCTGTTTGCAGAGGAAACCTATGGTCGCTTGTATATTTCAATGGGATAGGAAAAATACTAGAAGACTCATGGGCTTGCATTTTTTTTTTCTTGAACAAGTGGACCATAGCCGACTCTTTGTTTTTCCAGTTTAACCTTAGAAAATATGCCCAAAGTCAACAGGTATACAATTAACCTTACAAGTCAAATGGTTCCATGTTCTTAGATTCTAAGTGCTAGTTGTGTGTGACCCTAGGCAAGGTTTTAGAACTGAATCTCCCAAATTGCTCATTACTATTCTATGCTTGGCTAAAACTCTTACATCACCCCACAATGGAATGTGACCCAAGTCAAGAAGAAAACAAAAACATTTGTGTTGTTTTCATGATTAGTAATGGGAATGAAGAAGGATTGAGGTATCTCAAAACAACTTGTACTTTTCCCAAACTATTTAAGACCTGATTCATGTAATACTTACTAATCTTGATGCCTACAAATGATACAGTACATGTATAATTTCTGGATGTGTAAATTCTAGACATTTAATTTGCTTGGACCAAATCCTAATCATAGAACTTGTTTATTATTTAAGGTACACACTTAATACAGCAAATACAACAAGTTTCCTATCGCCAGCTTCCATGATCAGAATTCTTGTGCACAGCTCCCTAATAGGAAACAATTAATTATACAATAAATACATGTTTGTTTAGGGTCACTATACATCTTTGTGTGCCTGGAATTGTCCTGGTTTACACCTGTCATTCCAGAATAATTATTAATAGCACCCTCTCTCACTCTCAAAATTGTTTCATTCTTGGTGATAAATTTTCTGGGTACCCTTACACATAGCTCACTCAATCTGCCCTTGCTCTGAAACCACTATAGTGATACATCATGTTTGGAATGTGGTCTATTTCTATTTTGAACACTCCAATAGCTATTCAAGAAAATAAGGCCATTGAAACATTAATCAGTGGATCAACATGTCTTCTTTACATTTTTAAAGAAACATAGAACTGCTTGAACAAATAGGAAACAAATAACAAACTGATAGACATAATCCTAAATATATCGGTAATTACATTTATTCCAGCATAAATGAACTGTAAGTAATTGTATTGTCAATCGATTAACAACGTGATGATAAAACACCATTTCCTCAAGCACAAGGTGATAGTGTGGGTTTCTTGTGGCTGCATAGTTGTCTTTCTCCTTGAACGTGCTCCATCTGGCAATGTCACAAATATCACACAGTCCTCTGAATAATTAGACTACCTAGACAAAGTTTTGAAGCATTATTATCTAGCACTGATCAACCAAAAGTACATACTTGTCCAGCATGGAAACTCCTTGACTCAATCAGCACATCTGACCTGGATGAAATCCAAAAACTGAACAGGTTGTAGGTTTTGCTACCTCTGGCACATAGCCAAAACTTGTGGTATGATTTATCTCAAACTATGAACAGTATATGCAGATAGTGGTTCAAGACTAGCGTGACCAAAATAAGGTTTTGAAAGAGAAGGGGGACACCATAATAATTACACTAGCCCAAAATGGATAATTTGAGACTGTCTTGGGTAAACCAGACTACAGTCACTCTAGTCAAGACAAAAAAGAAAAAAGAAAAAGAAAGCAGGACATTGCATTTTATCTACTTCCAAATCCAAGGATTGCTCTTCTAACCAAATCAGGCTGCATTTAGAGAGATGGGTCACAGTTAACAAAATGATTTCTGTATTTCATGGTGTACTCTCATTTCCTTGTTTTATTTATCTTCCAAGTATGTTCTTTTATAGAAGTATATTTTATGGCAACATCAATGAGCAAGAAAATGTCTTGGGGAAAAGTGTCCAAGATAATAAAGGTTCTGGAGAAAAAGAGTCATTTGAGAAATGGGGTGCATTATTTGTATGAAATCTGACTTCAAACACTGTAAGGAGTGTCATTTTTAAGTAGGAATGGGCACGTGCTGAACTCCACGGAGCAGAGCATAAACAGATAGATGTTTTTAAAATCCAAGGAAGCAAATTTTAATTCCACATAAGGAAGAACTTTAACACTTACTGGCAACAGAATAAGTTGCTGAATAGAATAGAAAATATATCAGTATGGGAAGTATACAAGTAGAAGCTCAGTAGCCATCAGTAGTGTTACAGAGGAATTTTGTTTGTTTGTTTGTTTGTTTGTTTTTGAGACAGGGTCTCACTCTGTCACCCAGGATGGAGTGCAGTGGCACAATCACAGCTCACTGCAGCCTCAGCCTCCCAGGCCCAACCAATCCTCCAATCTCAGCCTTGCAGTTAGCTGGGATGACAGGCGTGCACCACCATGCCTGGCTAATTTTTAAATCTTCTGTAGAGGTGTGTTGGGGTAGGGGGAGGGGTTGGTCTCCCTATGTTCCCCAGGCTGGTCTCCAACCCCTGGGCTCAAGCAATGCTCCTGCCTCAACCACCCAAAGTGCTGAGATTACAGGTGTGAACCACTGCGCCCGGCTTCAGAGGAGTTTTGATGCACCAGGTGGCGCTGGTAATTTAAGGTTCTCTCGTGAAATTGGTCTTTTCACCTGGCCAGCATCTTATTCCTTCTTCTGGTAACAGCATCCCATTGTTCTTTGTTGAACCACCTCTCCCCCATTTCTACAAGGTATGGTAGAGCTAAAATCATCCTCAGCTTCCAGAAATGGGCATCTGATCCTTATATAGACATTCAGTGACTTTTATCTCGTTGGCCAAGAAAGGGCACATGGTCCACGCTCGGAAAATTTGAAGCAGTCCTAAGACTTTTAAGGAAACTATTGGGAAAAAGAAATCGTTTCCTTTACAGGTTGCTGAAAGGGTAAGAGGTAGGCCCAGAACTTCTGGCAACTATCTTGCTAGCAAGTCGGGTAGGGCTTGCCTGAGAATGACACCAATACAGAGGAAACTATAGCCAAGCAGTGGAGAGAGGGAGACTGAGTCCTGGCTCTTTTTTTAGCCCATACATCTAATAATGTCTGAAGCCAGATTAACCTCTGGATTTTTAAGTTCTGTGTGTCAAGACATTCCCTTTCATTTTTAAGCCAGTTTGAGTTCAGTTTTTAAAAATTATTTGAAACAGAAAGAATCCTGAATAATACAGGTCCCTTCCAACAAAATAAAACTTGATTATACTAACATGTACTCTATATATCTAGCTTGGCAGATTTCTAGTTATTTCTAGTAGATTTCTAACATTTCTAGTAATGCTTTGATGGTAGTTAGATGCAGTTACTTGCTGTAAGTAATTGGAAATAATAAAACCTCATTGTTTTAAAAGTGAGTATTTCACATTGATATAGACAATCTTTCCCATTTCATTTGAATTAATGAGATGTTGCTGCACAATATATGCTTGGTTTATCTTATGCTGGTGATCCTCAACCTGGGGCTCCTAGAAGTGGTAATGTTAACGAATGCATTTTACTTAATATTAAAATATTTTAAAGTACGAGGTCCATGGCTGACTTTTAAAAATAAATATTTGTAAAGGGGTTGTTTAAAAAGAATTTTTAAAAAGGAATTCATAACAGTAGTAAAATATTGGGAAATGCCTCAACAAATGCTATGGTAGTTGATATCATGGTTTCTAGCAACTCTAGCTGGAGTTAAGCAGGAAAGGAATTTATTAAAAGGATAGTGAATAATTTGTAAACACATTGGCAGGGCTGGAGAGCCCAATTTCAGGATAAAATCTGAAAGTTTCACACTAAGTTTAGCTTTATTGTTTATAAGGAAGTAATATTAATAGGTGTCTTTGCCATAGTCACAAGAAAAAAGACCCCTGTTCTTGATTTCTTCCATCACTAACCCTTAAAGTCCAGTTCTGAACCTAACTAAGTCTCATGACAATAAACTGTCTTCAAAAGAAGCTGTTAAATGTCTGGCATTGTTAGCCTCATTAGCGATAGACTCTTTTTGCCCCACACCAAGATTCATGAGTAGGAATTCTCAAATAGAGTATAGAATGGGACTTGGTTGCCATACAGTCAAAATGAATCACGAATGTCCACTATAAGCCAAACTTCCGGCAGCTCAACACCAACTTACAAGCTTCTCCCCATGCTTAAAGTTCCAGGAAAAAAAAATGTTCCTACTTAACTTAAAGTAACTATTCTTCCTCATATAAAAGGGACCAGTTGAAGTTTCATCCAGATCAAAATTCAGGCATTCTGGAAGATATCCAATTATTCTGGAATTGTGCCATGGTATTGTCTCAATATTCTGTAAACTATGGACTAATTTGTAAAAGCCACTATTAATAAAGAAATAATAGAACGGAGATACAAGGTAGGAAAAACAGTTAAGATTTATACATATATACATGAAAGAAAATATGGGTAGGTGTTACAGTCTTATTTCTATAATTCGTCTTGGTGCTGTATTTGCACTGATGACTCAACTCCTCTATTATCAATTTCAAGTTTCTTTTCCCCTCAACCAAGGATTTACCTATACCTTGATCCTGAGAAAGCTGTCCCTTGATCATTCTTCCCATACTGGGTTGCTGTGGATTTCCTTTAACTTTTGATGCTGGACATGGCAGTATTAAGAAGCACCCCAGAGGATTGCTGGATTTCTACCAACACCCTTCTTGATCCTATTGCATAATAGCAACACTGTTTCCCCATTATAGCTAGAATCATCATTTCTGTCATATCATAGTCTTCTTTTGACTTTTCATCCTGTGGTTTTAGAATTGGAAACGAAAAAGTGGCAAACTCAGTTTCCAATGCAATTAAGCCAGTGTTTACTTGGTACCCTGTGGAAGCAACCCTCCTTTGGCCTCTAAGACCCCCTAAACCAGCAGAGCCCAGGGGGACTGGAGTGTGATGCAAGCTTCTGTGATTCAGCCACTATGTGATTTTATGAGAGGTGTCATTCCAGTTCTGCCCCTTAATTGCTAAATTCATGCATTCAGGCCATGGAAGCATTGGTACCATAAAATTGTCACAGCTTCAGACCACATACCATATTTCATATGCTAGCACCCCAACTGCACAACGTGTTAACTTCTGGCTGGCATCATAGTTGAATATTTGGTATCCCATCTTATAGTTTTATAAGGCAGACTGCTACCATGTATCATGAGATACATGGTAAAGTCAGTAATCCCATCAACTTTAATCCATTTTCTTATTTTTAACTTTCTCAATTAGAAGTTATACTGTATGGTACTTCTTGATGGAGAATACATTTAATAAGTCTATAAATGGTAAGGCTGACAGAAACATATGGGGAAGAAAAAGCAAATACAGTAGTCCCCCCTTATCCATTGTTTTGCTTTCCAGTTTCAGTTATCTGCAGTCAATAGTGGTCCAAAAATATTAAGTGGAAATTCCAAAAATAGACAACTAATCAGTTTTAAATTACACACCATTCTGAGTAGCATGATGAAATCTTGCACCATCCTGCTCTGTCCTGCCCTGGACATGAATCTGGACATGAATCATCCCTTTGTCTGATATATTCACACTATACATGCTACCTGCTTGATACTGTATAGGAAAAAAACATAGTGTATGTAGTAGTCCTTTCTCATGCTGCTATAAGGACATACATTTTATAAAGAAAAGAGGTTTAATTGACTCACAGTTCCACAGGGCTTGGGAGGGCTCAGGAAATTTACAATCATGTCAGAAGGGAAAGCAAACATGTCCTTCTTCACATGGCAGCAGGAAGGAGAATGAGTGCCTAGCAAAGGGGGAAACCCCTTATAAAACCATCAGATCTTGTGAGAACGAATTCACTGTCATGGGAACAAGATGGGGGAAACCACCCCCATGATTTAACTATCTCCACCTGGTCCCTCCTACAACACATAGGGATTATGGGAACTACATTCAAGATGAGATTTGAGTTTGGACACAGCCAAACCATATTATTCTGCCCCTTGCCCCTCTGAAATCTCATGTCTTCACAATTCAAAACACAATCATGCCCTTCCAACAGTCCCTCAAAGTCTTAACTCATTCCAGCATTAGCCCAAAAGTCCAAGTCCCAAGTCTCATCTGAGACAAGTCCCTTCTACCTGTGAGCCTGTACATTCAAAAGTAAGCTAGTTACTTCCTAGATACAATGAGGGTACAGGCATTGGGTAAATACACCCATTCCAAATGGGAGAAATTGCCCAAAACAAAGGGGCTACAGGCCCCATCCAAGTCCAAAATCCAATAGGGCAATCATTAAACCTTAAAGTTCCAAAATGATCTCCTTTGACTCCATGTCTCACATCCAGGTCACACTGATGCAAGAAGTAGACTCCCATGACCTTGCGCAGCTCTGCCCCTGTGGCCCTGGAGGGTACAGCCCTCCTCCCAGCTGCTTTCATGGGCTGGTGTTGAGTGCCTGCAGCTTTTCCAGGTGCACTCTGCAAACTGTCCTGTTGGCGGATCTACCATTCTGGGATCTGGAGGACAGTGGCCCTCTTCTCACAGCTCCACTAGGCAGTGCCCCAGTGGGGACTCTGTGTGAGGACTCCATCCCCACAATTCCCCTTTCACATTGCCCTAGCAGAGGTTCTCTATGAGGGCCCTGTCCCTGCAGCAAACTTCTGCCTGGACATCCAGGTGTTTCCATACATCCTCTGAAATCTAAGTGGAGGTTCCCAAACCTCAGTTCTTGACTTCTGTGCATCTGCACACTCAACACCATGTGGAAGCTGCCAAGGCTTGGGGCTTGCACCCTCTGAAGCCATGACCTGAGCTGTTCCCTAGCCTCTTTTAGCCACGACTGGAGTGGCTAGAGCACAGGGCACCAAGTCCCTAGTCTGTACACAGCAGGGGGGCACTGGGCCAGGCCCAGAGGGCCATTTTTCCTCCGAAGCCTGCGGGCCTATGATAGGAGGGGCTGCGGTGAAGTTCTCTGACATGCCCTGGAGTCACTTTCCCAGTGTGTTGGCCATTAACGTTCAGCTCCTAATTACTTATGCAAATTTCTGCCCTGGGCTTGAATTTCTCCCTAGAAAATAAGTTTTTCTTTTCTGTTGCATTGTCAGGCTGCAAATTTTCCAAACTTTTATGCTCTGCTTCCTCTTGAATGCTTTGCCACTTAGAAATTTCTTCTGCCAGATATCATAAATCATCTCTCTCAAGTTCACAGTTCCACAGATCTCTAGGGCAGGGGCAAAATGCCTCAGTCTCTTTTCACAGCAAGAGTAACTTTACTCCAGTTCCCAACAAGTTCCCCATCTCCATCTGAGACCACCTTATCCTGGACTTCATTGTCCATATCACTATCAGCATTTTAGTCAAAGACATTCAAAAAGTCTCTAGGAATTTCCAAACTTTCCTACATCTTCCAGTCTTCTTCTGAGCCCTCCAAACTATTCCAACCTCTGCCTGTTACCCAGTTCGAAAGTTGCTTCCACATTTTTGGGTATCTTTGTAGCAGCACCCTACTCTGCAGTACAAATTTACTGTATTAGTTTGTTCTCATGCTGCTATAAGGACATACACAAGACTGGGTAATTTATAAGGAAAATTGATTGACTCACAGTTCCACAGGACTGGGGAGGCCTCCAGAAACTTACAATCATGGCAGAAAGGGAAGCAAACATTTCCTTTCTCACATGGCAACAAGAAGGAGAAGAATGAGTGCCCAGCAAAGGGGGAAGCCCCTTATAAAACCATCAGATCTCATGGCTGCGCACGATGACTCATGCCTGTAATCCCAACACTTTGGGAGGCTGAGGCGGCAGGCAGTTTACCTGAGGTCAGGAGTTCGAGACCAGCCTGGCCAACATGGTGAAACCACATCTCTACTAAAAATGCAAGAATTAGCCGAGCGTGGTGACAGGTGCCTGTAATCCCAGCTACTCAGGAGGCTGAGGCAGGAGACTCGCTTGAACCCAAGAAGCAGAGGTTGCAGTGAGCTGAGATCGTGCCACTGCCCTCCAGCCTGAGAAACAGAGTGAGACTCCATCTAAAAATAGATAAATAAACAAATAAATAAAAGATAAAACCATCAGATCTCGTGAGAACTAACTCACTATCACTAGAACAGGATGGTGTTGAACCTCCATGATTCAATTATCTCCACCGGGTCCCTCCCACAACCCATGGGGATTATGGGAGCTACAATTCAAGATGATATTTGGTTGGGGATACAGCCATTCCATATCAGTGTATATAGGATCCATTACTGTGCAGTTTCAGGCATCCACTGGGGTCTTGGAACTTATCCCCCATGGATAAGGGGGGACTACTCTACAAATGCTATCCCAACTTAAAATTATTTATTTATCATTTTACTTATTTTTTATATCTTTCCCGACTGGAAGATAAATTCCCTGAGGACAAGAACCTTCTCTCTTTTGTGTGCCACTCTATTATAGACATATTCCTGTGGGAAATTATGATCTTTCAGACATTATTCATCCATAATTCAAAAAACCTTTGCACATGAAACAACAGGCAAAGGTTTTAAAAGTACAAATTAATCAGAACAATAAAAACTTTCCAGGAAAATCAATAACATTTTAAGTTGGACACTGCTTAAAATACAACACTGCAGAGCAATAGATGGCATGGCTTTGTGAAAAAGAGAAAGACCTCGCCTTACTACTTACAATGGAAACACCTACAAAATTCTTTTTAATGGGCTATAAAAATAGATGTTCAAATATAGCTGCCTTGAACAATTTCTTTATGTGTTTATAGCTTTAACCCAGGGCCTCATCCTAAGAATTTTTGCTACTGATAATGAAGCTGTATTTTTTTAAAAATGAAAATGGTATGTACCTGTGATCTTTTAGGATGACAGTCTAATTAAGATTAGCAACTAGAGAGAAAGAAAACCCAAGCTAAACGTTTCTGTACTTTAGTAAATTCTACCCTCTATGGTCCTAATAGCAATAGCATGGCCACTTTGAGCAGTGCTGCAAGGCAGTTGCTCACACACACACTACTTAGCCATGAATGGGTGGCTTGAAGCCACCAGGAAGACAGGTTTAAATTGGCAACATCATTTTCCTGATTCGACCCTGTGACTAAAGCGTCCTGCTTTGGGATTTGGGTCAGTCAATCAGCAGGTATTTATCTGGTGCTTACTTTGTGCCTGGGATGCTGTTAACTCAGCAGAAAAAACATAAGCAAAGACAAAAAAGTTAGAGGCAAGAGAAAAAAAGCCAAAATAACAAAAACCGAGATTACAAAACACTGAAGACAGTGTTAGTACCGCTGCAAGGAGAAAGAGATAATTTAATGTTTACAGATACAAGAAGTGAAGAATTAACTCCACCTAAACTCTTGATTTAAATCAAATATGCCTGATAAACATATGCTAAATGCATTGGATACATATTTTAAAAACACATGTTTTAGTTGTTATTCCCCAGTGAGAAGTACAGGTGCAGCATGGCCTTTTATAATGATAATAGACAATTATATGCATTATCCTACCCTAAAAGTTCTCACTCCACTCAAACAGTTATTTGACAATGTTTATTAGCTCAAATATGAGGTACAGGCAAGCATTATCAGACAGTCCCTAGAACTGTGACTGATTCCTAAATCACTCTACTGAAAAGAAAAATGTGGTATCCAGGCCTGAGAGTCAGTCACTGTGAGGGTCTGACATTTACATTCAGAGAGGATCTGACCTGCTATTGCAGCTACTTTCACATCCTTGACCTTCAAATCTTCTCCTCTGACCTTGCATCCCTATTGCTGGGCCAGGAGAGACCAGATCAGACCGTGTGCACACATCTGCAGAAAGGTCACAGCCTCGAATATTTTACTTTATATGTAGGTCCAGTCCTCATAGCCATGAACCCTTGACATGTAAAACCACTATGATTTTGTACCAACAGGTATCTCAGCTAAGTTGCTGAGATGAGGTAGCCACTTACCACATTGTCTAGCCTCTTAGCAGTGGCCACAGCTCCTACCTCACAGAAGAAAATTGCAGTCAACCGCTGTATAACCAGGCCATGACTCTTTTCTCTTCTCTACCCATCTCAGAGTTTGTTCCTCTACTAAATTCTTCTTGGTTTCAAAAGCAGAGTCCCTACCCTCTCTTGCAATATTTTGTTTCATAAATTGTTTTCTCAAATATTATATTTCAATCTTACCTTCCTTCTGTCTATAAAACCATTAGCCTCATCTAATCTAAAAAATACAAATAAAACACTCTAACTCAACTCTGTATCCACTTCATAGTTGTGTACCCACTTCACGGGGATTCACAAGAACTACTCTGTTCCTCTGCCCCCTCTTTCCTCTTTCACAGCCAAACTGTGCAGAAGAATGGTCTTCAATCTCCAGCTACATTTCTTAATATTCCAGTTTCTCCCCAGTCTCCACCTATTTTCCTTATATCTCAGTTTCCCACATTTCCCTGGCAAAGCTCATCCACGACTTTCCTATTGCCAAATCCCTTAAGGTCCTTTTAGTTCTTACATTAAATTATCCATGTTTTTGCTATGGACAACTTGAAACTCTCCCCCTCCTCGCTTTCAGAGACATCAACTTTTCTGACTATTTCTTGTCTTCATTACTGGTGCCTGCTTTTTAAATGTTGGTGTTTCTTTTTTTATTACTCTAAAATTTTTCCCTGGGAAATTGTGCTGGTAACTTTTAGATCTACATGTCCTTCTCTACCTTTTAGATAACTAGTCCATATCCTTCCCCACATATCCAATTGCCTATTCTTCTCTCCATCTTGAAGTCCCAGATAAATTAAACTCAACAGATTCTAAGCAGAGTTCATCTTTCTCTCAAAAATTCCTCCTCAGTCTGTTGTCCTTATTTTAACAAATGTCATCACTACTTTTATCCCAATGGTTTCTTGCCTTCCATATTTTAATCTAGTCTGTTCCCTCTGCTGAGATTACACTTTTGTCCCACTTGTCTGCCTATGAATGCTTCCTCAACTTCAAGCTTGAGAATCACCTCCTTCATGGAGCACTCCCAGCCTGGCCAGGTAAAAGTGACCATTGCTAGCTGCCTGCTACCACCCTTAAAGAGATACCCCAAACAGTATGTGTAGCACTGAATTATGAAGGAGGAGCATGTTTTAGGGAGAAAGAAGAGCACATGGAAAAGCCCTACGATAAGAAGGAGTTTGGGCTTTTGAGGGACCACAAGAAGCTCTGTGGCTGGGTGGAGCACTAGGCCAAAGGGACAGTGGCATGAAACCAGCTAAGATTGTTGGAAACTTGAGGGATGGTGGAAGAATGGAGAAGGGAGGTGGGGTCCCAGTCATTCAGGACCTTGCAGGCCATGGTATAGCTTTTTCCATGCTATTCTAACTACCATGGGAAGCCAAGGACATTTCTAAAGCTGGGAGTGACAAAATCCAATGTAGATTTTAAAATGACCTCTCCAGCTGCAGTGTGAATAGATTTCAGAGAAGCAAGATTGTTAAAGAGGTGACTAGTTAGGAAGTCATTACAATAATCCAGCCAGAAAAAGATAGTCACTTAGCGTGGAGTAGTAGTAGGGATGACAGAGAACATAGTCAAAATTTTTGTCAAACTTTCTCGTACAAGCAAACAAATGAGACTGTGTTGCTTGATTAAACTAATAATCAGTTTCAGGATGTTCCATGGTCATTACTGGCTGCATCCTGTGACCATCTGGAGACCAGAATGACCAGCCAAGCCCCTATGTCTTTGCACACGCACAAAAACAACTTCTACAGAATTAATTGGCATGCTCCACAAAGTTTGCTGTGTTCTTTGAACTCTCTTGACCTTGGGAAAATGCTTTTCTCACAGAAAACTTTTCAGCCAATTGAGCTTGGACTCTTCTTAAAGGTCACATGGACTCTTGTATTGGAAATACTATTTGTACATTTGTATTTCCTTTGTTAGTTCCAGAGTCTACATTCCTCTCATAGAGCAAACAAAGGCTAAAGGAAGATCAATGAAGAAGAGAAATGAAGGACATACTGGAAATAAACTTCCTGAAGAAACTACATGGGAAACAAATGCCACTAAAACTACTAGGTAGAAATAATATCTATATGCCAGACAGAGCAATAAAAAAATCGATAATCACATACAGACAACTTTCATGAGATCTGTGTGCCTAGGAACAGAGTAGTAGGTAGTGTCAGAAGATAAAATTATAAAAAATTAAGTTTAAAGATTTCAAATGGCTTAGTTGTGATTCTAGAATCAGGCAACACTCCATCCCATAAAATAGAATAAGTGTTCCAATGAGTTGGACTGAGGAGGTTGGCTTTAGAGACAGAAAATGAGCTGAAGAAGACTGACATAAAGAACAAAAAGAGACTGATCATTTCAAAGTTGCTTTCCTTGTAAGACAGGGACAGGGAGACAGAATAATAAAGAGATAACTGATTGGTTAACACCAGTTTACTTCAGATCACTCCTTAATGTAAGGATTAAAACAAGAGGAACTTCATTATCATGCCAATTGAAGATTGCAACAGGCCTGTTAGAAAAATTAAGCTATTTTTCCCTCTTGATTTCTTGGAAAACCAGATAATAACTCAGTTTTATTTTGGTGAGTGTGGGTGACTCCATTTGTGGTTTTTAGTCTAATCTGCTGGGGCCTAGTGCAGGAGTTAATGGCCTCCTATAATGCTTGTTTAACAACTTCCCTCTTTTGGTGAGGTTCTCACCCAGGTGAGAGTGTGATCAAAACTAAAGGCATCGGCCAGGTGCGGTGGCTCATGCCTGTAATCCCAGCACTTTGGGAGGCCAAGACAGGCAGATCACCTGATGTCAGGAGTTAGAGACCAGACTGGCCAACATGGTGAAACTCCATCTCTACTAAAAATACAAGAAAGTAGCCAGGCACGGTGGCGGGTGCCTGTAATCTCAGCTACTTGGGAGGCTGAGGCAGGAGGAACACTTGAACCTGGGAGGCTGAGGCTGCAGTGAGCTGAGATCATGCCACTGCACTCCAGCCTGGGCAACAAGAGCGAGATTCCGTCTCAAAAAAAAAAAAAAATTAAAAAAAAAATTTTAAATCAAAACGAAAGGTATTAACACTACTCTTAGTTACCATCATTCTGGGTTTCCAGTCTCAACATGTCATTGGTAGGTTACAGTGTTCTCATGAAAATGCATTTCTTTGCACTGAAGGAAAACCATTTGATATTTGACAGATAGCTGTGTGCAAAAAGTTAAAACTTTTCAAGAAAAAATAATGCACCAGGCAGACTATTTGTATGACTATTAGGAAGATATTACCAAGAGTTTGGAGTATGCTCCTAAGCCAGGGTCTTGATGAATTGAACCACCTAAAATTGAATAGATCAAAGAATGAATCAGATGAGGATCTACCCATTTTAACCAAGTAGGCTGATCGTTAAGTTTTTGCAACTGTCTCCACAATACCCTATGTATTTATCTATGTGCAACAAGAAGTGTCAACTGCACAGATTCCTCCTTGTTCAGTAAATAGTAGGCAGCAATTCTATCATCTAGCAACACAGGAAAATGTCAAATTAAAGCAGAGAATACTAACTCTATAAAAGAGACCACTAGTACAATGTGAACAAACATTGTGTTAGGAATGTTGCTAATGTTACCCGTTAGGTACATTCAAAGATCTCTTAAGTCCTGTAAAGGTTTAGGTTTGAGCCAGGCATGGTGGTACATTCCTAAATTCCCAGCTACTCAGGAGGCTGAGGTGGAAGGATTGCTTGCACCCAGTTCAAGGTTGTAATGTGCCATGATTATGCTTGTGAATAGCCACTGCACTCCAGCCTGGGCAACATAGCAAAACCCCATTTCTTTTAAAAAAATGGATTTGACGTGACAGATTCAATGCTTTGTTAAGTTACTCACAAAAACTACTGACTGAAATTCTAACTACAGCATTATCCTGTCAAGTGGAAGAGATAAGCATAAATAACCAAAAATTAAGAAGGGTAAGAGTTGTCTGAGCTCAGGCATTTCAGACCAGCCTGGGCAACATGGTGAGGCCCCATCTTTACAAAATATAAAAGAAAAAAATTGTTAAAGAAAAATAAGAAGGGTAAGAGTCTTACTATGGTATGGAGTCTTATTCCTCTGGTTTTGTGAAAAGCTATCCACAGCATGAAGTCAGAGACTTATCCTAATTTGCAGTTTGAATATCTTCAGTTGTGGCATCAGACATTCTCACAAACTATCTGTGTGGCTCAAACATCAGGCATGAGACTTGTCCCTTGGAATGTATATTGAATTGTCAAACTTTGGCTATAGGGTTTCAGGAACAGAGCAGTTCTCATTCTTTGTTGAAGAGTTGTACCCAGATATTAGAGAAAACTAGAAAGAATTTGGAATCCAGTTTACAGATAGATCATAAAAATTCAAAGGCAATAAATAGGGCTACAAGCAAATAACAGATGTACTGTACTTTTCTTCTGAAACATAATTTTTCTCTCTACAGTTACCCCCATTTTTATTAAAGATAATCATGGTAAGACCAATATGATTGTAAAATAAGTTTAGCCTCAAACTTGGCCTGATATTTACATAAGTGCAGCAAGAATAGCCACATAAGCTCACTCCTTTTAAATTTGCTTTACTGTAAATTTTCACAAGGAAACTCAAATTGGACTTTTAAAAACCTCTTCATGCTAGGATGTCAAACCAAGGCAGATATCAGACTTTGCCTACAGTATGTAATATCTTGAAGTTCTCTGGCCTGCCAAGAAGTGATAACTGTTTATTCACTCTCTGAAGGGTTGGGAACTCCTGAAGCCAGGCATTCTATGCTCATTTTCAAATATGACATTCCAGTCAAAGCCTCAGTAATATATTCAATATTTCAACTGTACCTTGTTAAAGGATACAGTTAAATTCTTATTGAACTTATGTAAATACTCATATTTAACATAAAAATAAGAATACTCACTAATAGTTTCTGAATTTTGGAGAGATCAAGTAGGGAAGAAAAGCAAATGTTTCCATTTTTATGTACAAAAGAATACTTTATCAAATTGCTGTAAGCTGTACATAGCTGAAAAGAAAAAGAAATTCCTTAAATTTGAAAAACAAGACATGAAAAGAACCAGCATTGGCTCAAATTTTTAAAAGCCATGAAACCTCATACGTTTTCTTCATCAGTTCATTCAGTCTAATGTGATTAATTTTTGCTCTATTTAATCTTAGTTAGCAGCTTCACAAACGCATCAGTTTTGTTGTTATTGTTGTTTTTGTTGTTTTGAGACAGAGTGTCTCTCTGTTGCCCAGGTTGGAGTGCAGTGGTGCTATCTCGGCTTACTGCAACCTCTGCCTCCTGAGTTCAAGCAATTCTTGTGCCTCAACTCCCCAAGTAGCTGGGATTACAGCGCTACCACACCAGCCTAATTTTTGTATTTTTTCAGTGGAGACGGGGTTTCGCCATATTGTCCATCCAAGCTGGTCATGAACTCCTGACCTCAAGTGATCGGCCCACCTTAGCCTCCCAAAGTGCTGGGATTACAGGTGTGAGCCACCACACCCAACCCCATCAGTTTTTTCACTTGAGTTTTAGAAATTCCTACCCAGTTTAATAATATCTCAGTTATCAGAAACCTGTACTTGTCAGAATTCGTTCCATTCTCTTCATGAACCTCCTTGAAGATACAATGCTTTAAGATTGCAAAAGGCTTTCAGAAAAGCATCCGAATAAAGCAATTAACTGCAGGCAACAAGACATAAAATGGCCATGGTTCAAAATCTGATGAGCGTCCATAGTGACCCACTTGATAAGGAAATTTGGTTTTCTCTGTGGTGTACAACACTGGAACATAATAACCAAAATTATTACTGATAACATCATAATTTTTGAAATCTCATACGATTTTGGAGCACATATTAATAATATGTCCATACAAATATAACTCAAAGAAGGTTAAACATTTCTTATTTGACAATATTTCTTATATAATTTAACATATCAAATAAGCCTACTTCAGTTTAATACTTATTTAATAGATCATTTGAGAAGTTCTGGAACCCTGTGGAACATCTCAAAGTTAGTTCAAGGTTAAAAAGACTTAAATTGAGAATTTGATTTGGGGAAGTCTGTAAAAATAAAGGTTTCAAATGTTTGATCAAAAATAGGATCACACGGCCAGGCATGGTGGCTCACTCTTGTAATCCCAGCATTTTAGGAGGCCGAGGTGGGCAGATCACTTGAGGTCAGGAGTTCGAGACCAACCTGACCAACATGGCGAAACCCCATCTCTACAAAAAATACAAAAATTAGCTGGGCATGTTGACATACACCTATGGTCCCAGCTATTCAGGAGACTGAGGCAGGAGAATCACTTAAGCCCGGGAGGCAGAGGTTTCAGTGAGCTGAGATGGCACCACTGCACTGCAGCCTGGGGGACAGAGCGAGACTGTCTCTAAAGAAATACATATATAAATAAATGAAACTTTGACTAATATTTTCCAATTCTGAATCTGACAAGTCATTCTGAACTCCATTTTCAAATTTCATGGCCTTTCTATAACTAAAACCACTTCCATGTTTCCTTTTCTTTTTTTCTTCACCTAACATAATGGTGTGCTGGTAATGTTTAACAGACAGCTCTCCAGGGTAAAACAACAAGAACAACAACAAACCCTGATTTATTGTGTTCACCCATTTCTGTGGTATAACTACTCCTGTCTACCACGCCTGATTTCAAACTATCAATATGACGTCACTAAATGTGGAGTTGGAAAGACACACTCATGACTGGTTCTCATTAATCAGTTTACAGACGCGCCAGCACACCATTGATATAACATACCTCTTCACATCCCACTACAAGTCATATAGAATTTGGTCTGTGAAAAATTTTTATTTAACTGTTTAAGGCAGCTTTTGGGGTTGTAGTTGAGGAGATTGGACATAAGATATTTAGCTCTGGAATCTAATTGATAAACAAGACAACTGCCAAGGTACAGTTAATAGTGTTAATAATGATGATAATTTTCTACCTCAAAGGAAAAAACTAAAATTTTATTTGAATTAAAAAGTCCTAATATGTAAATTCCCCAATATATATTCTAAATTGACTATTATTTTTCATTGAGAAGTAAAGGCCTTATGAAATTTTATTCTTGGCATTCCTGTACAGAAATACCGGCTAGCTTTCGATCAGCTGGCCAGCATGTGATTAATATAAAAGTTTTATAGACATAGCAATATGTAACTATAATGACTTTGGGTTTTTTTTTTGTCAAAGGAGAAAATTGTGTTTTTCTTGATTATAACACAAAATAAACTATTTTTAAATTTTACACAAAATCCCCAACAATAAGAGTTTTAACAATCCTGGTAAACTAGGTTTAGAAATAGCAACATTTTAAACCTCCAAAATATTATACAATACATTAAGTCCATCTCATACTTATCAATTACACATGAAATTATATGAACAAACAATTTTTTTGCCATTACACAGATACGCTGTGACTTTCCTATCGTAGTCCCTGTATAAGCCAGAGAGAGAGTAGATAGTGGATAGTGGCCTTCGACGACATATAACTTGTTTAGTTATACATGCACACAGACACATGCATGCAAGCTGTTTTGGGATTTCGATTAGGATTTTATGAAGTCTAGAAATCAGCTTGGAGAAAATGATATTTTTATAGTGTTGAGTCTTCCGGTTCATGAACATGACATATCTCTCTGTTGATTTAGGCCTATAAAAACTTCTCTCAATAATATTTTATATATTTATGCATAAGGATCTTGCACATGGCCAGGTGCAGTGGTTCAGGCCTGTAATCCCAGCACTTTGGGAGGCCGAGGTGGATGAATCACTTGAGGTCAGGAATTCAAGACCAGCCTGACCAACATGGTGAAACACTGTCTCCACTAAAAATACAAATGTTAGCCAGGTGTGGTGGTGTGTGCCTGTAGTCCCAGCTACTCGGGAAGCTGAGACAGGAGAATCACTTGAACCCAGGAGGCAGAGGCTGCAGTAAGCCGAGATGACGTCACAGCACTCCAGCCTGGACAACAGAGCAAGACTCCATCTCAAAAATAAATAAATAAATAAAAAGACCTTGCACATCTTGATTGGCTCTAGGCATTTTAAATTTTTATGATGTTGTGAATTTTATATTTTCAAACTTGTATTTTATAAATGCTGCTGATGTGTAAATACAACTGATGCTTGCTCTGGGTCTAGATGCCTTTTGCAGATTAGGAAAGTTCTTATCCATTTCTTTTTCTTTCTTTTTTTTGAGATGGCGTCATCTCTGTCACCCAGGTTGGAGTACAGTGGTGCGATCTCAGCTCACTGTAACCTCCACCTCCTAGGCTCAAGTGATCCTCCTACCTCAGCCTCCTAAGTAGCTGAGACCATAGGTGCATGCCACCATGCTCAGCTAATTTTTTGTATTTTTGGTAGAGATGGGGTTTCACCATGTTACCCAGGCTGATCTTGAACTCTTGAGCTCAAGCAACCCACCTGCCTCAGCCTCCCAAAGTGCTGGGATTAGATAGATAGCACACCTGGTGTCTATCTATTTCTAATTTGCTAGAAGTTGAATTTAAATCATGTATGAGTATTGAAATTATTAAAAGATATTTCTGCATCTTTTAAGATGATCAAATCATTTTTCTCTTTTATTCTGCAAGTGTGATGAATTACATTGGTTAATTTTCAAAAGTTAAGTCAATTTACATTTCTTTAATAAACCCCACTTGAATGTAATATATATGCTTACATGGTAGTGTTGTTTATTTTAATTCTACATGCATATTTGTCAAGAACTATGAAAGATATGAGATTTTACTCTACTTGCAAGCTAGCAAGTTAGCCTGCCATAATTTCAGGGATGCAGGCAGAAGCTACAACATTCCTGAGTCAAAGATAAAGGACATTATTACTCATGGCACAGGAAGAAGTGTAAGCTTTGTGTTTGTGTCAATTCTCCTCACCCCCCCGAAAAGCCCATTGGGGTGACACGGAGTGGTCCAGGTAGATACTAGGCACATAGTGCATTTGCATCATAACTGAGAAATCCTGAGCAGACAAACTTACTGTGCTTTGGAGAGAGACACTATCTCTACCCCAAAGCTCCTTGCTGTACAAACATTCATTAAAAATAGTCTGAAACAAAACTTTTAGTGCCTTTGCTCACAAATCATGCAGGGAGGCCTATAAAGAATTGTCTTCCAATAATATTTAAATTACACAAGATACGATGATTAGTATATTTAGTCAACTTCCATTTAGGTACGCCCGCATATTTACCTTTCTCATTGCTCTTCTTTCTTTCTTGAATAGTTGATCTTCCATTAGGAATGATTTTCCTTCTGCCAAAAGAAGTATTTTCTTTATTGTAGGTCTGCTAGAGATCAATTATATCAGTTTTTGCTTAAAAAACAAATGTCATTATTTCATCTTCATTATTGGAGGATATTTTCCCTGTGTATAAACTATAGGTTATCTTCTTTGGGTTCTTTGGAAATATCATCCCATTGTTTTCTGGCTTTCATTATTTCTTTTGAAAAGTACTATGTCAAATTGTTTTCCTTGAAAGTAATCTGTCTTTTCTCTTCTGGCTGCTTTTAAAATTTACCTTATTATTGTTATTTACATCAGTTTTACAATGATGAGCCTAGGTATGAATTTCTTTTTATTTATCCTTAGGAATTATTGAATATAGGCTTATTGTTCTTTATCAACTTTGGAAGATCCTTAGCCATTATTTTCTCAAATATTGTTTCTGTCCTATTTCACTCTCCTCTACTTCTTGGATTCCACATGTATATCATATTTTCTCACTGTAATCTCATCATTTCTCTCTTTTTTTTGTCTGCCATTAATTGTGATTTATGATTTTCTGCATATTTTCTTCTGTCCTACCATTCAGATCACAGATTCTCTCTTCAATTGTGTTTAATCTGCTGTTAAATCCATATATTTTGTTCTTAATTTTAGTTACTGCATTTGCAAATTCTAGCTTTTCTATTTGATCCCTTTTCAGTTTACCATGGTTTAATATTTTTAGCTCTCAGCTATAATTCCAAATCTTGTCTTTTATCTCTATGAATGTAAGAAAGCATAGCTTTTAAAATCAATGTTTGAGGACCCTAATTTTTGGAGTGTTTGCAAGACTGTTTTTAGTTATTTTTCATGAAGTTCTGTCTTCTTAGAGTCTTGGTTATTTTCTATTGTGCATCAGAACTTGTGTTTTAAAAATTATATGTTGACATAATTTGAGGTCTAGCATAATGTCAACTTTACCCAGGAAAAAGTTTGCATTTGGGACATTTGGGACCTCTAGCAATCTGGAAACACTTAAGATAATTTCAGTGATAAAAGTAATTTGGAACTGGGCTACAGTCTTTGAGAGAGCCAGTTGGCTTCTACTTCACCCTTATTCCTGGCTATAGTTCTTTGGAGTTACAACCTTATGTGCAAAGAGTTTGATAAGCTTCCACTTGGGAAGGACTTTTATACCCCAGATACCTTTTCTGGAATTTTCAAATGTCTCTAGGAGAAAAGCAGCCTCAATCATAAGGCACAAGGTCTCTTGATTTTTATTTTTTCCAAATCGTGAACTAATTATGCCCTACTTCTTTAGCTTTCAGATACCTTCAAATGGATTTTCCCCCATCTTTTCTATTAAAACTCAGTAGGAGGTTTGGTCTGAATTACTAGTTTGTCACTACTGGAAATGAACATCTCTATTACTTAGTTTTTGTTGCTGTTGTTGCTGTTGTTGTTTTTAATCTCCAGATACTAAATTCTGATGTATAGTTACTGTTGAAGAACATGGAGTGGAAACAAGCTGTCATGTAACATTCCTTGTCCCCCACCTAAGCCACATACACATACCACCACTATCACCACCACCACTACAACTGTAACAACAGATGTGATTACTCTTCAGGATTCTAGTCAAGGCATTCAGCAGCCGGGCCCATACGTCAGCAGTAAAAGTTGATTGAGACTGACAGGATTGGAATGGGAGGTGAAAAGGGGTGCCAAGGGAAGCAGAATAGACAGGAATTGGGTAATTTTCTGGGGCATGTGTTGGGTAAAGTGGTGGTTCCACACCTACAAACTTGTGCTGCTCTGCTAAGTTGTATCAGGAAAAAGGAAGAGAAACAAAAAACAGATGTACCTTTTCCTCTAGGAAGCTCAACTCCTCTATACGTAAAGTTGTTTCCCTGTAGTAGTTTAACTCCACCACTAGGTCTCCAAAGATGGTGATGTTCCTTGCCACTTGGCGTCATTGATAAAGAGACTAACAATTAGAATTAGAATTTCCTCATTCGGTGGAAAAATCCATGCTTAGCACCGTGTTATTTCAAGCTGCATGATAGAAAAATGATATTAACTAAACAAAAACAAAACAAAAAAAAGGTCAATACACTTTGCTTTTTAAATTCTTTCTGATGAGATATTAAACTCATATATGACCAAATTTCCAGCTTTCCATTTTAGGGACTGTCAATCAGGAGCAGCATTGAGGAGCTAAATGTGGTCATGTCTGCACTCCAAGCCTGCTAAAAATGTTTTAGCTTCCAAACAGACAGAGTGACTGTTTCGTCAGCATGCAGCTGAGGGGTGAATGAGGACAGCCAGGCTGGGTACACTGCCACAGTTGCCTGTGCATGTTCACCTCACATCATAGGTTTTCTTTTCCCCCAGTGCACTCCGTCTTTCCCTCCTTTCTGCTTAACAAGCACTCGTACATTTAAATTTAATTGTAACTTCTTTGTATATCTGTGTGTATACTTGGGTGTGTTTTATATCTCTTTTCTAGAGATAAAGTTTATTAAGGGTAGAGATTGTGTCTTCTTCCCTTATAATTAAAGTGATCTGACCACAATCATGTGGATTATGGAGCGGGGCTACGATGCAGTTAGTTAATCCCCTCAGCTAGACTGAACTGAATAATTTCACCATGTGCATGGAGAACTCTGTTAAGCTAGAGTTATCACTGAGCCGCAGACATTTATTGAGCACCTTCTATGTGTCTAGAACTATCCTAGATTATGGAGAAAAAACACAAAAAGACTCAATCTTTACTTCCAATGTGATCACACCCTAATTATGAGTATAACTGTGTTTTAGGGAATAAGGCGGTGTGATGAAGACCACAACCATATAAATAAGTAAAACCAACAACGATATTTGAAAACACATAGAAAACACAAGCAATTCTTTTTGGGGGACTCCAAAAAGACTTCTGAGAAAAGATTACATATAAACTTTTGGTGATTACAAGCCTAACATGAGGGCAAACAGTAATAAAGAACTCCAAGCACAGAGAACAAGACATGTACAGATTAAAAGGTGAGAGAGAGGACTATATGTTTGGGGGTTAGGCTAATGGGTTTCATGAAAAAAGCATAGAAGAACAGTAGGGGTCAGAGTTTTAATGCTTAACAAAATCTGTGGATATCTCCCAGAAATGTAAGTCCAGAAAATTCATCTTATTTCTGTCCTGATAATTCTCGAAGCATCACCATACTGGTTCCCAAACTAGCTCACAGCATGTCATTAACATAAAACAGCCTTGGAGCAAGGATGCTCAAGGAATCTGGGAATCAATTCTCCTGGTTTGAATCAGATTTGACATATTATAAATTCAACTGCAATAGATGGGTTATAAACTATTTCACTGATTTCTTACTCATTTTTTTCATTTCATTTCGCAAATTTACATTTTCTAAATCCATTAGAGTCCCTAGAGCCCTCCTTGGTGACAGAGATAATGCTATGTATTCACCAATTCCTTTTCCTCAGCACACAAGAAGACTATATTTCTTGACCTCCTATAAATTCATTTTTATTTTATTTTATTTATTTATTTATTTTATTTTTTTGAGACGGAGCCTCGCTCTGTCACCCAGGCTGGAGTGCAGTGGCACAATCTTGGCTCACTCCAACCTCCGCCTCCCAGGTTCAAGCTATTCTCGTGCCTCAGCCTCCTGAGTAGCTGGGACTACAGGTGTGCACCATCACACCCTACTAATTTTTGTAATTTTAGTAGAGACGAGGTTTCACCATGTTGCCCAGGCTGGTCTCGGATTCCTGACCTCAAGTGATCTGCCAGCCTCCATCTCCCAAAGTGCTGAGATTACAGGCATGAACCACCATGAACGGCCTCTTGGCCTCATATAAATTTGACTGGGGCAAAAATCTGGCAATAAAACATAAACAGAAGTGTTGCCTTGAAAACTTCCTTCTTAGTCCTACAATTCTTCCTACAGATACTTCTGTAATGCCTTTGAAAGCCAAATGTTCCAGGTACTGGAGCTCTGCAACGTAAGCACACAAAATACAAGACCACCGCTTGGAAGAGAATCTCTGGGAAGACCTGACTATTCCATAAAGAACTGTGATGTGAACAAGAACTAAACGTTGCTGTGTACGCCATTGAGATAGCTTACCATATCCCCACTGCCTGGAGTGGAGATGGGATGCAGCGGATTGAAATCTACAAATTCTAGGGGGTCTAAAGCTTCAGACTTAATGGTTTAGTACAAATGATAAAAGATAGGCCAGGTGTGGTGGCTCACATCTGTAATCCCAGCATTTTGGGAGGCCGAGGTGGGCAGATCAGGAGTTCAAGACCAGCCTAGCCAACATGGTGAAACCCCGTCTCTACTAAAAATACAAAAAACAGCCAGGGTGTGGTGGTGGGCACCTGTAATCCCAGCTACTTGGGAGGTTGAGGCAGGAGAATTGCTTGAACCTGGGAGACACAGGTTACAGTGAGCTGAGATCACCCCACTACACTCCAGCCTGGGCAACAGAGTGGGACTCTGTCTCAAAAAAAAAAAAAAAAAGATAAACATGAGGGCCTATTAACTATTGCAGTTCTTATTTGAGACCCTCCTCCAACCAGAAACAATTTTGTTCTCTTTAATGAGGCAACTAAGAAAAAGGAAAATAGTAAAGAAACTTGCTTTCCTTGGTCTTAATTATGGATGAGGGTGAGAGGTCTCTCTCGGTAATATGTAACCTCAAGTGGCCCTCAACCTGAACTTAGGGTCAGAATTTACACTCTCTGTATGGCTCAAAGTGCCCAAACTAAAAATTTACATTAAAATGGTTCTAGGTTGGCAGTGTTTCCAAGTGGTACTGATAGAAGAACTTGTAGATGTTTTAAATTTAGGTCGCAAAGAGCTTTCACAGATAAACTTCCAAGGAACAAGAGTACAGATTGGAAAAATCTCAAAACAACAACAAAAGAAGCCACGGAGAGCAAGAGAAACAAAAACAGAAAGAAAGCAGAATGGTAACAGAAGCAAATCTGCAAAGACATAGATTCTGAAATGATAATAAGCATGTCGAATGTGTTTAAAGAGGTTATTTTTGGCCAGGCACGGTGGCTTACGCCTGTAATCCTAGCACTTTGGAAAGCTGAGGCGGGCAGATCACAAGGTCAGGAGTTCGAGACCAGTCCCCGAACATGGTGAAACCCCGTCTCTACTAAAAATACGCAAAATTAGCCAGGCGTGGTGGTGCACACCTCTAGTTCCAGCTACTTAGGAGGCTGAGGCAGAAGAATCGCTTGAACCCAGGAGGCAGAGGTTGCAGTGAGATGAGATTGAGCCACTGCACTCCAGCCTGGGTGACAGAGCTAGACTTCCTCTAAAAAAATAAAAAAATAAAAAGTGGCTGATAATATTCTGGAATTGATAAAAGACACAAATCATCACATTCAGGAACATAAGAAACCCAATGCAAGGTAAACAAAACCTACACTTAAACCCATCCTAGCTAAACTGCAGAACACCAAGACAAACGAAAAGGAAGATTTGTCTACAAGGACAAAAAGGATGAGAAATTTGAATAGGAATCTGAAACCAAATGGGTTCAACATAATTCAGGAAGCTTCATACTCTACAATGACTGTAGAGGAATTAAAAAAGCAATGCAATGTATGCCTCCAAACCCACAAACAGCTCCCAGTAATCGTGTCTGGTAATTTTGGAAGTGGGAATAAAGTTGGGCCTTAAGAAGGAAGATTGAGTCAATGTTTAAGAAGCAGTTATATACCCAGAGTCTGGCAACTCCTTGTAGTCAAGGGATTGCCATTTTCTTACTCCAGCACAACACTGAAGGTTCATCACCTAGAAAGAATAGAACAGTATTTCTTGACCAGAGGGCACAGGGCACTGTGAGAGCAGGCTACCATATTGAAAACAGATTAAATAAAATGGGTACATACTAAAGATTGAGACACTACCATTTCTCCACCAGCCTTCTGACTGAAACATTAGCCACCAGTTTTTACCTGCAAGGCAGGAAAATGGAAGACTCTCTTCCAGGTGTCATAAAAATACTTATGGGCACTATAAGGTATATATACATAGATCTTATATTATATATGTTATATATGTTATATATAACATATATGTTATATATAATATAAGATATACTATAGTCAGGGCTTCCCGAATAAAATGTTGCAGCCAAAACATCTCATAATAAATCTCCTGGTCAGTAAGTCCCATACATGGACATGGAACTCTAAATTATCTTTTTTTTTTTTTTTGAGACAGGGTTTCACTCTGTCACACAGGCTGGAGTGCAGTGGCACAATCACAGTTCACTGCAGTCTCCTCCCTTGGGGGCTAAAGTGATCCTCCCACCTCAGCCTCCCTCGTAGCTGGGACAATAGGCACGAGCCACTACACCTGGCTAATTTTTGTATTTTTGGTAGAGATGGGGTTTTACCATGTTGCCCAGGCTGGTCTTGAACTCCTGGCCTCAAGTGATCCACCCACCTCAGCCTCCCAAAGTGTTGGCATGAGCCACCATGCCCAACCCAAATGATCTCTTTAATGCTCCATTTTTAGTGAGAGCAGGCGGCCAAGGATCACTATGAAATACTGAGGAATATGTGAAAGAGAAACCAAAACAAAGAAACGAGAAAAAAAAATGTTCTCAAGGAAACGGAGACCGTGCAAAGAGAAGAAAAATAATTTTTAAGTTTCTTATATCTTCAGAGAGATAATATAGAACAGCCATAAAAGAATAGGATACTTTGTTAAAAAGACAGGAATAAAGGAGCTATTAGAAATTATAAATATGGGCAGGGCATGATGGCTCACACCTGTAATCGCAGTACTTTGGGAGGTGGAAGTGGGTAGATCACTTGAGGTCAGGAGTTCAAGACCAGCCTGGGCAACATGGTAAAACCTCATCTCTCCCAAAAATACAAAAATTAGCCAGGAGTGGTGGCTCATGCCTGTGGTCCCAGCTACTTGGGAGGCTGAGATGGGAGGATCACTTTTGACCTGGAAGGAGAAGGCTGCAGTGAGCCAAGATCACACTATGGCACTCCAGCCTGGGCAACAGTGCAAGACCCTGTCTCAAAAAACAAAAGAAAGAATAAATATGTAAATATGATAGAAATAAGAAGTTGGAAGGGCATGAAGATAAAGTTGAGAAAATCTCCCAGAAAGTAGAGCAAAAAGGCAAAGAGATAAGAGAGAAAAATGAAAGAAAGTTAGGACATCAACCCATCATGTCTACCCTGAAATAATAGTAGAGAACATAGAAAATGTTCTGGAGAAAAATCATCAAAAAAGTAATCTAATAACATTCGCAGGGCAGAAGCTCATGAATTTCCAGATTGAAAGGACTCATAGAGTGTGCTTGGCACACTGATAAAAATAAATTCATACCAAGGTACATCGTTGTGAAATGTCAGAACCCTGGGGGCAAAAGTTTCCATAGAAGGGAAAAGTAGATTATATACAAAGGAAAAGGAATCAAAATGGCATCAGGTGCCTGAACAGCAAAATGGGAAGCCAGAAGATAATGGAACAATGTCTTCTTCTTCTTCTTTTTTTTTTTTTTTTTTTAATAGAGACAGTCTTGTTGTGTGCCCAGGCCGATTTTTGAGCTCCTGAGCTTAAGCAATCCTCCTGCCTCGGGCTCCCAAAGTGCTGGGATTACAGGTGTGAGCCACCACGCCTGACCGGAACAATGTCTTTAAAACTTCTGAGGTAAAATTATTTCCAACTTAGAATTCTATATTCAGTCAAACTGTCAACCATTAGAGAGGGAAACACAGAAGCCTCCTAAGATAGAAGGAATGTTCTATTTTTTAAAGTTTGCTAAAGAGTACATGCACATTCATCTTATTCCTTAAGCTATTATAGGTATGTTCTATACACTATTAAAACTGTCTATAAGCTGGGCGTGGTGGCTCACGCTTGTAATCCCAGCACTCTGGGAGGCCGAGGCAGGTGGATCACTTGAGGTCAGGAGTTCAAGAACTGCCTGGCCAACATGGTGAAACCTGTCTCTACTAAAAATACAAAAATTAGCTGGGCATGGTGGTCAGCACCCGTAATCCCAGCTACTGGTGAGGTTGAGGCGGGAGAATCGCTTGAACCTGGGAGGTGGAGGTTGTAGTGATGCAGTGAGTGGAGACTGCGCCACTGCACTCCAGCCTAGGAGACAGAGAAACAGAGTGAGACTCCTTTTCAAAAAAAAAAAAAAAAAAAGAGGAAAAAAATGTCTATAACATAATTTAAAAGTAATTTAAAAAAAAGTTACCAAATATGTCAAAAGGTTAAATGATGGGTACACGCATGTTTCTTATGTTATTCTCTGTACTTTTATTATACTTAATATATACTGTAATTTTTTTTTTGAGACAGGGTCTCACTCTATCACCTAGCCTAAAGTGCAAGGCATGATCATGGCTCACTGTAACTTCAAACTCCTTGGCTCAAGTGATCCTCCCACCACAGCTTCCCAAGTAGCTGGGACTACAGGTGCGCACCACCATGCTGGCTACTTTTTTTATTTTTAGTAGAGACAGGGTTTTACCATGTTGGCTAGGCTAATCTCGAACTCCTGACCTCAAGTGATCTGCCCGCCTCGGCCTCCCAAAGTGCTGGGATCACAGGCATGAGCCACCTCGCCGGGCCAAAAGATGCTTTTTTAAAGTTGCTTATGTCTTCAGAGAGATAAGATAGTACAGCCATAAAAGAATAGAAACCATAAATTCGTATCATCTTAATTTTGACTTATGTATAAATTTCTGCCCTTTGAGCACCCATACAAATTTTTTGAATTAGCCCTAAAATCATAATACTAGGCCATTATCCTCTAGGCCTTTTTTTTTTTTTTTTGGTAAAGACAGAGTCGTGTTATGTTGCCCAGGCTGGTCTCAAACTCCCGAGCTCAAGCAATTCTCCTGCCTCTGCCTCCCAAAGTGCTGGGATTACAGGTGTGAGCCACCATGCCCAGCCCCCTGGGCCATTTTAAACTTGAAAAATTGAATTATATAGAGTTTCTTCCACCAAAATGCATCATCTATAGAGGTCAACATCAATAAAATTTGAATGTTAAATCTGGAATACTTTGGTTATGACCCTGATTAAATCAGAAGAATGGACTAAATGAACTCTTATTCCCTTCTAGCCTGTACAGTTCTAACACCTTTTTGAGTTTGAGCTATAATATAGTTACAGATACTAACGTAAAATACATAATATTCTTCCAATCTTTTTTTGTTTGCTCAGACTCCTTCTGTCATTCTCAATCCTAAAGGCTGACATAAAACCTACACCATCCTCTGGCTAGAGTGGGACTCTGAAAAGCGAAAAGAGTAGCACATCCTCTTGGGTTAGAGATTGGTTTTCTTCCTGGAGCTATTGAGAAAAGTCTCCCTTTATCTGCTGAGGTTTCTAAACTGCTAGCGTGTAAGCTTGAAGTTGCTTCTTGCCTGCTTGCTAGGAATGCCTGCCTGAGAATGAAGTGGCTCAGAAGACAGGAGAGCAGATCAAAGGAAGGAGATCATTTCTTAATGACAGTATTTGAATTGTGAGTGAAAATAGGTCGATTCTTAAACTTTCAAATTTCACAAATGAAGAAACAAGACAAAGATTAACTTAGAGGAAAGCAAAAGATTATATCGGAAACAAAAAGAGAAATTATAAAATGCTACATGTCTCAGCTGTGAGCAGCTTTTATGTAGTCATAATAATGTAAATTGTGAATACTGGTTTAGCCAAAATTAAAACATAATTATACGAGGTGAATGGTAAGAAGAGAAGAATAGATACATAGGAAGAAAGTAATGAGTAAATAATGCTCATCCTAAAATAGGAAGTCAATAGATGATATGGTTTGGCTCTGTGTCCCCATCCAATCTCATTTCCAATTGTAATCCCCACGTGTTGAGGGAGGGAGGTGATTAGATCCTGGGGGCAGTTTCCCCCATGCTGTTCCAGTGATAGTGAGTGAATTCTCACAATATCTATGGTTTTTAAGTGTTTGGAAGTTCCTCCTCACTCTTCTCTTTCCTGCCAACTTGTGAAGAAGATGCCTGCTTTCCCTTCCACCATGATTGTGTTTCCTGAGGTCTCTCCAGCCATGTGGAACTGTGAGTCAATTGAAACTTTTCCTTTGTAAATCACCCAGTCTCAGGGGAGTTCTTTATAGCAATGTGAAAACGGACTAACACAATAGATGACATCTAAAGCTGAAAACTCACAAAGCAGCTATATAAGCATATTATTTAGAAGTTAAGACATGGCAGGTCATGGTGGCTCATGCCTGTAATCCGAACACTTTAGGGGGCTAAGGCAGGAGGATCACTTGAGCCCAAGAGGTCAAAAGTAGCCTGGGCAGCATAGTGAAATCTGTCTCTACAAAAAAAAAATTTTTTTTTAATTAGCCAGGTGTGGTGGTGCATGCCTGTAGTCCCAGCTACTTGGGAGGCTGAAGCAGAAGGATTTCTTGAGCCTGGGAGGTCAAGGCTGCAGTGAACCATGATTGCACCACTGCACTCCAGCCTGGGCAACAAAGTGAGACCCTGTCTCAAACAAGAAAAGAAAATATGACCAAAAAACTCTCTCCCAACCTCAAAAAAAAAAAAAATCCCACTGAGGCCAGACATGGTGACTTGTGCCTATAATCCCAGCACTTTGGGAGGACAGGGTGGGAGGATCATTTCAGCCCATAAGTTCAAGACCAGCCTGGACAACATAGTGAGACCCTGTCTCTATAAAAGCAATTTTTAAAATTCCACTGAAACAATTAGAATTACTGCTTGGGGCCCTTGGTAGTCCCCTTTTAATGTAGAAATTCATATCCTTCAGTTCCGACAAATGTTCTTGATTTACTTATTTGATTATTTTCTTCTATCCATTTTCTCTTATCTCCTTTTATGAATTTTTTTCTTCTTCTTAAAAAAAATCCTCAGATTCCTTTTACCATCTGAAATACCTGTTATGCAGATATTGAACTTCTTGCACTGGTCCTTTAGTCCTCTAAATCTTTTCTCTATGTAATTATCCTTCTCATTGTCTTTTCACTCTACCTTGTGAGAGATGTCCTCAATTTATATAATTATCTTTCTCTCTCTCTCTTTTTTTTTTTTTTTGAGACAAAGTTTCACTCTGTTACCCAAGCTGGAGTGTAGTGGCACAAGCATAGCTTAGTAATCTTGACCTCCCAGGCTCAGGTGATCCTCTCACCTTAGCCTCCCGAGTAGCTGGGATTGCACACACATGTGCTACCATGCCCAGCTGATTTTTGTATTTTTTTTTTTTTGTAGAGATGGGGTTTTACCATGTTGGCCAGGCTGGTCTCGAACTCCTGGCCTCAAGTGATCCACCCTCCTCGGCCTCCCGAAGTGCTGGAATTACAAGCGTGAGCCACTACGCCCGACCTTCAACTCTTCTATTGGGTATTTTTTTAATATATATTCTCGTGATTTGAATATTAAGGATGTCTTTCTTACTCTTTTTAGAGACAGATAAATAGATGATAGAGAGAGAGATAGATGATGATAGATAGATAGATAGATAGATGATAGATCATCAAACTGTTCACTTTTATGGATACAGCATTCTCTCTTCTCCATCAGAGATATGAAAGTATTTCCCTTTTCTCCTCCTGCCTGTATCCATGCCTTCAATGTTGTTTTAATCTACTTGTTGCCCTCTCTGTCTTTCACATAAGTGGATCCTCTCAGATGTTGAATGACCTTGGATTCCCTAAGAGCAGGTGACTAGAAAGCGAATAGAGAGCTCTGAGCATCTTCTGGATGCACTACATTTAGATGGTCCTTTGCTCTTGGTGGGTGATATGCGTGGCCCATTTCTTTGAAGGAACTCTGATATCAGGATCTTTAGGTCTTCTTGGCTCATCAGGTTCCCCAGAGATGACTTTTCCACTCTTCAGCCTAGAGAGAGTAGAAGCTGGAAGCAAACATTCTGGGAACTAAGGATAGGAAGACAAGCTGACTGCTCTTAGAATATATGTTAAAAATCACTTAATTCCACTGTTCTTTGCAGAGTAGCCCCTAGCTTCGATGTTGCCTAGTGTCTTCCATTTCCAATACCCTCTTTTGAATAAACCTGCAATATTTTGTCCTTGTTGGGCCTACACTTGATCTACTATACAGAGTAGAGGAGGAGCTCTGGGGTGAGAGGTGTCCAACTGCATCTTATAAACACTTTCAGCACAATCTCCTATTTATAGGCTCACGCCTGTAATCCCAGCACTTTGGGAGGCCAAGGTGGGTGGATCACCTGAGGACAGGAGTTCAAGACCAGCCTGGCCAATACGGCGAAACACTGTCTCTACTAAAAATACAAAAATCAGCTGGGCGTGTGGCAGGTGCCTGTAATCCTAGCTACTCAGGAGGCTGAAGCAGGAGAATTGCTTGAACTCAGGAGGCGGAGGTTGCAGTGAGCCAAGATGGTGTCACTGCACTCCAGCCTGGGCGACAAGAGCAAAACTCTGTCTCAGAAAAAAAAAAAAAAAAAAAAAAAAAAAAAAAAGAGTTATCTCTGCTAGGTTATAAGTATCTGGACATCAAAAATAGGTTAATATTTATATTCATGTATTTCTTTCCGTGTCTAATACAGTGAATTGTACCTTGACCTTGCACAATAAATGATTGTGCAATTGATATTTCAGCATAATTACCATAAGGCAAGACTAGATAAAAAAAATCTAGTAGGTTGATAAGCTTTTAACTAATTTTTACCAAAAATTTGGCACAATAACAATAATTATTATTTTTTCCTTCTAATGAATACCACAAATAAGTGTTTTGCGCTGTGTAGGAAAAAAGAAAGATGATCGGGCAGAATGCCTAACAAGGTTGAATAATTAGTCAAATTTTATTTTTGAGCATTTTTCCTAAAATTCAATTGCATGGTTTAAATGCTTGCTCTTTGCTGCTTTGGAAATCTGTTGATAAATGACATTGCAGTCCTTGATATGCACTTGCACAGGCATTCATGTGTTTCTTGCCAGTGCCAGGAGGCAGAACCAATATTATTTTTCCTTTCTGAGGGTGAAGGAGTTCACAAAGATCACCTGACTAGTCAAGGCCTTTTCTACACTGAGATCTTTCTAACAGGTCATTGAATCATCACCAACTGAAGAAAATAAGGACTGTTTGCACTATATATTTTCACTATCATTCATTTGCTTCTTGGTACCCTCCAAAAGAGATGAGCGATTTTTTTTCTCTTTCTTTAGGGGGGCAGGGTGGGGGTGGGGTCTCACTCTGTTGCCCAGGCTGAAGCGTAGTGGCACAATCGTGGCCCACTGCAGCCTTAACCTCTCGGGCTCAAGCAATCCTCCCACCTCGGCTTCCCATGTAGCTGGGACTACAGGTGCATGCCACCAAGCCCAGCTAGTTTTTTAATTCTTTTGTGGAGACAGGGTCTTGCTATATTGTCCAGGCTGGTCTTGAACTCCTGGGTTCAATTGATCCTCCGACTTCAGCCTTCCAAAGTGTTGGGATTATAGGTGTCAGCCACGGTGCCTGATGAGTTGAGTGATTCTGACAAAATTTGGTTCTTTAAATAAAGGTATCAAGAAGCATCTAAAGCTTGTATTGGCCACCCTGAAATGAAACAGTCAGGAAGAACTAGATTATAAATTCTTTGAAGGCAAAAAACTCTTAATTTTCTCTCTCATATCTCATCACCCTATACCACTGGTGGACATAAAATAGATGTTCAGGCCAGGCGTGGTGGCTCACGCCTGTAATCCCAGCACTTTGGGAGGCCGAGGCAGGAGAATCACGAGGTCAGGGGTTCAAGACCAGCCTGGAAAGCATAGTGAAGCCCCATTTCTACTAAAATCACAAAAAATTAGCCAGGCCTGGTGGCAGGTGCTTGTAATCCCAGCTACTTGGGAGTCTGAGGCAGGAGAATCGCTTGAACCCAGGAGGCAAAGGTTGCAGTGAGCTGAGATCACACCACTGCACTCCAGCCCGGGCTCCACCCCCTCAGCCTCCCAAAGTGCTGAGATTACAGGTGTGAGCCACTGCGCCTGGCCTAACTCTAGTGCAAGACTCCATCTCAAAAAAAAAAAAAAAAACATGTTCAATACCATTGTTGTTTGAACAGGTAACAGAAGTTTCCAAATGGGATTATTCTCTCCAATTTGAAATGATTTTATTGAAATTTGCTATCTGGTTAATGCTAACTACTGTTATTCCACTGAGTATAATCTTTAGTTCACATTTCTGCTGGCTAATAGGCTTCCCAAAGCCATTTACTAACATGAACATGATACTGCAACCAGCCGTAAAATCTGGAAGAGTAACTAAGAAACCTTCCTTCCCTTATTAGTTTATTGATTGGTTTATTTATTCTGATGTTCCAGAATTATATGAATCTAGACTATGCTTCTTTTGAAAGCCTGGATTTTATGTGGAAAAGGTGATCTTTTCCAGTAACATTTTATTCCACTTTCAACTTATACCATATAAAATGTGCATTTGGAATCTCTCCAACAGCAAATACAGATGTAGTTTAATCCACCCTGACTAAAGAACAGTCCAGAAACAAAAATATTCTGGGGCTCACTGATCTGTAAACACAAAATTAATGAATCATGTTCTGGTACTCATTCTGCTACTCATGTGATTTAGCCTATTACACATTTAAATATTCATACCTTTGTCTGTAAAATAGAAATAGAATTGCTTATTACCTTCTGAATAGTTTTAAGGAAAAACCAATAATATAGATTTTAATACTAAAATATATGTGTGTATAGATGTCATGACATCTATTTATTAAATATTAAATAATATATGGCACATGACTGGGCACCATGAAGGTTAAAATCACAGCTTTAGAAAGAAAAAACTCACCTTTAATTTCCAAAATTTGGTTAAAAGCTTTCTTTACAAAGTTATGTAGTTATGTAGTCTTAAGTATTTAATAAAATATATTTATATCAAGTAAACGATAAGAGTCTTGCTAGCCATCTTAGTTTGGTAAACAATGCTCCCAGAATTATTGAAAAATCGAATTGTCATTAACCTTTGCAAATACACACAGTTGTAGTCTTTAAGAGTGACAAATTACGATTATGGCCTAATTACTGAGGCTTACTCTGGACAAATGCAAAATATTTACCATGTAATATAAGAATCCATACAACCCAATTGCTTCAGTACAGATAAATTCTATGGCCACCTCATGCCTAAACTTTTTTTTTTTTTATTTTAGAGGAAATAATATAATTGTCATTTTATGTGCTCAACATCATAGAAGTAAAAATTAGTCTCCAAACAAGCTTTGTTCAAATGTGTTTGCAAATGTTCTTTCTGTGTGCATTTCTAAACACCCCCCACCAAAGAAACCCCCCACCAAAGAAATATTTAAACAGATTTTGCCATTGCAGAGTAAGCAGTAAGGAAATCTACACAATTATAGATGTTTCGATGGCCAGGCATGGTGGCACATGCCTGTAATCCCAGCACTTTTGGAGGCCAAGCCAGGCAGATCACCTGAGGTCAATACCAGCCTGGCCAACATGGTGAGACCTCATCTCTACTAAAACTACAAAAAATTAGTCAGGCATGGTGGCACATGCCTGTAGTCCCAGCTACTCAGGAGGTTGAGGCAGGAGACTCACTTGAGCCCGGGAGGTGGAGGGTGCAGTGAGCCAAGGTCACACCACTGCACTCCAGCCTGGGCATCAGAGCAAGACTCCATCTCAAAAAAAAAAAAAAAAACTATAGATATTTCAAAATACTTAGGGTAACTGATATAGAACATAAAGACTTAGAAATTGGTTCTTCCAAGCTCTTTGTACTTCAGTGAGCTATCCTTTGGTGGACACTTCTAAATTTAACATTGTGTAGGATCTTCTTATACCATCTATTGCTGTTTCAAAATGCTTGTCATGCGTATGGTATCAAATATTTGATACCTTTAATTAAAAATAGGCTAAAAAGGCAGGCAACCTTGAGCGTGAGTCAGCAATTGATCAAAGAGTATCTCTGCTCTAGAATTAGAATCCATATACCCTGATCCTAGTGCTTGATTAATTGGATTTGACCAAAGGGGCCATATATTTATTGTGACTTTATAACTCATGGAATGGTAGGACTAATAGTTGTTCATCTCATACTTCACAGGATTGTCATGATTCTCATTTTACTTTTAGTTATTTTTCAAACTTGAGTAAAGTATTTTTATATGCACAGAATTCTAAAGTATTCACAAATTGCATACACTCTGTGTATTATCCGTTTTCATAACACTGAATGTGCTTCAGGTTGACACACTGAGCAACTTAGTTTGAAGACATTTTGGGTGATTAAAATAATTTGGATTTGCCAGTGACCATGAGTTTTTTCCACTGCTTTTCTTCTTTAAATAGACTTTTTTTTTCCTGCACTTAGAGGAAGTGTGAGTTCAGAAATTAGATTGACCTGAGTTTGGCTCCTCTTTCAAAAGATAGTTCCAATTCATTGGGAATATTGTCAACTCTTTTTCAAAAGATAGTTCCAATTCATTGGGAATATTGTCAACTCTACACACAGAATAAGTCCAGAATCCAAATTCTTCTCTCCAGCTTCACTGGCTGCAATGCTGGTCCAATCTCCTACTTGAACAATTTTAATAATCTCCTAGCTGGTCTGTGTGCTTCCACTCTTGCCCCCATAGTTTATTTCCCATACCAGAGTGATCCTTCTAAAATATAGGACATAATATGCCTCTCTAATGCTCAAAAGCCTCCAGTGATTTCCTGCTTCATTCATTTCATCCATTCAAAAGTTCATTGGCCTACAAAGCCCTGCATGAGCTGGGCCCACCTACTTATCTCACTTCGTCCCCTACCATTTCCCCATCTCGCATTCCACAGCAGCCCCACTGGCTGCCTTCATATTCCTCAAACACACCAACGAATGCACTTTTGCATGTGCTGTCCTCTTTGCCTTCTGAATGCTGTTCCCCCAGGTATTTTCATGGCATCCTTCTTTACTTCTTCCAGATCTTGGCTCAAACGTCTCTTTAAGAAGACTTTTCTGATCATCCTCTATATCTAGTAACATATCACCTCCTTGCCTTTTTTATTTTTCTCTGTAGCACTTATTCCCAAGGAAAGCATCATATATTTATGTGTTTATTAGTTTGTAAATTGACTTTCTGCATTAGAATGTAAATTCCATAAGGCCAAGGACTTTATGTTGTTTATTTTTGTATACCCGACACCAACAATAATGTCTGTCTGGCATGTAACAAGTGCTTAAAAAATACTTGGTGAAGGAATGTACATAACTTGTTAATTGCTTGACACTGGGCAAATTGAAAATTATTTTTTTCTTATCTCTACAATAGGGCTAATAATATTTCACAGTTATTGAGATGATAACTAAAATGAAATATGTAAAATCTCTATAGCATAATGTTTGCCATATTATAGTTTTTAATACATAATTATTTCCTTTCAATTCACTATGATTTATTCTGCAATACAAACTTTGAGAATGGCTACTTAATTTATAGAAAAATGTATGATAAGGAATTTCACCAAAACCTCATAAAGGTGGGCCAACAGCTAATCATCTTTCAAGACTCAGCTCTCAAGTATTACACTTTCCTTTTATTTGTTGGTTTATTTAACCTACTTTTGTTTTTTTTATTGACGGGGTTCTCACTATGTTGCCCAGGCTGGACCTGAACTCTTGGGCTCAAGTGATCCTCTCCTCTCAGCCTCCTGAGTACTGGATTGCTAATTCTGTAAAGACTTTGTCTGACCTCTCTGAGAGTCTTGACCCTTATATTCACTGTGATCCATGGTACCCTCTAACCACTTCTGGCATAACAACAATAATTCATTATACATACTCCATTGTTTATCATTTTCCCACATTAGACAAGTCCTTAATGCCAAGTTTTATTTACCTTTGTATTCAAGTCAAGCAAATATTTACCTTTGTATTCAAGTCAAGCAAATATTAAATAAATGTATGTGCAATAAAATTGGGCATTTGAGGCACATACAAATAAAAATATCATTCCCAATCCCTATAGAGAGAATGGCCTGACCAATCTGTGGAGAGAACACATATAAGAAACAATTGCAATATATGATTGTAAAGCCAAAGGCTAAAAATCAAGGGTTAAGTTTCTACTAATGGCATTATAAAGTGGTCAGGTGAACTTTTATGCAGATAACAATGATAAAAACTGGACAAAACATTTATTTAAAACAATGATTTGAAGACTCTGGAGAAAACCAGAAGTTGCAAACAGTTTATTGTTGAAAGACTGTAACAGCAGCAGGTAAGAATTGCAATTTGAGGGTTTTTTTTTTTTTTTTTTTTTTTTTTTGCCTGAGGAGAGTTTGCAATGCCCAAAGCTCCTGGGACAGAAAACTGCAGTATTGCTGGTGGACAAAGACAGAGTACACAGCTTTCAGAGTAGCTGGAACTTTAGGAGGAAATATTAGAAGCAAGAAAACCACAGAAGGGATAAGGCCCAAATTCTGAGTATAAACTCTACCCAAATCCCTAGCTGACTGCTAAATTATGGATAAGTAGAAAAGACCACGTGGGAATAGCAAAAGATAGGTAGAAAAGAGAGAATAATGTATCTGCACATTGTATCAGAACTATCTCAGGCAAGATTTGTGACTTCATTGGTCTTTTGACAGAGTATATTCCCAACCTGAATGCAGCTGAGGCAGCAGAAAGCTGAAGGCTTAATGGCCTGAGGTGCCAGAGGAATAGGTGGAAATTTGTGGAGAGTGAGAAGGGGTAGCTCTGAAATTAAGGGAACTACAGAGAGTGCAAGCTCCAAATTGGATTTTAAAAAGTTCCCCAATCCTTGGCTAACAACTAAACTACATAGATCATAACTGGAATCTATAGGTAGGAAGGAAGAATGCTGGAAATGGTAACTGTGTGGGTAAATAGATATGTAGTATATTGTACACACATATATTTCCTCACTTTATTTAAAAGATACATAACTGCTGAAAGCAAATATTGTAGCACTTTGTTACTAATATGAAGAAGAAAGCAGGAGTGACACTACAGATCCTACAAACATTAAAATGGGAATATTTAAACGTAAAATAAGGGAATTTTTTTTTTTTTTTTGAGATGGAGTCTTGCTCTGTCACCCAGGCTGGAGTGCAGTGGCACTATCTCGGCTCACTGCAAGCTCCGCCTCCCAGGTTCATGCCATTCACCTGCCTCAGCCTCCCGAGTAGCTGGGACTATAGGTGACTGCTACCACGCCCAGCTAATTTTTTGTATTTTTTAGTAGAGATGGGGTTTCACTGTGTTAGCCAGGATGGTCTCGATCCTGGCTAACACAGTGAAACCCAGTCTCTACTAAAAATATTTAAACATCCTTATGCCAATAAATTCAATGGTTAGATAAACAAATTCCTTGAGAGACCCAAATTACTAATTTTGTTAATAGAAAATAGAAAATATGAATAGTCAAATTAAATTCAAATTAAAAACTTTCACACACATATACACACACAACTCCAGGTCTAGATAGCTTTACTAGTGAACTGTATTAGACAATCAATAAAAGAGTAATACCAATTCCACAGAAACTGCATAAGAAAAACAGAAAGAGTGAACCATTTTTGACTTATTTTACAAGACCACCGTTATATCAGTACCAAAACCAGTTAAAGACATCATGAGAAAGAAAACTATAGATTAATCTCTCCTGAACATAGACAAAAGGAAAAAAATCATTAAACTATTAGAAAATCAATCCTGCAATATATAAAGAGGATTAATATGTCATGACTATGACCATGTATTTGTAATTGCGGGATTTCAAACTTGATTTGACATTCAAAATCAGTTGATATGGCCAGGCACGGTGGCTCATGTTTGTAATCCCAGCACTTTGGGAGGCCAAGGTGGGTGGATCACCTGAGGTCAGGAGTTTGAGACCAGCCTGGTCAACATGGTGAAACCCTGTCTCTATTAAAAATACAAAAATTAGCCGGGTGTGGTGGCACGCGCCTATAATCCCAGTTACTTGGGAGGCTAGGGCAGGAGAATCACTCTAACCTGGGAGGCAGAGGTTGAAGTGAGCCAAGATTATGCCATTGCACTCCAGCCTGGGCAACAAAGCGAGACTCTCTCAAAAAAAAAAAAAAAAAAACAATCAGTTGATGTAATTCACCATATTAATAGAATAAAGAAGAAAAAATATATAATCATTTTAATAGACACAGAAAAGGTATTTGGCAAATTTCAACACCCTTTCATGGTAAAACTCTCAACAAATAGGATGGAAAAGAGAATCCTCAATCTGATAAAGGACACCCGTGGAAAACCTAGAGCTAACATCACACATCATATTGAAATATTGAGTATTTCCCCTCCAAAGACAAAGGGATGGTCTGCATTTATCACATATATTCAACAAAGTACCGGAAATCCTAGTCATTACAATAAGGCAAGAAAAAAAATACAAAGCAAGATTGGAAAGGAGGAAGTAAAACTGTATTTACCCATCAACATGATTGTGCATATAGAAAAGTTTAAGGAATCCCAAATAAACTACTGAGACAAATAAGTGAATTTAGCAAAATTATAGAAAATAAGGTCAATATTAAAGAATCAATTGTATTTCTAGATACTAGCCAAGATCCCTTGGATATGAAATTAAAGAAACAATTACATTCACAACAGCACCAAAAAATATGAAATAGGGATAAATTAAACTGTTCAATGTCCTTAGTCTTGTCCTTAGTCTTCAGGAAACTGCAAGTTAAAATCACAATGATATACCTCTGCAAACCCACTAAAATGACTAAAATTATATACTTAATCATACAACCCAGCCATTTTCTCCTAGATATTTGCCCAAGAGAAATGAATACTACATAAAGATTTACATACAAATGTCCATAGCAGCTTTACTCAAAATAGCCCTAAAGTGGATACAATCCGAATGTTCATCAGCAAAAAAATGGATAAACTAATTGTGGTGTATTCATAAAATGAAATAAAACTCAGTTGGGGAAAAACAGAAAACACAAGTTACACATGCATGCAACAACATCGATGAATCTCAAAAAGTTTATGCTAAGTAAGAAAGCCAGGCCAAAAAGAGTACACACTGTTTACAGAATAATCTGAAAAAGGCAAAAGCAATCTATCATGTTAGAAAGCAGATCAGTTGCTTGCGACTCAGGTTGGAGGCAGAACTGACTGAAAAGAGGTATTAGGGAGGCCTGTGGGTGACGGGGAGAATGCTCCATATCTTATAGTAGTGGTTTACTCAAGCATATACGTTCATCAAGATTGTATGCTTAGAATGGGTGCATTTTATCGTATGTAAATTATAACTCACTGTAGTTCTTTAAAGGTAGCTTCATAAGAAAAAGAACTAATCCATGGCTGACAATAGTATTTTTCATTACAGAGCTTAGAAAAGAGGGGCTCTTAGGGGTACATCATTGAAAAACTTTTTTTTTTCAACTACAAACCCAATTCCACTGTGTGTTACAAATTAACATGGCTGATAAAAGCATTCTGGTTAGCCTGATAAGAAAGATAAATAAATCACACTGAAATCAAACCACTAGGATTCTTGTTAGGCTCAAGAGCTGGTAAAGAAGCCCTGTCCCTCAGGAATATAGTGGTGCTGGAGATGCAACCACCACAGAAAATAAAACCCAAAGGGCTGGGGAAGAGGTGAAAAGAGGATAGTGTGAATACCAACCTGGATCCTTTGCTGGGAACTCTTGTTATCTTGTTCTGTATTTATCCAGTGCTGTATTTAGAAAAGATTAAATCAAAACTGTGAAATTAAAACATGATGAGTGACAGTTCTGAGAGACAACAGCTGTGGCACTAGATTTTCATCATGTCAGGCCTGAGATCTGTATTTCAGGTCACTTTTTTCCATTGGCACTGATCCTGAAGGACAAAAATTATCTTTCTATTGGCTCTTTTCTAAACCACCTGTTGCCTCCATGAGGTAGAAGATTAATAGAGTTTAAATGGGAAGTGAGCCATTTCAAAGGTCTGGGTTGAATGGGGTCTTCATAGAGCACTCACCTCAGGAGTTTAGGCAAAATATTATCTGGTGTCACCAGCAATAATAATTTCCATGTGTTGTATTCCCCTTCTAGGTAGAGAAAACTTTTGAATCACAATACACATTTCAAATGCAAACCCACAATTAGAGAGTTGAACAAATATCTATTGTTTTCTAAGGTATATGAAAAAATATATCTTTTGAAACAGTTATTCCTAATCATTGTCAAATAAATCCCAAGTAACTAATTTAAGGCATTATGAGAATGTACCTTTCTTCCTTCTTTTTTTTGAGATGAAGTCTCGCTCTGTCACCCAGGCTGGAGTGCAATGGCGCGATATCGGCCATTCTATGGGTGTATTTTATTGTATTCACTGCAACCTCCGCCTCCTGGGTTCAAGCGATTTTCCTGCCTCAGCCTCCTGAGTAGCTGGGATTACAGGCGCCCGCCACCACGCCCGGCTTTTTTTGTATTTTTAGTAGAGACGAGGTTTCACCTTGTTGGCCAGGCTGGTCTTGAACTCCTGACCTCGTGATCCACCCACGTTGGCCTCCCAAAGTGCTGGGATTACAGGCATGAGCCACCACACCTGGCCCCTTTTTTCCTTCTTAATAAATGCCTAGGCCAGGGGTGGTGGCTCATGCCTGTAATCCCAGCACTTGGGGAGGCCCAGGCATGTGGATCACTTGAGGTCAGAAGTTGGAGACCAGCCTGGCCAACATGGTGAAACCCCATCTCTACTGAAAATACAAAAATTAGCCAGGCATGGTGGCGCACACCTATAATCCCAGCTACTCAGGAGGCCGAAGCATGATAATCACTTGAACCCGGAAAGCGGAGGTTGCAGTGAGCCGAGATGGTGCCACTGCATTCCGGCCTGGGCAGCAGAATGAGACTCCATCTCAAGAAAAAAAAAATGTGTAATTTCAAAAGTCATGAAACTACCCTTGTCTGTAAAATAAGGTCTTGATAAATGGTTAAATATCAATATTTGGATAAGCTGATTCTGGCATATCTGTATGATGGAATACTATCAGCAATAAAAAGGAACAGACTACTGATGTACTCAGGAAAACTGATAAATCTCAAATTCATTACGCTAAATGAAAAAAAAAAGCCTACATACTCTCTGATAACAGTTACATGGAATTCTGGAAGAGGCAAAATTATACAGAAAAAAAAAACAGATGAGTGATTTCCAGGGGCTGCAGGGCAGGGGTGTGTTTGACTTCAAAAGGATACGAGGTTGGAGGGAGGTAGGAGGGACTTTGAGGAGTGAAGGAACTACTTGGTATTTTGATTGTGGTGGTGGTTACATGACTGTATGCGTTTGTCAAAGCTTACAAAACTATGCACTAAAATGCATAAAAATTACTGTACCTAAATCATACTTTATCTTTTTCAAAATAATATTTCAAAGAACTATTTTTTAAAAAATGTGTTTTAATTTGAAGGAGGTATTTATGGTCATCACAGGTACTGCAGATCTGGAAATCCTCATTACACTCTAAATGTGCAAAATGAGTCATCAGGCTGTTCTATTAATAGAAAGTGAACTGCATGAACCACAATATTTTAGTAAGGATATAAGCCTTATGAAGAGTTGTAGATACCATTGTTGCGGGGAGTTTGCTTTGTTTTGTTTTGTTTTGTTTTGTTTTCACCTGTGTTTAGATGTAGTGAGTAAGAATGAGATGTATTGTATATTTGAAATTTGCTCTTTTACATTTAAGGAATTAGGACATTGGATTGAAAGAAAACTAGGAATTTTTCACCAGTAGATTGCTACATTTAGTTTTGGAATGCTCTATATGTGTCTTTTAATTATCTTCATAAATTGTTAAAAGTGGATAGATTGTTTAGCTTGTGCCTATAAATCCTAGCTTTACAACCTGAAAATGTATTTACACACCTATTTCTTCATCTTTTTCTCTGATAAAGCTCTAATAAGTTTATCAGAGAAATTCTATTGAAGAGCCATGAATTTTCCAACTGAAAGTTTCTGCTAAATGATGAGCAGAATAAATGGAATACCCATAAGTAAAAACAATACCCTAAAATTACAGAAAGCTAGGAATAGCTAAACTAAAAATAAAGAATAGGCTGCTCTGCCTGTAGAGTAGCCATTCTTTTATTCCTTTACTTTCCTAATAAACTTGCTTTCACTTAAAACAAAAATAGAATAAAGAAGTATGGGTGCAGTGGCTCATGCCTGTAATCTCAACATTTTGGGAGGCCAGGATAGGAGGATCATTTGAGCCCAGGAGTTCAAGACCAGATTAGGCAGCACAGCAAGACCCCCTCTTTGAAAAAAAAAAAAAAGAAGAAGAATAAAGAGAAGAAATTCAAAGGTTAGAGTGGAAAAAATAATAAAAATTCAGGCTTTCACCTGACTTCTCATCTGCAATACTGTTAAGACAATGAAGCAATGCTGTTGGTTTTTGAAGGAAAATGATTTCAATCAAGAGTTCTAGACAGCTTAAATATCAATGAAATGGGCCAGGTGTGGTGGATCATGCCTGTTAATCCCAGCACTTTGGGAGGCTGAGGCTGGTGGATTACCTAAGGTCAGGAGTTCGAGACCAGCCTGACAGACATGGAGAAACTCCGTCTCTACTAAAAATACAAAATTAACCAGGCGTGGTGGCACATGCCTGTAATCCCAGCTACTCGGGAGGCAGAGGCAGGAGAATCGCTTGAACCCAGGAGGCGGAGGTTGTGGTGAGCCAACATTGCGCCATTGCACTCCAGTCTGGGCAACAAGAGCAAAACTCTGTCTCAAAATAAATAAATAATAAATAAATATAAAGAAATAAATAAAGTCAATTAAATGTAAAAACAAAAAAAATTTAGATACGCAAGAATTAGTAAGTTTATCTTTCAGGCATTTTCTCTTTAAAGATACTTGAGAGTAGAGGGAATAAGTCAAGGAATGAAGATATGGGATCTACAAGACAGTGGCTCCAACCTAATATTGCAATGTACAGAAGTCTCAAAGTAATAGCTGTTCAACAGGGCTAGAAAGCAATCAGTTCAAAGAGGCCAGAGGTACACCAGAGGCTGGAGGTCTCCTAGAAAGAAAAGTTTCCATAGACCAAGTAGTACGTTTGAGAATTTTGGAAGAAATTATGGGCAATAATAAAAAATTTTTTTAATTAGAAACTCTAGGAAAAATAATAGATTTCAGAAAAGGACATGCAATTATACTTGTGATATAATATATACATATATTGATTTTAATCCACAGTTCCTGGCTCATAATTCCCATAGCTTTTGTTTTAATATTTTGTTATAATGTTGGGGCACTTAAGGCCTCAGAAGCAAGCCTCAGAAAACAGAACCTTTTTCTTTCATCTTCTCCTGCCCTTCTTTTTTTTTTTTTTTTTTTTTTTTGAGAAAGAGTCTCGCTGTATCATCCAGGCTGGAGTGCAGTGGCGCGATCTCTGCTCACCGCAACCTCTGCCTCCCAGGTTCAAGCGATTCTCCTGCCTCAGCCTCCCGAGTAGATGGGACTACAGGCATGCACCACCATGTCTGGCTAATTGTTTTGTATTTTTAATAGAGACAGGGTTTCACCATGTTGGCCAGGCTGGTCTCAAACTCCTGGGCTAAACTCCACTCGCTTGGCCTCCCAAAGTGCTGGGATTCCAGGCGTGAGCTACTGCTCCTGGCCTTCTCCTGCCCTTCTTTCACCTGTTCCTTTTTGTCACCAAGGAAGGACCCTAATCTTCCCCTGCTTTTCAGAAGAAGTCATGCCCCATATACCCTGGAGGAAAAAATGCTGCACAGAAAGGCCAAGAAAAATCTAAACAGACAGGCCTCGCTGAGTTTTCCCACTCAGCTCATTACCATGAGATCATGCTTTTGTGTCCAATCACATTTCTACATAGCTAGCAATCATGCCAGTCCAATGTAGTCTCCACCAAAGACCCAAGAGAGCAGGATTCACAGAGCTTCTGGATAGCTGAACACGTGGATGTTCTACAGGGTGGTGACCTCAGGGTGGGCATGGAAGCTCTGCTCCCATTCCCCCAGGCCTTACCCTATGCATCTCTTCATCTGTATCCTTTGTAATATCCCTCATAATAAACCAGTAAACAACATAAATGTTTCCCCAAGTTCTCTAAGCTGCTCTAGCAAGTAGCTAAACCCAGGAGGAGGTTGTGGGATCCCCAGTTTATAGCTGGCTGATCAGAAACACAGGTAGAACAAGCTGGGGCTTGTGACTGGCATCGGAAGTGGGGAAGAGGGGCAGTTTTGGGGACGTAGGCCTCAGCCTATGGGATCTGACACTATCTCCAGGTAGATAGTGTCAGAATTGAATTAGAGGACATGCAGCTGGTATCCACTGCAGAAATGATTGCTTGCTTGTTGTGTGGGGAAACCCCTCCCCCACACTCAGTCAGAAGTGTTGATTGTTGTGGCAGAGGAGAAACAGTTTGTGGTTTCTCCACACAATACTACATTATTTTCTCTGCCATGAAGAGTATTCATACAGTCTTTTTCTTTTCTTTCTTTCTTTTTTTTTTTTGAGACAGGATCCACTTTGTCTCCCACGCTGGAGTGCACTGGTGTGATCTCAGCTCACTGCAGCATCCACCTCCTGGGCTCAAACAATCCTCCCACCTCAGTCCCTAAAGTAGCCAGTTCTACAGGTGTGCTAATTTTTTGTAGAGCTGGGGTTTTGCCAGGTTGCCCGGGCTGGTCTCGAACTCCTGAGCTCAAGCAGTCCACCCATCTCGGCCTCCCAAAGTGCTAGGATTATAGGCGTGAGCCACCAAGCCCAGCCCATACAGTCTTTTTTTTTTTTTTTTTTTTTTTTTTTCCCTTTTTAGACAGAGTCTTGCTCTGTCACCCAGGCTGGAGTGCAGTAGCGCAATCTGGGCTCACTGCAACCTCTGCCTCCCAGGTTCAAACAATCCTCCCACCTCAGTTTCTCAAGTAGCTGGGATTACAAGTGTGCGTCACCATGCCCAGCTAATTTTTGCATTTTTTAGCAGAGATGGGATTTCATCATGTTGGCCAGGCTGGTCTTGAACCCCCGGCCTCAAGTGATCCGCCCACCTCGGCCTCCCAAAATGCTGGGATTACAGGCATAAGCCACTGCTCTCAGCCCAGTCTTAATAATGCAAATGGTAAGACTTTTTTTACTTTCATTGTCAACCTATAGACAAATCTCAAAACAGTTAATTATATAAATGTCATCAACCTCAATAAGGTCAAGGGACACACAGATGACAGAATTTAACAGGTACAAAGAGAAAAGACAGGTAAAGAGAAAGACAGGTGTGCATACCCTCTTCCAACGAAGTAGGTATTCACATTGTCATTGATTTTTTTTTTAATTGGTTGAGTCTTAAGTATTTTACTTAAAGTCATAGGTGGTATAAGAGAGCTCAATCCTCACCTATCGTATGCAGGAAACCAATGAATTTGGTTGAATGTAGTTGCAGGCACATAATATGCACTAAAAAATGTCATTTCCCTTACTTTGGTCAAAATCCATTAACGCATTCTGTGTAAGTGTGGAGTCCTTATCATGGCATTCATGATTCACTGTAATCTCAAAATCAGTTACCATTTTGGATTTACTTTCCTTATATGCCCCCTACACTCCAGTGAAATGAAACCGTATCCACCATGCAGCCATTGATGCAAGCATGTCAAGAGAGGGAGACTTACAAGAGTAAGCAGTAAGGATTCTGAGAAGCTGATATACCTTGGTCAAATTAAATTTTATCAGGAAGCTTTGAGCAGTGGCAGTATGGTAGCCAATGCAGTTTATCCAATGTGCAATTATTATTAATTGAAAACTGTTCCCAATACTTCACTGTAATGACTTGCGATATAGTCAGTATTGGCAATTTTTTGTTTGTTTGTTTAAGAAATGGTCTGACTCTGTCACCCAGGCTGGAGTGCAGTGGTATAGTCACAGCTCACCACAACCTCAACCTCCCAGGCTCAGGTGATCCTCCCACTTTAGCCTCCCAAGTAGCTGGGACTACAAACACCTAACACCATGCCCGAATAATTTTCATATTTTTTGTAGAGATAGGGTTTACCATGCGGCCCAAGCTGGTCTCGAAATCCTGGGCTCAAGCGATCCTCCCACTTTGGCCTCCCGAAGTGCTAGGATTACAGGTGTGAGCCACTGAGCCCAGACTCCAGCATTAGCAAATTTTGACCATCTCTACAGAGACTGAATAATAAATAAATAAATGCTAAATTTTATCAGGAGAACTCAAAGCACACACAATTAGTGTTAGTCAATATGAAAGCTTTAGGCTAATATTATTTCTTTGCTTGCAGAAAAAAGATCACATTTAGCCTGGCATAACAATGACTCTGTTTCTATTATGCCAATTAGACCCTTGGTAAACTCGCTCTAATGAGGAACCTTGGAGCACTTGTTATTAATCTTAATATCACAATTATCATGAAAACCATTTGGAGACAACATAAAGATTATTGGGGCCAGGTGCAGTAGCTCATGCCTGTAATCCCAGCATTTGAGGAGGCCTAGATGAGGGGATCGCTTGAGCCCAGGAGTTCAAGACCAGCCTGGGCAACATGGTAAGACCCCATCTCTACAAAAGAATAAGTAAATAGGCCAGGTGAAGTGGCTCACACCTGTAATTCCAGCACTTTGGGTAAGGCCAAGGCGGGTGGATCACCTGTGGTCAGGAGTTCGAGACCAGCCCAGCCAACATGGCAAAACCCTGTCTCTACTAAAAATACAAAAATTACCTGGGTGTGGTGGCACGCACCTGAAATCCCAGCTACTCAGGAGGCTGAGGTGGGAGAATCACTTGAACCCAGGAGGCGGAGGTTGCATTGAGCCAAGACTGAGCCACTGCACTCTAGCCTGGGAGACAGAACGAGACTCCATCTTAAATAAATAAATAAATAAATAAATAAATAAATAAATAAATAAAATTAGCTGGGCATGGTGGTGTGTGCCTGTGCTTCCAGCTATTTGGGAGGCTAAGGCAGGAGGATTGCTTGAGCCCAGGAGGTCAAGGCTGTGGTGAGCCATGTTTGTACCACTGCACTTCAGCCTGGGCAACAGAGCAAGACCCTGTCTCAAAAAAAAAAAAAAGGTTTAAAAGATTATTGGTGTCTTCAAGTAGCATAATAATAGAGATTTTCTCATTTTCACCCACTGGCAATTTGGGTAGTTAGAAAGGAAAAATGACTCAGCTTGAAATACAGGGCTAGCTGGATGCAGTGGTGCATGTCTGTAGTCCCAGCTACTAAGGAGGCTGAGGCAGGTGGCTAGCTTGAGTGCAGAAGTTCAAGGCTGTAATGTGCCATAATTGCACCTGTGAATAGCCACTGCACTCCAGCCTGGGCAACACAGTGAGACCCTCCATCTCTAAAATAAATAAATAAGTAAATAAAAATGTAAAAAATATATAGGACAATAATGGTAAAATCCATTGAAACAAACTGAAAAAAGCTTCATTATATTTCAAGAGTGCATATTTTATTTATCATGAATGCAGACTACTATTTCAGGTGTCTTAGTGGGTGAGCAGTATGTGTTCTCTCCATCAGTATCTTTGTTGCTTAGGTTTCTTTGTAAGCAATAGAAATCAACTGAGGCTAGCTCTGGGCCCATTAAAAATAATTTAAAGTAAGTTATAATTAACTAAAAATAACAATATACAAGTTAAACATTGACACCTAAATTTTTTTAATAAAATAACATTTGGAAAGATACTAGGTAGCATTTCAAACAAAAGAAATAACTAAACAATGGGGACTAGGTGGGCGGATCACCTGAGCTCAGGAGTTTGAGACCAGCCTGGCCAACATGGTGAAACCCCATCTCTTCTAAAAATACAAAACTTTACCAGGCATGGTGGTGGGCACCTGTAATCTCAGCTACTTGTGACGCTGAGGCAGGAGAATTGCTTGAACCCTGGAGGCAGAGGTTGTCACTCTACCCTGGGTGACAGAGTAAGACTCTGTCCCAAGAAAAAAAAAAGAAACAAAACAAACAAAAAACCAAGGGGGACTTGTGGAGGATAGCAACTAGGGTTGCTCTGGGATTCTCAGTGGTAAAACAAACAAAATATCTGGTTGGTGTCTCTGATCACTACCACTAAAATGACTCAGCTTCAACCACCTTCTTCATTTTTGAGACTATACTCCATATTCAGATGGCTAGGACAAAAATAGCCCTGTGTTTCAACCTTGGGGGAAGGGACGAGGGGAAGGCAAACACTGTGGCTGAGAGTTCTACACAGAAATGTTGGCCAGGATGACCTGAGGCTTCTCAAAGGAAAGAGGGAGAATTAATGCTGGGCAGACAAAAAGAGATTCCTACTACAAACTGTCAAGGGCTTTTAAAATGACATTACTTGTAAATTTGTTTGAGTTCATTGTAGATTCTGGATATTAGCCCTTTGTCAGATGAGTAGGTTGCAATAATTTTCTCCCATATTGTAGGTTGCCTGTTCACTCTGATGGTAGTTTCTTTTGCTGTGCAGAAGCTCTTTAGTTTAATTAGATCCCATTTGTCAATTTTGGCTTTTGTTGCCATTGCTTTTGGTGTTTTGGACATGAAGTCCTTGCCCACGCCTATGTCCTGAATGGTAATGCCTAGGTTTTCTTCTAGGGTTTTTATGGTTTTAGGTCTAACGTTTAAATCTTTAATCCATCTTGAATTGATTTTTGTATAAGGTGTAAGGAAGGGATCCAGTTTCAGCTTTCTACATATGGCTAGCCAGTTTTCCCAGCACCATTTATTAAATAGGGAATCCTTTCCCCATTGCTTGTTTTTCTCAGGTTTGTCAAAGATCAGATAGTTGTAGGTACGCGGCGTTATTTCTGAGGGCTCTGTTCTGTTCCATTGATCTATATCTCTGTTTTGGTACCAGTACCATGCTGTTTTGGTTACTGTAGCCTTGTAGTATAGTTTGAAGTCAGGTAGTGTGATGCCTCCAGCTTTGTTCTTTTGGCTTAGGATTGACTTGGCGATGCGGGCTCTTTTTTGGTTCCATATGAACTTTAAAGTAGTTTTTTCCAATTCTGTGAAGAAAGTCATTGGTAGCTTGATGGGGATGGCATTGTTAGAATGGCAATCATTAAAAAGTCAGGAAACAACAGGTGCTGGAGAGGATGTGGAGAAATAGGAACACTTTTACACTGTTGGTGGGACTGTAAACTAGTTCAACCATTGTGGAAGTCAGTGTGGCGATTCCTCAGGGATCTAGAACTAGAAATACCATTTGACCCAGCCATCCCATTACTGGGTATATACCCAAATGACTATAAATCATGCTGCTATAAAGACACATGCACACGTATGTTTATTGCGGCATTATTCACAATAGCAAAGACTTGGAACCAACCCAAATGTCCAACAATGATAGACTGGATTAAGAAAATGTGGCACATATACACCATGGAATACTATGCAGCCATAAAAAATGATGAGTTCATGTCCTTTGTAGGGACATGGATGAGACTGGAAACCATCATTCTCAGTAAACTATCGCAAGAACAAAAAACCAAACACCGCATATTCTCACTCATAGGTGGGAATTGAACAATGAGATCACATGGACACAGGAAGGGGAATATCACACTCTGGGGACTGTGGTGGGGTGGGGGGAGGGGGGAGGGATAGCATTGGGAGATATACCTAATGCTAGATGACGAGTTAGTGGGTGCAGCGCACCAGCATGGCACATGTATACATATGTAACTAACCTGCACAATGTGCACATGTACCCTAAAACTTAAAGTATAATATAAAAAAAAAAAAAGAAGAAACAGGTGAGATTTATTATAATAAAACATTTTATTTAACCAGAAAAAAAATAAAATAAAATGACATTACTACCTTGAAGCTGCCCCTCTGGTCCTACTCTTATCCTTTCCTGGGATTATAAGGATTCCCTTCTCTTTTTTGCCCTGGTCCTATGATATTTTTGGTTTATCTGTCAATGTGATTATAATTTTAGCTATAATTTTTTTTTTCACTTTTTTTTTTTTTCCCTGAGACAGAGTCTTGCTCTGTTACTCAGGCTGGAGTGCAGTGGTACGATCTCAGCTCACTGCAACCTCCACCTCCTGGGTTTGAGCAATTCACCCTGCCTTACTTAGCCTCTCAAGTAGCTGGGATTACAGGCGTGAGCCACCAAGCCCTGATTTTTCCCTTTTTTTTAGAGCTTACTTTCTATGGTCAAACTAACCCTTTGTGGTAGAAATTTGTCTTGCCTTGTACCATAGGTAGATTTAAACATGTGAGATTTTGTATGCTTGTCCAGAGGTATGCCATAGCTTTGACTATTATTATTAATAACTACTGAGTTCTTACTTTCAACTTGGCATGATGTTATAAGAGATGCTAAGTTGCCCTTGAGGCTGGGCGCAGTGGATCACACCTGTAATCCCAGCACTTTGGGAGGCCAAGGCAGATGGATCACTTGAGGTCAGGAGTTCGAGATTAGCCTGGCCAACATGGTGAAACCCTGTCTCTACTAAAAATACAAACAAACAAACAAACAAAAAATTAGCCAGGCATGGTGGCATGCACCTGTAATCCCAGCTACTTGGGAGGCTGAAGCAGGAGAATCACTTGAATTCAGGAGGCAGAGGTTGCAGTGAGCCGAGATCGTGCCACTGCACTCCAGCCTGGGCAACAGAGTGAGACTCTGTTTCAAAAATAAATAATAAATAAATAAAATTTAAAAATAAAATGTGATCAGCTTATTTTAAAATAATGCTTATTTTTTAAGTTATTTTTCACATAATGCATTTCAACTTATTGGTAATAAAATCTCCACATCTCCCTATTATGGGATAACTTGTGTTCCCCCAAAGTAATTTACTGACATCCTATACCCAAGTACCTGTCCATGTGACCTTATCTGAAAATAGGACCTTTGCAGATATAATCAATTTACAGTGTATTCACTGGGCCCTAATCCAACATAACTGGTGTCCTTATAAGAAGACGACGTAAAAGACAGGCACTCAGGGAGAATGCCATGTGACCACAGGAGCAAAGGCTGAAGTAATACAGCTACAAACCCAGGAGCTGCAAGTACCCATGGTCACCCCTGGAAGCTAGGAAGATACAAGGAAGGATTCTACCCAGAGTTTCAGAAGGAACATGGCTCTGCCGACTTCTTCACTTTGGACTCTGGTTTCCAGAACTGTGAGAGAATAAATTTCTATTGTTTTAATCACCCAGTTTGTGGTATTTTGTTATTGCAACCCTAGGAAACTAATACATGTCCCCTCCACAACCAGACTCGTTTCTTCTTCTTTCTTCCTGCACCAGCCTTAGATTGTAACTCTTACAATTACTGTAAGAGTGGTTCCTGAATTTTAATACACACACATCACCTGGGGATCTTGCTAACAAGCACATTCTGATTTGGTAGTTATGGACGGGGTCTGAGAGTCTGTTCCCAGGTGATGCTGGACCAAGGACCAAGCTTGGAGAAGCAAGGCTATAAAAAAGTCAACCAGGCCCAGTGCGGGAGCTCACACCTGCAATCCCAGCACTTTGGGAGGCTGAGGCGGGTGGATCACTTGAGGTCAAGAGTTTGAGACAAGCCTGGCGAACATGATGAAACCCCGACTCTACTAAAAATACAAAAATTAGCTGCGCGTCCCAGCTACTTGAGAGGCTGAGGCAGGAGAATCACTTGAATCTGGGAAGGGAGGCGGAGGTTGCAGTGAGCCGAGATCATGCCACTGCACTCCAGCCTGGGCGACAGAGCGAGACTCCGTCTCAAAAAATAAATAAATAAATAAAACTAAATTAAATTTTAAAAATTAGCTGGGCGTTGGCCGGGCACAGTGGCTCATGCCTGTAATCCCAGAACTTTGGGAAGCTGAGGCAGGCAGATCATGAGGTCAGGAGTTCAAGACCTGCCTGGCCAACATAGTGAAACCCCGTCTCTACTAAAAGTACAAAACTTAGCAGGGCATGGTGCCTGTAGTCCCGGCTACTCGGGGGGCTGAGGGAAGAGAATCTCTTAATCCAGGAGGCGGAGGTTGTGGTGAGCCAAGATCACACCACTGCCCTCCAGCCTGGGCAACAGAGCGAGACTCCGTCTCAAAAAATAAAAATAAAAATAAAAATAAATTAGCTGGGCGTGGTGGTGTGCGCCTGCAATCCCAGCTACTCTAGAGACTGAGACAAGAGAATCACTTGAACCTGGGAGGTGGAGGTTGCAGTGAGCCGAGATGTCTTTGTCAGGCATGTTTCAGATCTAGGATTTTTGGCTTTTTGCCACAATGCTAGCAGAGATTAAATGGAAAAACCCAGTGGAACGAAAAGAAGTATTCATGGAACTTGTGTCTTGTGCCTCTCCCCTAAAGAAGAAAGAAGAATGAGGAGGAGGAGGAGGAGGAGGAGAAGGGGGAGGGGGAGGGGGAGGGAAGGAAAAGAAAAGAAGTAAACAAAATATCCAAGGGGAAAACAATTACTTTTCTTTCTTTCTTTTAGAGACAGTGTCTTGCTATGTTGCCCAGGCTGGTCTTGAACACCTGGGCTCAAGCAATCCTCTCTCCCGCCTTGGCCTTCCAAAGTGTTGGGATTGCAGGCATGAGCCACCACACCTGACCTAAAAATTTCAAAATACACTTGAAGATTATTGTCCAATCAACTCCCTCTCCCCACCTGCACAAAAGATTTAGAATACAAATATTTCAACCTTGTTTTCTAAATAAGTGAATTTATGAATATAATAGTGAGCTGATATTTTATGTGGTCACTTTTTTCTCTTTTTCCTTTTATCTCATCAAATTCCTTTTTAGCATAATTTTATTTTTAAAATGGTGATTTCCAAATGAAACACTGCAGACTGAGAGATGAATGAGCACCATAATGGAACAATATAGGCCAACTACCCTGGAGTTACTGATGTTACTACTTGGGAATAGTGGTGACTTTGAAAAAGTTCAAAGACTAACTTTGAAAGCATTTCAAAATGCCTATTTTTGGCTGGGTGTCGTGGCTCATGCCTGTAATTCCAGTACTTTAAGAGGTCTAGGTAGGCGGATCACTTGAGCTCAGAAATTTGAGACCAGCCTGGGGAGCATGGAAAAACCCCATCTCTACAAGAAATACAAAAATTAGCCAGGTGTGGCACACGCCTGTAGCCCCAGCTACTTGGGAGGCTGAGGTGGGAGGATCACCTGACCCTTGGGAGACTGAGGCTGCAGCAAGCAGTGATCATGCCACTGCACTTCAGCCTGGGCAGCAGGGTAAGACCATGTCAAAAAAGAAAAAAATGCCTATTTGGGGGGCTTCACTTTCAGAGATAGTGTCTTTAAGCCTGAGGGCTGGTCAAGGAATTAAGAGTTTTTCTATAACTCTTTGGGTAATTCTGACACAAAGTCAGATTGGAAAAATATTACTCTGAAATAAAGAAAATTTATAGAAACTTGATTTTATTTTATAAACAAAGTTCTAATTAAAAAAAAAAAAAAAGAGCCGGCCAGGTATGGTGGTACACCCTTGTAATCCCAGCACCTTGGGAGGCCGAGGCAGGCGGATCCCTTGAGCCCAGGAGTTCGAGACCAGCCTGGGCAACATGGTGAAACCCTGTCTCTTAAAAAAATACAAAAATTATTCAGGCATGGTGGCACACACCTGTAGCCCCAGCCCCTGGGGAGGCTGAGGTGGGACTATCACCTGATTCTGGGGAGGGTGAGGCTGAAGTGAGCCAAGATCCCACCACTTCACTTTAGCCTAGGCGAGAGAGTGAGACCATGTCTCAAAATAAGTAAATAAAAATAAAAAGGAAGAAAGAAAAAGAGCCGAGTGGTGGTGCACGCCTGTAGTCCTAACTACTGGAGAGGCTGAGGCGGAAGGGTTCCTTGAGCCCAGGAGTTCGAGGCCAGCCTGGGCAACACAGAAAGACTCTCTCTTTTTTTTTTTTTTTTTTTTTTTTTTTTTTTTTTTTTTTTTTGAGACGGAGTCTCGCTCTGTCGCCCAGGCCGGACTGCGGACTGCAGTGGCGCAATCTCGGCTCACTGCAAGCTCCGCTTCCCGGGTTCACGCCATTCTCCTGCCTCAGCCTCCCCAGTAGCTGGGACTACAGGCGCCCGCCACCGCGCCCGGCTAATTTTTTGTATTTTTAGTAGAGACGGGGTTTCACCTTGTTAGCCAGGATGGTCTCGATCTCCTGACCTCATGATCCACCCGCCTCGGCCTTCTCTCTTTAAAGAAAAAAAAAAAAAAAGAAAAGAAATTTGTCTATATAAATATACAGTTAAAGCAAACAATATAATATATAAAACCAAATTTGGAAATATTTTTTCCTTCCATCAAAACTTAAACATCAATTTTAGAACACAGTGTTCTATATCGTAAGGAGTCCTAGAGTCTACCCAGTATAATGTCTCACATCCTCGCCCTCTTGCTATAGTTGTCAAACCTAAATGTACCTAAGAATCACTGATAGGTAGTTGGTTAATACGATGGATTATTTCTAGGCCCCGACCTCAGACAGGTGCCTCCATGCCCCCACCCAGCCAGGACATTCTGAGTCTGTAATTTGAAGTGAGCTTCAAGAATCTGCATTTTTACCGCGGCGCTTTTGATGCAGGCGGTCCACGGTAAAGTTAGAGAAATGCTGCCCTGCTGCTGCGCTGCAGATTGAACTCTGGGGAAGAAGAAATGAGCACGACCGGGAGCGGTCCATCTAAACCGGTCCATTTAGATGGACAGGTTTTAGCAGTCCATCTAAATCTGTCTCAGGAGCTTTCTTTCTTTCTTTTTTTTTTTTTTTTTTTTTTTTTGAGACGGAGTCTCGCTCTGTCGCCCAGGCTGGAGTGCAGTGGCACTCACTGCAAGCTCCGCCTCCCAGGTTCACGCCATTCTCCTGCCTCAGCCTCCCGAGTAGCTGGGACTACAAGCGCCCACCACTACGCCCGGCTAATTTTTTGTATTTTTTAATAGAGGCGGTGTTTCACCGTGTTAGCCAGGACGGTCTCGATCTCCTGACCTCGTGATCCGCCCGCCTCGGCCTCCCAGAGTGATGGGATTACAGGCGTGAGCCACCGCGCCCGGCCTGTCTCAGGAACTTTCAAAGGGGAGTGGCAGACAGAAAATGAGCACGGTATCTAATCAGCAAGTAGGATTGCAAATAAGAACGCCTTTATGAAGGCCCCAGTTTTTACAGTAAGTCCCTCACTGCCCGCACACAACGATGCCAAGTTCCAACCTGATTTGCGTCACCACAGTTGTGGGTTTGCGCCAAGGTTAGTTATCAAGCGTAGTGAGAGGATAAATTCACAAAATGAGGGACAAAAATAAGACGAGAGCTGGGTACAACGGAAGTGAAACCTGGGTGGAGGTCATCTCCAAATCACAGTGGAAGGACGATGTCAGGGATTTGTCCCAACACTCTTTTGATGAAAGAATTTGATTAGTGGACTATTGCACTCTTAAAGGCAAAGAAAACAAAGCACGGCAGTGCCCCGCTCGGTCGGGATTCAAAAGCAGTGAAAGCTGCCTTGCTCTGTTTAAAGCGACAGGACTGCTCTGCTATTCAGGAAAGACTAAGGAGGCAGCGGTATCTGCGAAGTCCTGCGAGCTCCCGGCGACAGGAGTAGCGCGAGCAGCTGACGGGGGAAATCCACTGGCAGCGAGTCGGATGAGTCAGCGCTGAGTCACGCTCGGCGCTACGTGCCGGCCTGGGCGGCCGCAGCCCGGGGCCCGCAGCCGCGGAGTCAGCAGAGATCCGCCGCTTCCTGGAAGACCCTCCCTGCGCCTGAGGGAGGGGGCGGCGTCGCCTCCTCGCGCCGCCAAGGCCCCCTGCAGTCACACACTCGCCCGCACGCACGACCTCCTCGCTCCATCCTGGGGACATCCAGGATTCACCCCCGAGGGGAAGAGTCCCATGTGACAAATGGTTAGAGCTTGGGCGGATGCTTTCATCCCATGTGTTTCCTCAAAGCTGAGATTCCAGCGCTCTTGCTCTTTTCGTGTTGTTGTTAGGTTTTTAACTTTTTTTTCCCGTTTCCTGGCAGAGGATTAACACGCTGATCTTTTTATAGTTTCCAATATTTTAAATGAAGCACAAGAAGAATGGATTAATAAAACGTGTTGAAACTTAAGCATCAAATCGTCACACTGCTCTGGGTTCTAAAATGACTAGAAAGTGACTGCACTAGAAGCTTTGAATGTTGGGTAACTGGGAAGGATTAACTCGGTTCTGATGTGCCCTTTGTTAATGAAAATCAAATCTTTGCTATTTGTCCAACCACCCTTATAATAACTAAATTTGTCTAAAGACTGGAGACATGTGTGGTAATAATTAGATATGGAGTCACCAAAGAACAGGGTAGCCATGCCTTTGTGTTTTCTGTGCCTTAACTAACATTCTGTTGTCCTAATGTGCAAATGATACATTGTTGGTTTTAAAAAATATTATGGCAATGTTTATATCCATGCTGAGAGTTAATAGCAGGTATTGTGTCATGAAGTGCAGCTAGTCAGTGAGATAGTCCTGATACAGGTGGGGTAATTATTATTTAGGGACAATTTGCGGCTGTTTTTCAAGACAGACTGGGTCTTTAGAAGTTGTGCCAGCTGTTACCGGTGGTTCTGCTTCATTGGGAGAATTATTTCCCTCCTTATCCCTGTGTACGTGTGAAATGATGCAAAACAATAGAGTGTTCGTGTAGTTTGACTGCTTTTCTTGCAGGCAAGGAGACTGAAGTAATTAGAGGTTGAACTGACTCACCAAGGTTACTGGAGAAGCATGACTACCCAATTTTGTAAAGGAGAGAAAAGCCCCAAACAAATACAAATAGGAAACATGAAAATACGAGAGAGGATCAGAGCCCAAGAAAGCAAAATGAGTAATATGGACCAGAAATGGAATCTCATATACTTGAACTAGTTGTAATGGGAGGTATACTTAATGCGCTAGCCTTAAAAAAAAAGTCAAATTATTGCATAAAAATTTAAGATTTTAAGTAATTACATACATCATTTGATGTTTTAAAAACTGTGCCTGATTCTGATTCATTATTCTTAGCATATCCATATGGATATTGCCTTGGCATTTACCAAGTCAGACTTCAGTTCAAAAACCCAAATTCATCTTATGACGGTGTGAACTTGGACTTGATACTTAGCTTCTCTAAGCCTATAATGGAGATTATAATCACCATTTCACCTGTTTGCAAAGCAGGCAGGATTAAATGAGATGATGCCTATAAAAGGTTTAGCACATTTCCATGCAAAAAATTTCTCAGTAAACGAAGCTTGTATTGTGTTATCAGTATTATTGAACTTGACTAAACTATTGATCAGATCACAAAGAGGTAGTACAGGTACTTTGTCCAGATCCTAGAACTAATAAAAGCTTTGGGAATGTACATCACAAACGTAGTGGTTCAGTGACTGATATGGTTTGGCTCTGTGTCCCCACCCAAATCTCATCTCGATTTGTAATCCCCACGTGTCAAGGGAGGGACCTGTAATCCCCATGTATCGAGGGAGGGAGGGGATTGGACCATGGAGTCAGTTTCCCCCATGCTGTTCTCGTGATAGTGAGTTCTCATGAGATCTGATGGTTTTATAAGTGTTTGGTAGCCCCTCCTTCATTCTTCTCTTTCGTTCCACTTTCTGAAAAAGGTCCTCGCTTCCCCTTCACTTTCTGCCATGATTGTAAGTTTCCTGAGGCCCCCCACCCAGCCATGTGAAACTGTGAGTCAATTAAACCTCTTTTTTTTCTTATAAATTACTCAGTCTCAAGTATTTCTTTATATATAGAGTGTGAAAACAGACTAATACAGTGACCTTGGGCAAGATCCTTAGACAAGAGTCTAAAACACCTGAGCAAGTACTTAATGTTCTTTGATTATGAGTGGAGAGATGAAAGAAATAAAGGAAATCTAAATAAAAGGAATGCCCTACAATCATCAGTTGGCCAGAAAAGTGGTAGGTGATGCAAAACAACCAGGCAAGAACGCTTTTCTCCCATCCTCGGAGAGAGCTCCTTGACAAAGTACCATAGCAGTCACTGGGCAGAGAGGATATACTATTGTACTATTGCCCCTTTGCCATACAGGAATGCATTATTTAGCTGAGACAGAAATTTGGTTCTGTCCAGATATAAGGCTGATGAGCTTAGCTGTTGATAGAAGTTAGTGACCAATCTCCCATCAACTTCCCCAAGCAGCTCATAAGAGATAAGTCACTAAGTCATTTTCTTTTTTTCTTTTTCTTTTTTTTGATGGGGTCTTGCTCTGTTGTCCAGGCTGGAGTGCAGTGACATGATCTCAGCTCACTGCAACCTCTGCCTCCTGGGTTCAAGTAATTCTCCTGCCTCAGCCTCCCAAGTAGCTAGGACAGGCACACACCACCACCCCCAGCTAATTTTTTGTATTTTTAGTAGAGGTGGGGTTTCACCATGTTGGCCAGGCTGGTCTTGAACTCCTGATCTCAAGTATCTGCCTGTCTCCAACCCCCAACGTGCTAGGATTACAGGTGTGAGCCACCGCACCCAGTAATAAGTCACTTTCTTGAAATAGTATTTGTCTTACTCAGCTTGGGCTGCCATAACAAAGTACCACAGACTGTGTGGCTTAAGCAATAGAGATATACTTCTCACAGTTCTGGAGATTGGAAAGATCAGGGTGCCAGCAAGGAAGGTTTCATTCTAAAGCCTCTTCTCTTCGCTTGCAGGTGGATGCTCAAATGATCTCTTCTTTGTGTACACACAGGGTGGTGAGGAGAGAGAGAAGGGGCGGGTTTTAGGCTTCAATATATGACTTTTGACGGTGTTAAAAGACAAAATTAAAACAAATTTAAAGATCAAACTGGCTTTTATTTGGGATTCTAGAATCAGGCAGCATTTTATTCTATAAAATAATGAGTGCTCTACTGGGTTTAGCAAAACAGTTACTTTTTTGTTTTTTGCTTTTTTTGAGAAAGGGTCTCACTCTGTTGTCCAGGCTGGAGTACAGTGGCATGATCAGCACTCATTGCAACAGTTAGTTTTTATATGAGAACAAGGAAACAAATATAGAAAAAAGCAGAATGGTTAACATCAGGTTACTTCAGGTTACTTTTCTTATAAGGTTTAAAGCAGAAGGACTTCCTTATTAGGGTGACTCAAGTTGACTGGGTCTTTTCCAAGTGATGGCTGTGAGTGAACCTCTTGTTTTCAAGAAAAACTGGTGTGTTTGGGGATTTATCTGCTTCCTTAAGGTTTTAGCTTGATTATGTGGTTTGGTCTATTGGGCCCTACTATGGGACCTCAGTCCAAAATAATGGCTTCCCATAAATTTTATTTACCAGGAGGGACATGACTCAGGACACAGCAATTTCTTTTTATTCTTTCTCTTATTTTTTTCTCTCTTTTCTTTTTCATTCTCTAATGTGCTTCAAAGAAAGGGATTTCAGCTACCACGGTGGCTCATGCCTGTAATCCTAACACTTTGGAAGGCCAGGGCAGGAGAATCTCCTGGGGCCAGGAGGTTGAGGCTGTAGTGAGCTATGATAGCACCACAGCACACCAGCCTGGATGACAGAGTAAGACCCTGACTCAAAACAAGACAAAACAAAACAAAACAATACCCAAAACCCCAAAAAACAGAGAAAGATATTTGTTTCAAAATTACCCCCCACCAAAAGAACACAACTCCTTTGTAAATGAAACAACAGACTCCATACATGATGATGGTTCCATAAGATTATGATGCAGCTGAAAATTTTTTAGTGACATCATAGTCATTGTAAGGTTGTAGCACAATGTGTTACCTTTTCTATGTTTAGATATGTTTAGAGATACAAACACAACTGTGTTACAATTGCCTATAGTATTCAGTACAGTAACATGCTGTATAGCTTTGTAGCCTAGGAGCAATAGGCTATGTAAACCAAAAAGTGAGACAAATCTCATCAATTTAGAGGCTTATTTTACTCAGACTGAGGACACACCAGGAAAAAGAGACACAAGTTACACTAGAATCTGTGGACTGTGTTTTTTCCAAAGAGTCTTTAGGACTTCAGTTTTTAAAGGAGAAAGAGCAGGCAGGTGGGGAAAGAGCAACAGTCAATTATACATTCCTCTCACAAAGTAAATCTGCATTTTATGTAGTATAAACATAGAGTAGAGAAAGAAATTGTATTAGTCTGTTTTCACGCTGCTGATAAAGACATACCTGAGACTGGGTAATTTATACAGGAAAAAGAGTTTAATGGACTTACAGTTCCACAATGGCTGGAGAAGCCTCACAATCATAGCGGAAGGAAAGGAGGAGCAAGTCATGTCTTACATGGATGGCAGCAGGCATAAAAAGGAGCTTTTGCAGGGAAATTCCCTCTTCTAAAACTGTCAGATCTCATGAGACTTATTCACTATCACGAGAACAGCATGGGAAAGACCCGCCCTCAGGATTCAATTACCTCCTACAGGGCCCTTCCCAGAACAGGTAGGAATTCATGATGAAATTTGGGTGGGGACACAGACCATATCAGAAGTCAAACATGAATATTTCTCAGGGTGGGCAGAGGGATGATTTCTAATCTTGTATTTGTCCAGTACCTGTGAAGGTAAACTGTTAATTTACGTTATCAGGATGTGATTCCACAGAACTCTGTTTTAGGATAAAGACTTGGGCCCACAAAGAATTTCATTGTGAGCAGTTTGTGAGGGAGGCCACGTGGGGAGCTATGTGGCCCTCTGTGCTGCAGCTGTTTAGGAGCAAAAGGAAGGCAGTTTTTGCATGACTTCTTTCCCAAGCTTAACTTCTCCCTTTGGCATAGTGAGTTTAGTATTCCAAGATTTTATTTTCCTTTCACAGCTATACTATATAGCCTAGGTGTATAGTAGGCTATACCATCTAGGTCTGTGTACTCTGTGGTGTTCACACAATGATGAAATCACCTATGGATTTGTTTCTCAGAATGTATCTCCATCATTAAGCAATGCATGACTGTATTGACAGACTCAGAATTATTTCCTTTAATAAATTCATTCAGTAATCTCTGCAATTTTCAGTACTAAATCGTGGGACGCTTAACGGTGACTATCTTTACCTCTGTACTTTTGCACTAGTTCAAGGCACATGATGACTTCCCTTCTCCTGTCTCTGTATTCAAATCCAACTCAGCCTTAATGCACAGATAAAACTCCTATTTTCTCTTTGAAGACTGATCACTAACACCTCAAGCCAAATGGATCTCACCCTCTGCAGGACCTTGTGGCATACATTGCTGTTCATGTCTTATCCTTTTGACATTTGAACTTCAGCCATGTCAAGTGGCTATGTCAGTGGTTTACATGTCTCATAAGTGTCTATATAAATGTCTCTCCAACTAAACTGTAAGCACTCTTGAGACAAGAGACAAATTCTTACATGCATGTTATAGCATCCACAATAGGTAGCAACATTCTCTGAACATTGGCGCTCAATAAATAGCAATGCAATCTTTGGCATTTTTAGATGGATACAGAAACTTTGTGATTATGAAGTTTAATATTTCATATATTTAGCAAGTAGGAGAACAGATCACAAAGAGACCTATTCCAGATCGTAGAGCTCATAAAAGCTTTGGGAATGTTCATCACAAGCATTGCTAATTCAGTGACCGTGGGCAAGATCCTTAGCTGCTCGGGCTCCGTTTTTCCTTTTGAAAAGTAACAGGAGTCGGTGCAGGGACGGGTAGGGACACACGAACACACACACAAAGAAAAGTAAAAGAGTTTATACTTTGTGATCCCAAAAGTTCTTCCCAGATTTTTTTTTTAAAAACACAGCTTAATGAATACTGTTATGAGCCAGATAGATACTAAACACTTTGTCAACATTTTAAAATTTGATCCTTGGAAATACAGCTTTGTGAGGTGAGGTGGTATCATTCCTATTTTCACAGATAAAGTAACTGAGAAATAAGAAGTTTAAGTAACTTTCCCAAGGACACTCAACTAATAAGCAGCAGAAAAGAACTGGATTGGAATCCAGGCCCGTCCAACTGCAAAGCTTGAGATCTTATACTATTCTGCTTCATTTCTGCACTCTTCATTTTTATAGAGAGACTATAACTGAGAAAAGTTAAATATTTCACCAAGAATTTCACATCTAGGAATTGGTAGAGGTAGGACTGGATTCCAAGACTAGCTCTCTTTCCCTTATCATATGCTTCAGGTATCTATTTTATCAACAAAAATTCAGAAGGGGATTGTTTTAGTTGATTTCAGTGAGTTAATTCGTATTGAGTATAATTCAACAGTGAATGTAGTTGATTGTGTTTGTTGAATAAATAAATGAGTTTATTTTCTAGTTTAGAAAACTTTTCTGTCTGGGCACAGTGGCTCATGCCTGCAATACCAGCACTATGGGAGGCTGACGTGGAAGAATTGCTTAAGACCAGGAGTTGGAGGCCAGCCTGGGCAATATGGCAAAACCCCATCTCTACAAAAAATACAAAAATTAGCCAGGTATGGTGGTGCATGCCTACAGTAGTTCCAGCTACTCAGGAAGCTGAGGAGCAAGGATGGCTTGAGCTCAGTAGGGAGGCTACAGTGAGCCATAAATGTACCTGGGCAACAGAGCACTCCAGCCTGGGCAACAGAGTGAGACCCTGTATTTAAAAAAAGAAGAAGAAAGAAAAAGAAAAAAAAGAAAAATTTTCTGACGTACCTCTGTGCTTCACCAGTTCTAAGCAAAAGTGGGTGAGAAGGTTGTTAGGGATTTCAATAACGTAAATGTAGGAACACACCAGGGTGTGAGGGGTGGCAATCACTATAATATATGAACCAGCCTTTATAGGGATGTTATTGAGAAAAGTAGAAGAATATAAAATATATTCCCTTTTAATCAAATCCAAAAGAAATAATGACACAATTCACATCATCGCTATCTCCAAGGAAGAATAAACATATCTCCCTATCTTGAGTTCAGATTACAATTTGAATCTCCACAGTACCCAGTTTTCCTCAGGGAAGAATCTCTGAAGTTATAGCCCATGAACTACGTAAAATAATTGCCACAGCCTCCTGCCTACAGAAGTTTGTTTTCTACTTTAAGGAACAAAGTCAAGAGAGAAATTCTAGGGCACTTGAGGCAATCTTTGCCTATGTTCTTTCCTTGAATAAGCCCCAGAAATGTCCTTGCGGGGTACCTTGTGGAGCCAGGCAGGCCTTGACCCATTAGGTGATGAGAGCCTACCTGAGAGCCCTCTGTGGAAAAGAAAAAATATGGAAGGCCAGGATCTGCACTGGAAGGATGATGACAATGATGACCTCATTATTTGCCCCCAACCAAGATATTCTTAGATCTACTCTGGGATTTTCTACAGCCAGACCAGAGCATAAAGTTGGCATTCATCCCAGCAGATGAAAACTTAAGCAATTCCTCAGCATTTCCATGGACCCTGAGGAAACAAGTAATAGAAAAAAAAAGGCCAGACTCTTTCCCATGGCTTCAAATATCAGAGTTGCCTTAAAGTGATTATTTACAACCATGTATGTGTTTATTCCACGAGTGTGCATAATATATGCTTTTGTTAAATGTGATGGGGAGAATGATTCACTAACATTTCTAGATAAGTTTTGAAGAATACAGGAATTTTGGATACTCTTAATGCCATATGTACTTGCCAAGGAACATTTCTTCTTATTATATTAATAACTGTAAGAAAACACAGTATGCTTATTAATACTTGCCAAATGTTGATGTACAAACAGCTTTTCTTTTCAACAAGATAATCAGATTACGTAAAAGATCTGTGTGAACCAGGGCAGGCCTAATTCAGCTGACATTTAGCCATGTGCATCTGTCCTTTTTCATCTGGCTAAGCCTGCGCCTGCCTCTAAACTGCATGCCTTGTAGGAGAGAACCTCCTTTCTAATGGAAAAGGAGGATCTTTGTTTCAGGACCCAGGAATGAAAGACTCAGAGACCCAAATGAATTAAAGACCTATCTGGAATAAAATCTAGGAGTTACCAGCGATGGTGGAAAGCACCTGTAGTCTCATCTACTTGAGAGACTGAGGTTGGAGGATCACTTGGGTCCAGTTCTGGCCTGTAATGCCTTATGTATGCCCATCAGTGTCGATACTGGAGCTGGGCCTACCAAGTGGCCTAAGGAGAAATGAACCCACCCAGATTGGAAACAGCAGGTAAAAAGTCCCACGCTGATTAGAAGTGGGATCATGCCTGTGAGTAACCACTGCACTCTAGCCTAAGCAACATAGGGAGACCATCTCTACAAAATAAAACATAAAAATAAAAATAAAAATTCAGAAGTCCACTGTTAAGATGCTGCTATCCAGACTTTACATTGATATAGGGAATGGCTGTAGTAAACAACACACAAAGCAGTTAATGGTTTTATTCATATGATGAATCATTTACATTCAGTTAACCATTATCTGAATAATGATAATCATAGCATTGCATAGTTTGCCCTTCAACCTGTATTGTTTTTGTTTTTGTTTGTTTGTTTTGTGTGAAGTCAAGGTCTTTCTATGTTGCCCAGGCTGGCCTTCAACTCCTGGCCTCAAACCATCCTCCCATCTTGGCCTCCCAAGCGCTGGGATTACAGGTGTGAGCAACTATGTCTGGCCTCAGCCTATAATCTTTAGCTTTATATAATACCTCTTGAGGCGAACTATCACAGAATGATTATCTCCCTTATACAGATAGATGCTTTTTTTTTTGGATGCTTTTTTGAGGCCACTCAGAAATCAGGAAAAGACTTTATGCCCTTCTTCCAAATACAGCATAGACCACTGGAGACTATGACTGAGTTTTTTATTACCTGGGGATGGGGACTACTGCAGGCTTTGCACCTTGTTAGCATAGAGGGTGGAACCAGGATTGCCAAACCACCATTAAGATGCTTAGGCCAGAAGCACCTTGGAGAATCAAAAGGAAGCCCCAGAGATTTTGCTGTAGATACTGCTCTCTTATCAGAAATGTTCAAATATAACAACTGCTTGGTTACTATATAAGTGCTGTTGCATTAATAAGCCCACCTCAGGACCAGACATCCTACAGGAGCCTTGGACGAAAGCCCAGCATGAAGCAGTGCTCTTCAACGGATGATAGGTTAAGGACCAAGTGTGCAGTGCCTCTGAAGACCTTGGCAAAGAGGAAAGAAACGTCCTTGAGCCCACCCATCCTGGTTCCACCTAAGTAATGAGAAGTGGGGCTGGGGAACAGACTTTCCTCATTTAAAATTTAAGTTTCTATTCTGGCTCAAAAGAAATTTTACCTCAAATTTCCCCAAATCTAGAGGTGCATATCCCTCCCTAAGGGCAAATTCTCAAAAATAAAGAATTAAACATATAAACAAAAATATAAAAGGGGATACATCTTATACACTGACAATAAAGACCTGTCATGAATGTTTTCTTAGCCTCTGTGCATGTACAATTTTGGTAGCTGAATGTGACATGCCATAAGCACAACAGGTAATTATATCCTGCCAGTCAACAGTTCAGCCTCACTGTCAGAATGAGCAAACATAAAATTATAATAATAATTATTTACTACTCTATAATTATAATTATAATAATCATGATCATGATAAATAACATATATTAATGGCTTACTATGTGCCAGGTCGTTGGGTGAACTATGTATCTCATTTAATCTTTATAACAATCCTCTGAGGCACTATTCTTATTACCAGTTTTCAAAAGCAGAATTTTGGATTAAGAAATTTGCCCAAAGCCATCCAGCTATTAAGTGGATAAGCCAAGATTCAAGCTAGGTCTGTTTGCCTCCAAGGCTTATGTTTTAAAAAGACACAGATGGCTGGGCACAGTGGCTCACGCCTATAATCCCAGCATTTTGGGAGGCCGAGGCGGGCAGATCACAAGGTCAGGAGTTGAAGACCAGCCTGACCAATGTGGTGAAATCCCATCTCTACTAAATATACATAAAGTAGCCAGGCGTGGTGGCATGCACCTGTAATCCTAGCTACTCAGGAGGCTGAGGCAGGAGAATTGTTTGAACCCAGGAGGTGAAGATTGCAGTGAGCCCAGATTGCACCACTGTACTCCAGCCTGGGCGACACAGCAAGACTCTGTCTCAAAAAAAAAAAAAAAAAAAAAAGACACAGACACATTTAGTCGTGCAGGTACCTGTGTGTGTCTACACAGCAGGCATGGATAGTCCAGACATAGACTCAGGTATCCTAGCATGTAGCTCTGTACCTCTATCACCGACCTTAACCTAACTCTAGAGTCCAGTAGTTTCCACTGCCAGTGGAAAACTGCATTTTACTGATTGAAAATTCATTCTCTTTTGGGTAATTCTCACTTAGCTCGAGATTACCTTTTCTCTGCCTTCTTCCATCCCCTTTTTGGGGGATGGGATAGCAGGGGGAAGAGTAGAGTGAGGATATGTATATCATTCTGATATCAGGTGGGAAGGGGCCCTTTGCCTTCTATCCTTCCCTATCCTTGCCGGTCCCTGTTGAAGTAGAAACAAATCCACTCGGCCCTACTGGCCTCCACCGCTCATGTCACAGTCCATACACTGCAGAGGTAGATGTAACCTCCTTAGTCTACCCCAAACTCCTTTGGGTCCCTTAGCTACTCCCAGCTACCCTGGTGCTCCTCTTAAGAACTGTGGGATCTGATGGATGCCCTCCTGCCCTACGTAGGTGTTACTGGAAAGAGGTCCGCATCAAGACCTCAAGAGAGGGTTCTTGGACCTTGTGCAAGAAAGAACTGGGGGCAAGTCCATAGAGTAAAGTGAAAGGAAGTTCATTAAGAAAGTAAATAAATAAAAGAATAGCTACTCCATAGCCAGACATGGGCTGCGCAGCTGCTTATACTTCCTGTAACTTCTTGATTATATGCTAAACAAGGGGTAGATTATTCATGAATTTTCTGGGTACCTGGTGAGCAATTCCTGGAACTGTGGGCTCCTCCCCATTTTAGACCATATATGGTAAATGCCATGGCATTTGTAAAGTGTCATGGTGCTAGTGGGAGTGTCTTTTAGCATGCTAATATATTATAATTAACGTATAATGAGCAGTGAGGACTACCAGAGGTCCCTTTTGTTGCCATCTTGGTTTTGGTGGGATTTAGCCAGCTTCTTTACCGCATGCTGTTTTATCAACAAGGTCTTTATGACCTCCTATCTCATCCTGTGTCTTAAAATGCCTAACTTACTGGGAATGCAGCCCAGCAGCTCTCAGCCTTATTTTACCCAGCCCCTATTCAAGATGGAGTTGCTATGGTTTAAACGCCTCTGCCTCTGACATAGGGGTGAGGCTCCTCTCAGTTCCACCCACTCAGATCTTTCCTCATCCACTGTGCTGGACAAGGCATTTCTCTGAAAGACTTGCAGTTTCCCCTGGCTATACAATGAGAATAGAAACAAAACTCCCCATATTCTCCATCTTCTTAAAGCTTTTTGGGGTTCCTGCTGCCCATCTCTGGGATGCAAGCAGCATGTAGACACTAATCAGGTCTCTTTTAATCCCTCCCTCCTTTAAGCTGGAGAAACTTTTATCTCCTTTCTTAGTGGTGAAAAAACTAGCCATTTTACCTACTCTCTGATAGAAACTCTGGTGTTCTGCCTGTTTCAGGTTCTTCTTAGTTTTATGCAGCTTTAAAACCCTTTCTTCTCTTCTAAGTGTTGAATTTCAAGATGATTTTCTCTACCTTAGCCTTCAGAAAAGCTATCGAGTTCTTTGATTTACTTCTTTAGCCTGTATCCTCCTTCTTTCTGGGGCCATATTTTCTGTTAATCTACTGGTCCATGTGGGTAACGAAATGCAAGAAAGTAAAACCTAAGACACTATCCCAAAATAGTAATTCACGATACTTCTGTACAGAGACGTGTGTATTTATGAGTATGAACTATAATTTTTTATAATTGTCTTCTATGAGAGCAGTATCTTAACCTCAACTTTCCTCATCAATATGAGTTCTAAAGTCACTTTTCACCAAAATTCAAGATACATCATCCGCTGATGAAATGGAATTAACGTGTTAGAGGCTGTTATAATTTTATGACTTGCAGTTACACTTTCTTTAGCAGAAAAGCAATTAAGATGTGTGAAAAGCACTCCTTTGTGTGTGTGAACAACTAATCAGACTACCATTTTTCACACACATCATAATTACCTTTTGTGCTAACAGCAGTGCAAATGTGAACCACAAAATTTTAGCCACTGGGAAGTTTCATTGCAATTTCATTGCAGTTAAATCATTGAGATCTTCAGCTGGATCATTTATTACAAATTTATTCACTAGCTGGTTAAAAATCAATCAGACACTGGACTATGCCAGGCCCTGAAACCCAAGCACCTGTGTCTTGGCTGTATGACTTGTATTTGAAAACCACAAGTTTGTTGTGTCAGTGGCCAGACCCCTGCTGCATTGCCTGAATGCCACAGAAATCTCTCCTGTCATGAGGTCACACAGAACCACAGCATGGGGCAAGCAAGCCTCAGAGGGAGGGGAGGGAGGTAAATTTACATCTGGCATCTCTTCCAACTGTCATCTGCACACACATTTTGACAAGTAAAGAGAACATTGAAATCTCATTTTTGTAAAAACAAAACAAAACCCAAAAAACTCAGACATACCTACATACATAATATTTGCATGTATTTAGAAAAAGTCCAAAAAAACACATTAAAATGTTCACAGTAGAACAGATATGGTGGCTCACGCCTATAATCCCAGCACTTTGGGAGGCAGAGGCTGGTGGATTACTTGAGCCCAGAAGTTTGAGACCAGCCTAGGCAACATAGTAAGCCCCCGTCTCTACAAAAATTTAAAAAATTTGCTGGGCGCAGCAGCACACGCCTGTCCCAGCTACTTGGGAAGCTGAGGTGGGAGGATCACTTAGCCAAGGAGGTCAAGGCTGCAGTGAGCCATGACCATGCCACTGCACTCCAGCCTGGGCGACAGAGCAAGACCTGGTCTCTTAAAAAACAAAAAATTCAGTGTAATATTACCTCCAGAGAGTGAAGGTGAAAACGATTGGTGAGGTGAACTTTGTCTTCATTTTTACAACTCAGTTTTTTCCCCCATAAGTATAGTCTATGGTATAATATAAAATATATATGGTCAGCCGGATGCAGTAGCTCGCGCCTGTAATCCCAGCACTTTGGGAGGCCCAGGTGGGCGGATCACCTGAGGTCAGGAGTTCGAGACCAGCCTGGCCAACATGGCAAAACCCCATCTGTACGAAAAATACAAAAATTAGCTGGGTGTGGTTGCACATGCTTGTAATCCCAGCTGCTTGGGAGGCTGAGGCAGGAGAATTGCTTGAACCAGGGAGGTACAGGTTGCAGTGCACCAAGATCACGCCACTGCACTCCAGCCTGGGTGACAAAGTGAGATCCCATATCAAAAACAAACAAAAAAAGAAATATACATGGTCTATGTCTCTGATTCCTGTCACAGAGCTCCTGAAACACTTGGAATTTCTGGAGTGACAGGAGTGCTTTTTTGTTATTTGCAATATGCAGCTTTGATAACACCTGAGTTCATGCTAATGAGGTGAATTAGGGTGGGGCCCCTCGGGCAGTCTCAGGATGGGAGTGGTCAGCAGAAAGACCTAGTGATTAGAGGTTTGGAACCTCCAACCTCCAGGAAAGTTGGGGAGAGGCTGGAGATAAAGATCTACTAATATAAAAATTCTTTTCTTTTTCTTAAGAGATGCTCGGAGGCCAGGCGTGCTGACTCGCGCCTGTAATCCCAGCACTTTGGGAGGCCGAGCTAGGTGGATCACGAGGTCAGGAGATCAAGACCATCCTGGCTAACACGTTGAAACCCTGTCTCTACTAGAAATACAAAAAATTAGCCGGGCGTGATGGCGGGCCTCTGTAGTCCCAGCTACTCGGGAGGCTGAGGCAGGAGAATGGCGTGAACCCTAGAGGCAGAGTTTGCGGTGAGCTGAGATCGCGCCACTGCACTCCAGCCTGGGCAACAGAGTGAGACTCCATTTTTTTTTTTTAAAAAAGGATGCTCTGTTACCCAGGTGTTTGCATTGGCACCTCAACCTCCTGGGCTCAAGCAATCCTCTGGCCTCAGCCCCACAAGTAGCTGGGACTACCAGCATATGCCACTGGCTACTTTTTGTATTTTTTGTAGAGAGGGAGTTTTGCCATGTTGCCCAGGCTGGTCTGGAACTCCTGAGCTCAGTAATTTGCACGTCTTGGCCTCCCAAAGTGCTGGGATTACAGGTGTGTGCCACCGCGCCCGGCCAAGTTCTATAAAAATTATTGAATAAAAAGATTTGGTGATCTTCTGGGTTGCTGAAGATGTGAAGGTGCTGGGATCAGTGTGCCCAGAAAAGGCATGGAAGCTCCATGTCCCCCGATACCTTGCCTCCTCCATATCTTGTCCTATCCATAACTTCATTGGGCTATTCACCTATATCCTTTGTAACATCCTTTATAATTAACCAGTAAACACAAGTAAAGTGTTTCCCTGTGTTATCTAAATTATTGAACCCAAAGTGGGGCGTTAGGGGGACTGTGGGGACCCTGATTTATAGCAGGTTGGCCAGAAGCACAGGTCACAACCTAGGACTTGTGATTGACATTTGAAATAGGCACCAGTCTCATGAAATGGAGACCCAAATCTGTGAGATCTGACACTATCTCCAAGTAGACAGTGTCCTAATTGAATTAGAAGACACCCAGTTGGTATGTGCTGGAAAATTACTTGGTGTGTGGCAAAAATCCTACATGTCTAGTCAAATAAGTATTCTTTTTTTTTTATTATTTATTTTGAGATGGAGTCTAGCTCTGTTGCCCAGGCTGGAGTGCAGTGGTGTAATCTCAGCTCCCTGCAACCTCCGCCTCCTGGGTTCAAGCAATTTTCCCACCTCAGCCTCCCAAGTAGCTGAGATTCCAGGCACTCACCAACATACCTGGCTAATTTTCATATTTTTAGTAGAGACAGGTTTTCACCATGTTGGCGAGGCTGGTCTCAAACTCCTGACCTCAGGTGATCCGCCTGTCTCGGCCTCCCAAAGTACTGGGATTACAGGCGTGAGCCACTGCACCTCGCTTAAGTGTTCTGTGTTGAGTGTGAGAGTAGAGAGAAAAAAAATGCTTTTCTTTTCCATTTACATCTATCATTGTAGTTTTCTAAAAACTTATTTGTATTAAAGAGAATATCAAATGCCTGCATTATAAGGGGATAGGTTATGTCAGAAGGGGAGATTGGGATGTGTTTGCCTCTTTCTGATGCAGTGTGGGAACCACTGCTCTGAAAGTATTTGGTTATGCAAAAGAAGCAAAGGGAGAGGCTGGGCACAGTGGCTCATGCCTGTAATCCCAGCACTTGCGGAGGCCGAGGTGGGTGGATCACTTGAGGTCAGGAGGTGGAGACCAGCCTGGCCAACATGGTGAAAACCTGTCTCTACTAAAAATACAAAAATTAGCGGGGCCTGGTGGCGCGTGCCTGTAATCCCAGCTACTCCGGAGGCTGAGGCAGGAGAATCACTTGAACTCGGGAGGTGGAGATTGCACTGAGCCGAGATTGCACCATTGCATTCCAGCCTGGGCGACAGAGCAAGACTCCATTTCAAAAACAAAAAGAAAAGAAAAGAAAAAAGAAGCAAAGAGAGAAACATGAGCTCTTTACTCTTAAGAAATATGAAACAAAAGCGTTCATTTCCAGGTACAGTGGAGACGGGGGCTAATTTCTGCAGGCCACAGCCTGACTTTCATCTAATATGTGCCTCCCAAAGCTGAGATAATAGACCCAGCATGTAAATCACATCTCAATTCTGTCTCAATAGTGTCTCTGCCCAGTCACCCAGAAATCCACTATACTAATGAAGTGAAGGATGTGTGGCAAGCCCAGCTCTGCGGTTGGGACACAGCCCTGGCACAGCTCCTGCTGACATGTGCCACTCCTGGAATGCTGGGCCACTCCACCCTCAAGCTAACTTCTGGCTGAACTGGGGGTAACCTGGCTTCAGCAGAGGAGAAGCGTCAGTCCTGGTTTTCACACTTGAACTTTTGGTTCAAGAGCAAAAGCCAAAAAATGCAACCTATCCCAAGTAACAGCCAGGATGTTGATGCTGCCAGGCAATTCCTGGCTCACTGGACCACCACCTCCTACTTTCTGGACCAAGAGGATACACCAGAGACCAAACTCCTGTGATTCAGACCTTGGTGACAAATCATTGATCCAGCCAGCTTTTTTCCTTTGCTTAAGTTACTACCTAGTAATGAGCTGTGCACTTTGCAAAGAGTATTAATACTTTTAGACTAGCAAGATGTAGAAGAAATATTGCAGTATTTATGAAAAATGATGGCCTTGGAGACTAGAAGAACTTTAGAGGAGGTGGGATTTTATTTTTAGTACCATATCTGCTCTAATAAGTTTAACACTTCATATAATAAGATTCATCATATTGTCATCTATTGTCATCAAAATTCTAGTGTGATGTTCTTTTTCTATACAGAAGTGTTAAGTGCATAGGATTAAAAATGCTGTGATAGGCTGTAACCCGAAAGGGGTATGATTCAGACCCCAAGAGAGGGTTCTTGGATCTCACACAAAAAGAATTTGAGGCAAATCTATAAAGTGAAAGTCAGCTTATTAAGAAAGTAAAAGGCTGGGTGGGGTGACTCATGCCTGTAATCCCAGCAATTTGGGACTCTGAGGCGGGTGGATTACCTGATGTCAGGAGTTCGAGACCGGCCTGGCCAACACAGCGAAACCCCATCTCTACTAAAAATAAAAAAAATTAGGTGGGCGTGGTGGTGCATGCCTGTAATCCCAGCTACTCGGGAGGCTGAGGCAGGAGAATTGCCTGAACCTAGGAGGCGGAGGTTGCGGTGAGCTAAGATTGTGCCACTGCACTCCAGCCTGGGTGACAGAGTGCGACTGCATCTCAAAAAAAAAAAAAGTAAAGGAATAAAAGAATGGCTACTCCATAGAGCAGCCCTGATGGCTGCTGGTTGCCCATTTTTATGGTTATTTCTTGATGATATGCTAAACAAGGGGTGGATTATTCATGCCTCCCCTTTTTACACCACATAGGGTAACTTCCTGATGTTGCCATGGTATTCGTAAACTGTCATGGCTCTGGTGGGAGTGTAGCAGTGAGGATGAGCAGAGGTCACTCTCATCACCACCTTGATGTTGGTGGGATTTAGCTGGCTTCTTTACTGCAAGCTGTTTTATCAGCAAGGTCTTTATGACCTGTATCTTGAGCCAAACTCCTATCTCATGCTGTGACTTAGAATGCCTAACCATCTGGGAATGCAGCCCAGTAGGTTTAGCCTCATTTTACGCAGCTCCTATTCAAGATGGAGTTGCTTTGGTTCAAACTCCTCTGACAAGGCCATAGCTGTATACAAGAATAATTCATAATCTAGGTCCGGTGTTGTGGTTCATACCTGTAATTGCAGCACTTAGGGAGACCAAGGCAGGAGGATTGGGCATAGTTCTAGCTACTCTAGAGGCTGAGGCAGGAGGATCACTTGAGCCCAGGAGTTCCAGGCTGCAGTGAGCTATCAGCCCTGGGGACAGAGCAAGACCTGGTCCCAGAAAAAAAAAAAAAAGGATAATTCTTAATCTATATGGAAAAGTTGACTATGACTTGAAGTAAATAAACATATTTGTTGCACCCATTAATACAATGTAGTATGGTAAAGATGAGAAAAATCTCAGAATATTGAGAGAATGCATAGTGTTATGGGTCCTACAATAATAAAGATTGTCTTAAAGGCTTGCTTCTGGAACTGGCAATAAAACACTTAATTTGGCTTTTATTTCCATATAATCTATTTATATTACTTGTATTTAGTTGGCTAATTTACTTATTTAAATAGTTTTTTATTTTTATTTTATTTAATTAATTAATTAATTTTTTTGAGACGGATCTTGCTCTGTTGCCCAGGCTGGAGTGTAGTGGCACAATCTCGGCTCACTGCAAGCTCCGCCTCCCGGGTTCACGCCATTCTCCAGCCTCAGCCTCCCGAGTAGCTGGGACTACAGGCACCCACCACCACGCCCGGCTAATTTTTTGTATTTTTTAGTAGAGACAGTGTTTCACCGTGTTAGCCAGGATGGTCTTGATCTCCTGACTTTGTGATCTGCCTGCCTTGGCCTCCCAAAGTGCTGGGATTAGAGGCCTGAGCCACCACACCCGGCCAGTTTTTTAATTTTTAATTGCCAAATAATAATTGTACAGGTATATATTTATGGAGTAAAGTGTGCTGTTTCCATATATATATATATATATATATATATATATATATGCGCACACACATATATGAATGATCAAATCAGGTTAATTAGCATATACATCACCTCAAATATTTATCATTTTCTTTGTGGTAAAAATATTTAAAATCCTCTCTTTTAGCTATTTTGAAATATACAGTACATTTTTTTTCTTTTCTTCTTCTTTTTAAAAAGCAGAGACAGGGTCTTACTCTGTCACCCAGGCTGGAGTGCAGTGGTGCCATCTCAGCTCACTGTAACTTCCATCTCCCGAGTTCAAGTGATTCTCTTGACTCAGCCTCCCAAGTAGGGGGGACTACAGGCATGTGCCACCACGCCTGGCTAAGTTTGTATTTTTAGTAGAGACAGGGTTTCACCATGTTGCTCAGGCTGCTCTTGAACTCCTGACCTCAAGTGATCTGCCCTCCTTGGCCTCCCAAAGTACTGGCAATACAGGCGTGAACCACCACGCCCAGCCTATTTATTTATTTTTGGGAAAGAGTCTTGCTCTGTTGCCCAGGCTGGAGTGTAGTGCCACAATCTCGGCTCACTGCAACCTCCACCTTTCTGGTTCAAGTGATTCTCCTGCCTCAGCCTCCCGAGTAACTGGGATTATAGGCACATGCCACTATGCCCAGATAATTTTTGTATTTTTAGCAGAGACAGGGTTTTGCCATGTTGGCCAGGCTGGTCTTGAACTCCTGGCCTCAAGTGATCTACCCACCTTGGCCTCCCAAAGTGCTGGGATTCAGGAGTGAGCCACCACACATATTTTATTTAAACAATCTGCCTCAGAGCCAGTCATTTCCTCTATTTTATTGCTGCTATTCTTCTTCTTTTCTTTTCTTTTCTTTTTTTTTTTTTTTTGAGAAGGAGTCTCACTCTGTTGCCCAGGCTGGAATGCAGTGGCAAAATCTTGGCTCACTGCAACTTCGGCCTCCCAGGTTCAAGCAATTCTCCTGCCTCAGCCTCCTGAGTAGCTGGGACTACAGGCATGCGCCACCATACCCAGCTAATTTTTGTATTTTTAGTAGAGATGGGGTTTCACCATGTTGACCAGGCTGATCTTGAACTCCTGACCTCAGGCAATCCACCCACCTCGACCTCCCAAAATGCTGGGATTACAGGCATGAGCCACCACGCCTGGTCTTATTGCTGCTATTCTTAATGCCACGTCAGAACTTTATTTTCTTTTCTCCTTGACTATTATTACTTAACTATGTACACTGTACCAGAAATGCTCTCAACAGAGGGTGGAAAACATACAGAATCTTGGAGACAGTGAGTGGGCTAACTGGTAAGTACCAGCAGAGATTCTCATAGGTGCTCATCATAGGTGCTCAGACTGGTGAACATAAAAGAACAATAATCTTTTTTCTTATTCATAATTATATTGACCTTTTCATAACATGAGAGCATATACTTTATATCTGGGACTGTAAGAGATTAATAGCTTTATTTTTATATCTTTTCAATCTAATCCCCAGTTATTTTTTTTTTTTTTTGAGATGGGTTGTTGTTCTGTTACCCAGGTTGGAGTGCAGTGGTCCAATCTCAGCTCACTGCAACTTCTGCCTGCCCGGATCAAGCTATCCCCCCACCTCAGCCTCTTGAGCAGCTGAAACTACAGGTGCGTGCCACCACACCTATCTACTTTTTTTATTTTGGGAGAGATGGGGTGTATTAGTCCATTTTCGTACTGCTATAAAGAACTGCCAGATGGCCAGGCGTGGTGGCTCACACCTGTAATCCCAGCACTTTGGGAGGCCGAGGCGGGCGGACCACTTGAGGTCAGGAGTTTGAGACCAGCCTGGACAACATGATGAAACCCTGTCTCTACTAAAAATACAAAAATTAGCTGGGCGTGGTGGCACACACCTGTAGTCCCAGCTATTCGGGAGGCTAAGGCATGAGAATTGCTTGAACCCAGGAGGCGGAGGTTGCAGTGAGCTGAGATCATACCACTGCACTCCAGCCTGGGTGACAGAGCGAGACTTTGTCTCAAAAAAAAAAAAAAAAAAGAAAGAGCTGTCGAATGGATCACTTGAGGTCAGGAGTTTGAGACAAGCTTGGCCAACATAGTTAAAACCCCATCTCTACTAAAAATACACAAATTAGCTGGGTGTGGTGGTGCGCGCCTGTAGTCCTAGCTGCTCTAAAAAAAAAAAAAAGTTTGCAATCTTCATGAGCACACTGACTACAAGAATGTTGAACACTGTCAAGCAAAGAAAACTCGATTTCCCTTCATTTCTCCCAAGTTTGACTTTGAAGGAGAGAGAAAGTTTTCTTATTAGGCATTGTTTTTGCTCATGTGCTCAGATACAGCAAGCTAATAAATCTGTCAGAGAAAAATTTACATTTCTCAGGAGATTGAACATTCACACCAGCCAGCATTCCCATCAAGGAACATGAATACATAAATGTACATATACTTGAAACTCTACAGTTGTTGTTTCCAGTGTTTTAAGCTTCAGTTCATGGGCTTGTTGACATATGAGAGTCTTCCCTTTTGAAAGTCCAAACAGATTGAAAAACAAATTGTGAAATCACAGGATGACACTAAGGAATATTGCATCACTCTCCTCCCTGCCTCAACACCCCCACTTCCATTTTCTGCTCAAAAGATTTCCTAACATCTGAGAGCATCATCAGTGTAAGTTGGCATTTAAAAGGGCTGAAATGGTTTTTAAAGCTTCCAAAGCATTTAACCTTAAAAATCATATATGGAACAAATTTACCACTGAAAGTTAATCTCAGATATGTTTATGTCTTTTATTTATTTATTTTTTGACATAGGGTCTTGCTTTGTTGTCCAAGCTGGAGAGCAATGGCACGATCACGGCTCACTGCAACTTCGACCTTCTGGGCTCAAGAGATTCTCCCTCCTCAGCCTCAAAAGTAGCTGGGACCACAAGCACACACCACTACACTCAGCTAATTTTTTATTTTTTGTAGAGACACGGTCTTGCTATGTTGCGCAGGCTGGTCTCAAACTCATGGCCTCAAGCAATCCTTCCACCTTGGCCTCCCAAAGGGCTGGGATTACAGGGGTGAGCCACCATACCAAGCCTGTTTGCATCTTATTCCATTTGAAGCACAACTAAAAGGAATACTGTTTTGTCATCAAAACAATATTAAGATGGCATTTCTTTTACTTGTTGTTTTTACTGTTTTGATAAGTAGGAAACAAAGAAGTAAAGTTCGTTCTAGTAATTGAGTTGGTTCTAGTAATTTAAAACTAACAGTAAAAGAAAATCACAATGCTGTCAGTTCCAGCGGCCTTTACAGGAAGAGTGGTCGATCATAAATTCATTCTCATTGGTGGATGCATCGCCAACTAGAGGCAGGCCCAACAACAGCTTCTTCTGTTAGAGAGGCCCAAAGCTGGAACATTTCAGATAGATTAGCTGTGTTATAGTCAGTGGATGCAGCCCCAAATAGAATGCTGTTCACACTGAATTTTGACATATTACTCAACAAATAATTATTAGTGCCTGCTATATTAGCTATTATTGTTATTACTATTGTCAACTTTGGTCATTATTATATTTCCAATACAGAGATGAGTGCTCAACACATAGAAAACAATCAGTATGTATTTATTAAATGAATGAGTAGGTGACTTAATCAAGAGATAAGAATTACTACTTAAAGAAGAGTAATTTTGCCCATGTTTTACTGTGTAAAAACAGCACTTGATAACGAGCTATATTTATTTTCTTTCAGAACCCTTCTTTGCTAAAACTTTTTCTTCTGTCTCTACTGCTTAGAGTCAGTGAGCCCACACACTCAGGTTCAGGTTGATTTTCTTCCTATTTGTGGGTGTCACCTATGTATCTGCCTTTTCAGGCAGTGAAATCATTCCAAAAGTTCTTGTTGACTGCAAGAGCTTGAAGGCTCTTTATTTGTGAGGGGATGAGAATACTGGCATCCATTGTGTCTTATTTAGTGACTGAAATGTGTGACACTGAGCAAGGCCTTTATCCTCGGGTTGCCTCTGTTTATCCATCTGGAAAAGGAGAAGGACAATACTCACTTGTCTGGTATGGAAGTGATTGCCAAGGACTTTGTGATCCCCACAGAGAAGGTGACATTTTAGTTGCTACATATTACAAATGTTTTCCTTTCATTAATTAGGTGTTCAGATACAGATATTGAGCCAAAAATGAAAAAGGAGAGGTAGTCATATAGATTTTAATAATATGTACATGCCTCCTTTATGTGCTAACTTTACATTTGATTATTTATTTTTTCTTTTTTTTTGAGACAGAGTCTCACTCTGTCACCCAGGCTGGAGTGCAGTGGCGTGATTTTGGCTCACTGCAACCTCCACCTCCCAGGTTCAAGCAATTCTCATGCCTTAGCCTCCCGAGTAGCTGGGACTACAGACATGCACCACCACACCCAGCTAATTTTCCGTATTTTTAGTAGAGAGGGGGTTTTGCCACATTGGTGAGGCTGGTCTCGAACTCCTGACCTCATGTGATCCACACACCTCAGCCTCCCAAAGTGCTGGAATTACAGGTGTGAGCCACCGTGCCTGGCCAACACGGTGTAGATTGTAGATTATTCTTTAATCTACAATCACAGATTAGAGACCATTTAGTCCAGTATTTCTTAAACAGATCGTGCCTACATTCCCCTGTGTAATTTTTAAGTCTGCACATGCCCTGGCCCCACTTCATTTTCCCCTGGTTAAGAACCAGGGATCAGGACCAACCTCTCTTTTTTTAAGAAGTAGAACACTGAGGGACAGCTGGTAAGTGTAGCATCAGGACAAAAATCCTTATCTTCTGACATCTTCTGATGGGTTTTGTTCCTGTACAATATGAAATATCTAATTTATTTGTTTGTATTGATATATTTCAAGGTAACTTTTTTTTTTCTGGAGACGGAGTTTCACCCTTGTTTCCCAGGATGGAGTGCAATGGCACGATCTCAGCTCACTGCAGCCTTTGCCTCCCAAGTACAAGCGATTCTCCTGCCTCAGCCTCCTGAGTAGCTGGGATTACAGGCATGCTCTACCATGCTGGGCTAATTGTGTATTTTTAGTAGAGATAGAGTTTCACCATGTTGGTCAGGCTGGTCTCAAACTCCTGATCTCAGGTGACCTGCCCGCCTTGGCCTCCCAAAGTGCTGATATTACAAGCATGAGCCACTTTGCCTGGCCAAGCTAACTTTCTGTATACACATTGGCAGTAACCATTGAAAACTTGTCTGCCCTGCTTTATAGTTCCTAATTATTTTTACCCCTTTCCATTTCTTCTCTAATCTATAAAGGCTTCTGAGAGTCATCTTGCTGGAAATAAATTCAACCTTTTATAAATCTTCAAAGCACATTTAACCTGTATTATATTCAGGTATTTATCAATCAGTATCGTTCTGCATTAAAGAATTTTTGTCTTCCTTTCCCTAGTTCTCCAAGTCATGAACTCCTGGAAATAGAAGTCAATACACACATTGTCCTTAGAACAATAACAACAAAATAAGAGCTTATGTACCAGGCAATGTGTTAGACCAGTGGTTCTCAAACTTTAACAATCATTAGAATCACCTGGAGTGCTTATTAAAGTACTTAGTCCTGGGTCCCATCCCCAGAGTTTCTTATTTGGTGGGTCTGGTGCAGTAACAGGAATTTGCATTTCTATCCTATTACCAGGTCATGTCATTTTGAAAAACATTCTTCTGCATGGTCTAAATTTTAATCTTTGCTACTGCTCCAGTAAGTAAGTTTTATTATTCCCATTTTCTTTTCTTTTCTTCCTTTTTTTTTTTTTTTGAGATGGAGTCTCGCTGTCACCCAGGCTGAAGTGCAGTAGCGCAATCTCGGCTCACTGCAACCTCTGCCTCCTGGGTTCAAGTGATTCTCCTGCCTCAGCCTCCTGAGTAGCCGGAACTACAGGCACATGCTGCCATTCCCGGCTAATTTTTGTATTTTTAATAGAGATGGGGTTTTGCCATGTTGGCTAGGCTGGTCTTGAACTTCTAACCTCAGGTGATCTACCTGCCTCAGCCTCCCAAAGTGCTGGGATTACAGGCAGGAGCCACCGAGCCTGGCCTATTATTCTCATTTTCAAAAGAGTCACACAACTAGTAAATAGAAGGGGTACGATTGAATCTACCTCTTGATAGTGCTTTGGTCTTCCCCTTAGCACACCGTCCTCTTATTTTGGAGTTTCTCTTATATATCATAAGCCCTCAAGAAATATACACGGGATAGCCGGGTGTGTTGTCAAGCCTGTAGTCCCAGCCACTCAGGAAGCTGAGGCAGGAGGATCACTTGAGCCCAGGAGTTCAAGGCTACAGAAAGCCATGATCTCCATGATCGAGCCACTGCAATCCAGCCTCGGTGACACAGTGGATAAAAAAGGAGAGACAGAAATGTACACAGGAGGCCACTGAATTGTTTAGACCTGGAGATAGGCCTTTGCCTAGGTTCAACTGTGACACTGGGCAAATTACATAACCTCCCTCCCACCACATGCCTCAGTTTTCTCATCTGTGAATTGGAAATTCATAGTATTTACCTGTAGTACACATTGTAGTTGACTCCCCAAAATTCAATCTATTCCTCTTCCACTTTATAGCAATCAGTGTGGTTCAAGGAATTGCCACAGCTCTGAGAGTAAATTCTAATTAATTCAAATCAATTCAGATAACCCTAATCCTCTGTATGAGCCTTAGTTGATTACACAATAGTATTCCTTCCCACCTCCCAATAGCTACTGTTTAGTAGCTAAGCAACTGACTAAAGTTAAGCTAACTAAAGTTATAAGGAGGAGAAAGATTTTTTTTTTCACTTTTTTCATTGTTTGTAGAGGCATTCTCTCTCCTTTGCTCAACATAAATAAGGAGGTAGGGTCTGATGGCCCAACCTACAGAGAGGAGTTGATGTGAAGAGGAATCCAACACTGGATGTCAGGACAGAGGCAGAACCTGGGGGCCTGGAGACAAGGCAGAGATACAGGATTCATCAGCCAAACCTGAAGGTGCCTTCTCTCTAGACTCTCTGTTATGTGAGTCAAAAAATGCCCCATTGTTTTAGTCAATTGGAGTTTGTTTTTTTTTTTCTTCCTGTAACTTATAATCAAACACTCTGATAACCTATGACAAAGGATTAGTATACAATTAAATGAAGTAATGCATAAAGAGGTTGGGCATATAATAAAGACTTACCTCATGTGAGCTAAAACCACTATCAAGGCAGTTTCTAGGACCAAGAGCACAAGTGACCTTAAATGCCACTGAAAGCTCCCTTGGAGGTGTTCTCACCAGGAGGATTAGAGAAGCCAAAACAACCAGGTGAATATCTCTGTCAATGATAGACAACTTGGCTATAACAGGAAAAGATTCTAGAATTTATGGGATTATGGAACAATAAATAGAGTTAACTTTAGAAAGGAGATTTACAAAATAAGTAGCGGGTATGGATATTGCTAGTCCGTAGCTGATTAAGGCTCTGATTAAGTGAATTGCCCCAAGTCTCAGAGCAGACATAGGCCTAGTCCAAACTTAGAGCTCATATTACTTGCAGTGGATGTTTGTTCTCTTGGCTGTCCAGCAGGCCACCTTTTCCTTCAGGACACTGCTCTCCCACTGCATTTCACATGTGACTCGTTTGGGGCTGCCAAAATATATTTGGTTATCTTTTTTTTTTTTTTCAGTAAGCTAATACAAAATTACTGTTTCTTCAATAATTACTTTGCATTTATTGTCATCATTTCACTCCCAAATGTATCAAAATTAAAGTTTAAGAGGGAGGAAAAAAGGATAAGTAGAAGATCCTGATTACCTTTTAGTCATAGATAGTTTCATTATGTTATCTTTTAGGGTCTGGAATACACTGACCAGTGTATTAGACAAAATTTTATGAGAATTGGTTAAAGATATAGGGAAGAAATGTATTTGGAAAAAAACAAACCAAACCAAACCAAAACAAAACAAAAACCATTATTTTGAGAGTAAATACTTGGGGGGAAGAAGCTTGCAAGCCACCCGAATATGGCCTGGACTCTGGCGTGTGTGTGCGTGCTGGGGAGTATCTTGGTGTTGGACTCTGGCATGTGTGTGCGTGCTGGGGAGTGTCTTGATGGTGATGTTGTGTCATTGCTTCATTTTTGGCACTCAGTCACTACTCAAGAAAACCAGATTGAAAATTTGGAATCTGTGCTTCAGTGGATTGAAACTGGCCTCCAGTCACTAAGGAAAAAATCAAAACAAAACACACAAGAATTTAGAGAGAATATTTTTCTGCCAAAAAATAATTTTTCCTTTATGCTATTTCTTATTTGGGTCAATACTCCAATGGAAAAAATAGATAGATTGGTCAAGAGTTCAATATAATTTTCTGTGACATTTGAACTAAAGTAACTCATAAAAACTTAAACACAGGAAATTGTATCCTCTCCTGCTGATGTATGTGTGACTATTTGTCTCTCTTAAAAGAAAAAAGTAGAAGAAGAGAATTAATTGAATGGTATTTTGTTTTACTTGAGATGTTAAACTAATGTCAAACTAATTTATTTATTCAATAAATATTTATTAAGCACCTACTACATGCTGGTACTACAAGCCAGGTATAGATGCTTGGGATGTATTAATGAGCAAAACAAAACCAGTAGCAAACTTGTACACGCAGATAAGGGTTTCAAATATTGTTGGCATGGGCCAGGTGCAATGGATCACACCTGTAATCCTAGCACTTTGGGAGGCTCTTTAAATAGAGACCCCCATCTCTATTTAAAGAAAAAAGAAAAAAAATTATTGTTGGCACAGTCATAAAAATGGGAACAGTAGACACAGGGGAATACAAGATTGGGGAAGGGAGTGAAGTAAATGTTAAAAAAACTATCTGTTGGGTACTATACTCACTACCTGGATGACAGGTTGGATTCATGCATACTCCAAAACTCAGCATCATGCAATATACCCGGGTAACAAACCTGCACATGTATCCCCTGATTCTAAAATAAAAGTTCAAAAAATAAAAATAAAATAAAAATCATTGGGCTTCTGAGACTCATTTGTTAACTAATTTATTTTCTTGCTATTATTGCTATCATAATGCTTGGCTAAATAGCTGTTATAATTGCCTCAATTTTGAAAATATCAGGTTTGTTCGTTTGTTTGTTTTTGAGATGGAGTTTTGCTCTGTCACCCAGGCTGGGGTGCAATTGAGCAATCTCGGCTCACTGCAACCTCTTCCTCCCAGGTTTAAGCTATTCTCCTGCCTCAGCCTCCTGAGTAGCTGGGATTACAGGTACAAGCCACCAAGCCTGGCTAATTTTTTGTATTTTTAGTAGAGACGAGGTTTCACCATATTGGCCAGGCTGGTCTCGAACTCCTGACCTCCAGTGATCTGCCCGCCTCAGCCTCCCAAAGTGCTGTGATTACAGGCATGAGCCACTGCTCCCGGCCTCAAAATATCAATTAGAATCTAGCTTCCTGCCCTTTGTTGAGCCAAATGATATGATAGGTGAGGAGAACTGGGAAACTTAGAGGAGGTTACGTAGATCTTTACAAAAACAGAGGGGCTGACTCTGGGATAATATGGAGAATACTGGGGAAGAAAAGTATTATTCAAGTGAGGAAGAATCCACATAAAAGAAGAGATTGGGATTTCTTCTTTTTCTTACTTTCTTTCTTTTTTTTTTTTTTTTTTGAGACAGTCTCACCCAGGCTGGAGAGCAGTGGCGTGATCTCGGCTTGCTGCAACCTCTGCCCTGCCAGGTTCAAGCAATTCTCCTACCTCAGCCTCCTGAGTAGCTGGGATTACAGGCACACACCACCATGCCTGCCTAATTTTTGTATTTTTAGTAGAGATGGGGTTTCACTATGTTGGCCAGGCTGGTCTTGAACTCCTAACCTCAAGTGATCCTCCCACCTCGGCCTCCAAAAGTGCTGGGATTACAGGTGTGAGCCACCGCCCCTGGCCGACAATATCTTCTTGACAGAGGATTTCAACTGGAGGTCAGTTTAAGATTTTTACAATTGTCAAAAGAAGAGCAGGGTTTAAAAAGGCTGAGATACACTGAGCCATAGAATTATATCATTAAACATATGGCCATTGTCATACCTTGGAAAAATTGCTGGCTCTATCAGGTGCAACCTAAGTTATAGTAGTAGAAGTAGTAATGGTTTCAGTGTGTTGTCCAGGGTTTTTTTTTTGTAAAAAAAAGTAGTAATGGTAATAATAATGAAAGAAATAGTAGTAGTAATGACTTCCACTTACAAAAAGCTTACTGTTGGCCAAGCACCATTCTAGACAGTATTTCACTTTGAAAATGTCAATTATAATCTAGTTTCCTGTATCTTTATGAAATATTATTACTATTATTATTATTTTTAAGGCAGGGTCTCACTCTGTCATCCAGGCTGGAGTGTAGTGGGGCAATCATGGCTCACTACAGCCTCAACCTCTGAGGCTCAGGCAATCCTCTGGCCTCGCCTCCTGCATAGCTGGGATATAGGCAGGGTCTCCCTTTGTTGCCCAGGCTGGTCTCGAATTCCTGGACTCAAGCAATCCACCCACCCTGGCCTCTCAAAGAGTTGGGATTATATGCATAGGCCACCATAACTAGCCTAGTTTTCTGGGTTTTGTTAGTCAAATGATGATAGGTGAGGAGAACTGAAGAAATTTACAAGTTACATTGATCTTTATGAAAACAGGTGGGCCGACTCTGGGATAATTTAAGTCACAGCTCTTCTGTGGGGTGATTAGATTACTTGCACAACATTACAAAGATCTTCATCTATTCTTGGATGAATCTGTTGGGCATGGACCACTAGAGGAATAATAGATGCTCTATCATTAGGGATTCTAATCTACTCTGAGGAGAACAAAGAGCCTTTTACTCTCAGAATCAATTCTCAGGACCTCTACCTAGTTCAGAAGAGGCCTCCTCTGGTTAAGAGACCACATGCTGGCCAGGTGCGGTGTTCACGCTTGTAATCCTAACGCGTTACGAGGCCGAGGCAGGAGAATTGCTCGAGCCCAGGATTTCAAGACCAGTCTGGCCAACAGAGTGAGACAATATCTACAAAAAAAAATTTAAAAATTAGCTGGGTGTGGTGGTGCACCCCAGTGTACACACCTGCAGTCCCTACCTTGGGAGGTCGAGGCTGCAGTGAGCTGTGGTTAAACCACCGCTCTCCAGCCTGGGCAACAGAGCAAGACCCTGTCTCAAAAAAACCCCCAAACATATGTAAGCATATTCATCTACAAAAAATTGTTTTAAAGTTAAAAAATAAAAACAAAAATAAAATAAACAACAACAATGAAAAGAAAACAACCAAGAGACCCCATGTGTCCTGAGGTCCTGAGGTACTGGAGAGTCTCTAGACCCACCTAAGAGCAGAAACTTTTAGTCTATTTGAAACTCTAATTACAGAAGGAAACAAGTACCTTGGTGCTTTTGTCTTTGCTTGCAAATACAACAAAAAACTAATGGTAACTTTCTTTCTTTCTTTCTTTCTTTTTTTTTTTTTCTGAGACAGAGTCTCACTCTGTTGCCCAGCCTGGAGTGCAGTGACATGATCTCAACTCACTGCAGCCTCCGCCTCTCGGGTTCCAGCGATTCTCCTACCTCAGCCTCCCAGGTAGCTGGGATTACAGGCACGCACCACCATGCCCTGCTGATTTTTGTATTTTTAGTAGAGATAGGGTTTCACCATGTTGGCCAGGCTGGCTTACGAACTCCTGACCTCAGGTGATCAGCCCGCTTAGGCCTCCCAAAGTGCTAGGATTACAGGCGTGAGCCACCGCACTGGCCGTAATTTCTTTTCTCTTCCTTTCTCTGCTTCTTTCTTCTCTTCTTCTCTCCCTTCTTCCTTTCCTTCCGCCCTCCTTTCTTCCTTCTCTCCTTCTTTCTTTTCATGTATCTATTCAACAAACAAGTATTTAGAGCAGGAGTGTTCAATCTTTGGTTTCCTTGGGCCACATAGAAGAATTGTCTTGGGCCACACATAAAATACATGAACACTAACAATAGCTGATGGACTAAAACACATACACACAAATCTTATAATGTTTTAAGAAAGTTTACAAATTTGTGTTTGGCTGCATTCAAAGCCATCCTGGGCCACATGTGGCCCGTGGGCCTTGGGTTGGACAAGCTTGATTTAGAGCCTCCTTTATGCAACGCCAGGTGCTAGATGCTGGGGCTGCATGGTGAACAGAGGAAGGCCCCTGCCCCGGGAGACACAGCTTGATTCCCTTATGGTGTAGAACACATGAGCCATGAGGTCAGGAGCTGTGGGGTCTTGTTCACCACTGTACCCTCTACCCCTACCTAGCACAGCACATGGCAATAAGTACATGCTCAAAAATACTCTGAGTGAGTGAATACAAGTTGAGTGCTGCCACACTGATTAAAGGGTGCTCTTGAAGTCCCTCAGCTGGTAAATGCCACCCTGCAGACTGCCCAAGTTCCCCTCAGGAAAAACAGAACCAGTGTACATTCAGATCTTAAGAGTGGTCATCCGGAATACGTACCTTATGAAAAAGTAAGGATATTCAGGTTCAGTAATGATATACTTGGTTTGCAAATAACACACGTTCGTTTTCATGTTGCTAAAGACTCCTTGCTAGGAAACGAAACACTTGTAATTTAATATGCAATGTTCTCAAGAGTCTGAGGCCAAACCACCTCAAGCTGTGAATGCCTTGGCTCTGAAGAGCCAGTCAGGGTCAGGGCAGGGCAGCACTTGGCCTGATGCTCCTCCAGAATAAACCAAACAGCCACAGGAAGTGGTTTCTGTGATTCAGTAGGTGGCACACTTCCTTTTGAGTCAGAACTGAATCACAGCTGTGAGAGGCGAAAAATACCTATTTCTTTATCCCATACTTTTTCCCTATTCCCAGTGGTAAATTTATCACAGACTGTCATATAATGTATCCTGTTTAGTTCCGCGTATTTAAGCAAACAAAAAAAATTTGGCAAATCAACTACGGGGAGGCAAGAAAGGAGGGGAAAACACAGCCGACTGGAATTAATCCAAACGTCATTATGTCGTCACAGGGCCATATTCTCAGAGGTGATTGAAAGAATTGCCACAGTGATTTTGCTGGGGTCATTCAGGCCCCTGGTTCTCTCAACTGGAGTCTGACCCATTTCCAGTGAAAGCAGTTAGATCACACTTACATAAACTGTGTTGCTTCAAATGGGCCTGCCCTCCTCTTCACTCACTGACCCTGGCTTGCTTCTTGGCATGTCTGCTGGAAGGCCATTCTCTGTCTGTCCCAGGCATGGCCCTAGTTCAGCTGCGGGTGAAATTATCCTGTTCTGAATGTACTGAATGCTGCTGGCAATGCTGTAAATTGTTGTGAGGCTTAAGGAAAAACCCTGTAGATATCAACAAGTCATAAAAACAGGCGTATTTTCTCTTCGTCTCTTTCCCACTGTGTGTTTTATTCTTCAATATTAACAGTTCTGGGAATGTAAATGTATTTAACTATATTTTCCTCTGATGAACTAGATTTTAGTATATAATTTGTGGCTTCCTTCCATACCAATTTGTTCATATTGATAGCATGCTTCAGAACAAAGCTTCAGAGCTCAGGCTATACATCCTATAACACTCTTGGAAGACCAGTAACCAGACTGGAACCAGAAATCTTATTGCCATGTTAATATGTCATTTTCCTTCTGTGAAATATTCCAATAATGTAAAGAATGCAAGATTCAAAGTCACATAGACCCATGTACACGTTCAATCTACACCAAAGTTTGTGGAGCTGTGTGACCTTCAATAAGTCTCTTAACCTCTCTGAGCCATAATTTCCTCAGTCTGAAAAATGGGATGCTAACATAAGGCCAACATTACAGTGAGAACTAAATAAAACTTTTACATAGTGTCTAGGACAGCTCCTAGCTCATATTTAGTGTTTAAAATAAGCCTCTGATCTTTCTCTTTATTTACAATACCTTTTCATTGGGAGATGAGGACAGCATTTGGACACAACTGTACAGGCACGCTAAGTCTCATCCTTCCAAAGACGTCAGTCACATTCAGCCCCTTTAGCAGTTTCATCAACAGCATGTATAGCACATGTGATAGCAAACAGCAAGTTGGATTCCTTAATAAAGCAGTAAAGAAGGTCAGCCAGGATGTAGGCTTTAAAGCCAAGGCCAGCTCTTCTGGGCAGGACAGTTGTGGCTGATGTATGACAGCCAAATGTAATGAGAGTCCTCATTTGACATATTGAAGCGAGCACCTCAAGGATGGGCAGGGAAAAGAACCATCAGCAGTACTCACCACCAGAGCAGCAGTGAGTGCCCAGGTCAAACTGGACAAGGGCTGGCAGACAGGTGGAAATGTGAGTACATCGTTAGATTTGAAAAGGCCTTTGGCAGGGCACAGTGGCTCACGCCTGTAATCCCAGCATTTTGGAAGGCCAAGGCGGGTGAATCATGAGGTCAGGAGAACGAGACCATCCTGGCTAACACGGTGAAACCCCGTCTCTACTAAAAATGCAAAAAATTACCTGGGTGTGGTGGCGGGCGCCTGTAGTCCCAGCTACTCAGGAGGCTGAGGCAGGAGAATGGCGTGAACCCGGGAGGTGGAGCTTGCAGTGAACCGAGATCGCGCGCCACTGCACTCCAGCCTGGGCGACAGAGCGAAACTCTGTCTCAAAAAAAAAAAAAGAAAAGAAAAGCCCTTTTAAAATGTCCATCCTCCCATAACCCTTTGAAGCCTCCCACGTCCCCCCAGTTCCTCCCAAATGGCATATAAAAAGGGTGATGGCTTTTAGACAAAGGCAGTAGTACTCCCCAAACAGTTAAGGTCCAGAACATCATCTTGTATATACCTGTCTTAGAGCTATCACGTTGTGTACTGGAGTTTCCTGATTACATGACAGACTCCTCTGCTAGACAAACTCCTGAAGACAAGGAGGGGTTCTTATTCATCCTTTAGCCAAACCTTACCTGTAGCTCAGCATGTAGCCCATGGTAGATGCTGAACCAATTTTGTTAACGTGAGAGAAATACAAGAAAGCCAAGTCAGAAATACCATTGTTGCTGTTAGAAAACTTCAAAGAGGAATTTGTGGTCTCTGGTGCCAAGGTCCCATAAGAGTTCCAGCTGGGTGAGCTTCTTGTGAGGAAAGGAGCCAGAAGTCAGAACACATAGTGTGACAATATGAGAGAAAAGAGGATGAAAGCTGTTCTTAAATTGCACCTGTCTAAGGCAATCCGAGCTTGACACATGGTTTCTGGAGGTCTGGGCATTGTCTGAGTGGAGTGTTGATTGTATGTCTCCTGGAGCCTTCTGTTTAAATAACTGCCAGAGCAGGATGACTCAGCAGCCGGAGGATGAGATGCTCTTGATCTGCCGTCCTCTTTAAGTGACAAATCACATTGCCCTGGGTGTCTGTGGCAATCTCTGATATGACACACTCCTTCCTGCCAGCCCATCAACCAGGGTGGCAAGTCACAGTTACTAATCTGGAGACGGCTGAAAATTGCTGACAGGCAAGATCCCATGCTCCAAGTGTAGAGAATCATCTTTAAAATGAACTCTTGTCAATCTTGTCAATAGATTTTCTTTTTTTTTTTTCTTTTTTGAGATGGAGTCTCACTCTGTAGCCAGGCTGGAGTACAGTGGTGTGATCTTGGCTCACCGCAACCTCCACCTCCCGGGTTCAAGTGATGCTCCTGCCTCAGCCTCCCCTGGTAGCTGGGACTACAGGCGCATGCCACCACACCCAGCTAATTTTTGCATTTTTAGTAGAGACGGGGTTTCACCATGTTGCCCAGGCTGCTCCGGAACTCCTGACCTTAGGTGATCCGCCCACCTCAGCCTCCCAAAGTGCTGGGATTACAGGCGTGAGCTACCACGCCCAGCCTAGATTTTGTTACTGAGACTGAGTCTCACTCTGTTGCCCAGGCTGGAGTGCAATGGTGTGATCTTGGCTCAGTGCAACCTCTGCCTCCTGGGTTCAAGCAATTCTCTTGCTTCAGCTTCCTGAGTACCGGGGATTACAGACGCCTGCCACCACACCTGGCTATTTGTATTTTTAGTAGAAACGAAGTTTCGCCATGTTGGCCAGGCTGATCTCAAACTGCTGACCTCAAGTGATCCGCTCGCCTCGGCCTTCCAAAGTGCTGGGATTCTAGGCATGAGCCACGGCACTCAGCCTTGTTTCTGAAATGTAGAGACTGATTTTACATTTCTAGTCTGTCTCCATATCAAAGACTCCCTATTGTCTTCAGGATAAAGTCGAAATTCAATATCCTGACCATTAGGGTCCTATAGGAACTTATCTATACCTACCTTCCTAGCATAATAGAATCTTAACTTGTTTTGCTTTTTTTTCTACTTGATATCGGCTTACTTCTGTTTGTTTCTTTGTTTTTGTCCCTGGCAGATAAATGGTGACAGGACAAAGCTTTAAGAACGTGGCCTAGAGGCCAGGTGTGGTGGCTCACTCCTATAATCCCGGTACTTTGGGAGGCCGGAGCATGCAGATCACTTGAGATCAGGAGTTGGAGACCAGTCTGACCTAACATGGTGAAACCCTGTCTCTACAAAAAATCCAAAAAATCCAGATGTGTTGGTGCACTCCTATAATCCCAGCTACTCGGAGGCTGAGGCAGTAGAATCGCTTGAACCTGGGAGATGGAGGTTGCAGAGAGCCCAGATCACCCCACTGCACTCTAGCCTGGGTGATGGAGCGAGACTCCTTCTGAAAGGAGAAGAAGGGGAAGGGGAAGAGGAAAAAGGGGAAGGAGAAGAAGGGGAAAGGGAAGGGGGAAAAAAAGAAAAGAGAAAAGTGGCCTAGGAGGAAATCCTACCTAGTAGCTATTTCCTGAAAATTGCAGAAGTTACCATTATTAAAATTTAGTAGGCTGGGTATGGTGGCTCACACCTATAATCCTAGCACTTTGGGAGGCCGAGGTGGGAGGATCTCTTGAGCTCAGGAGTTTAAGACCAGCTCAGGCAAGAGTGACACCCCTGTCCTTACAAAAATATCAAAAAATTAGCTGGATATGGTGGCATGCACCTGTGTTCCCAGCTACATGGGAGGCTGAGGCTGGAAGATGACCTAAGCCCAGGAGATGGAGGCTGTGGTGAGCCATGATCATACCACTGCACTCCAGCCTGGGTGACAGAAAGAGACCCTGTCTCAATATAAGTAAATAAATAAATAAATATAAAATTTAGTAGCACAGTACTTTCATGTTGGTCATTAAAGAGCAGTATTCTCTAGATTTTTTTGTTTGACAAATGTTGGTCAACTTTCAAGTAGGGATTCAAGGATAGCTTAGATACGAGACTCAAAAACTATACCTATAGGAACAGAAAACTTAAATTTGTGATTTGGACTAGCTGCTCTGTGCTATGCCCGAAATAAGCTAAATAGGTTTCTAACTTTTTTGTTTGTTTGAGATGGAGTCTCGCTCTGTCACTCAGGCTGGAGTGCAGTGGCATGGTCTCGGCTCACTGCCTCCCAGGTTGAAGCGATTCTCCTGCCTCAGCCTCCTGAGTGGCTGGGATTACAGGTGCACACTGCCACACCTGGCTAATTTTTTATTCTTTTTGGTAGCGATGGGGTTTTACCATGTTGGCCAGGCTGGTCTCGAACTCCTGACCTCAAGTGATCCACTCGCCCAAAGTGCTGGGATTACAGGTATAAGCCACCACACCCAGCTGGTTTCTAACACACTTTTAAGCATTATAAATGCTTTAACTTGTCTGCAAGGGCTGATTCAAATTTCGGATTATGTTTTTGCAACCCCTGGTTCAGATCAAAGGAATGACAATCCACACTATCCATAACCCCACTATTCACCTCTACACCATCCTTCCTACTCACTGCAAACCGTTTTCTAACAGGAATTTCCTTGGCTACATAAGTATTGTCTCTGGCGAACAAGGACTTTGGGTCACACATTTTGTGTTTCCTCAGAGTTTAGTCCAGTGGGTCCTGTCCACACTGTGGTGCTTAACACTATTGACTTGATTTGACTTTGAAAGAGGAGCTCTCCACTTACCTCCAACCTTTGCAGATTCCACTCAAGGATAATTGTGAATTGTGGTTTTTTATTTACCCCCCAGAGTTTAATTACTATTTGCAATATTAATTTCTTTTGGCAGGCAGTAGTAATTTTACAAATCTCTTTTGGAGCCCAGAGGGAAATATTTCCACTTGAGATAAATGTTTGGGTAACAACAATGAAAACAGAAAATATTCAGACTTTTTGTGATTCTAATTCACTTGCAAGTTTTACTTTTTCTGCTTTGAGATATTCTGTAGCTATGAGTCCTTAGGAAATCCACTTTGGTTTACTTATAATAATTTTAAGCAGTATTTTAAAATGAAACAAAGTAAAACAACATGTTGTTTCATTAGGTTACTGTAAACATTTAAAAATACATATGTAAGGCTGGGCACGGTGGCTCACACCATTGGACTCCAGTCTGGGCAATAGAGTGAGACTCTGTCTCAAAAAAAAAAAAAAAAACAAAAAACACACACACATAGAAGAAACTCTGAAACATATAATCTCACAACCAAGGAATAACAATGGTAGGTATTCTGGAGTACACACTTTACAAAGTTGTTTGTTTGTTTGTTTTTGGAGTTGGAGGTGAGGGTAGGTGGGAAGGTGAAGTTGGGGGCGAGGTCTTTGTTGTTGTTTTGTTGTTGTTGTTTGAAGCAGGGTCTCACTCTGTCACCCAGGCTGGAGTGCAGGCCGCGATCTGGGCTCACTGTGGTCTTGATCTCCCTGTGCTCAAGTGATCCTCCCATTTCAGCCTCCTGAGTAGCTGAGTAGCTGGGACTACAGGTGTGTGCCACCACGCCCAGCTGAATTGTTTTGTTTTGTTTTTATTTTGTAGAGATGGGGTTTCACCATGTTGCCTAGGCTGGTCTCGAATTCCTGAGCTCAAGCGATCTGCCTGCCTCAGCCTCCCAAAGTGCTGGCATTATAGGAGTGTGTCACTGTGCCCGGCCATCAGAATTTTACTTTTATAAGGAATACTGATCATGCTAGTTTGTTAACTACTTTTCAAATTTAATAATAGATGACACACCCTTTTCTATAGCTATTTAATTGTTCTAACAATTTCTTTGGCTATAACAATTTATTCTTTTATGGCTTCATAATATATTTAGCCAAACCTTGTATTTCCCATTACTATATAATGCTACGAAGACAGTTTTGTAAATTAATATTTATTTGAATCTCCTATTCAGCCCTACATGTAGACTTCCTGAATTGAATGTCATGATATTTCTGAAGCTGTTTTTTTTTTTTAATAGATGGCGGTCGGGCACTGTGGTTCCCACATATAATCCCAGCACTTTAGGAGGCCAAGGGGGGCAGATCCCTTGAGGTCAGCAGTTTGAGACCAGCCTGGCCAACATGACAAAACCCCATCTCTACTAACAATATGGAAAAAAGAAAAAGATGGTTAACATTTATCTTTAGAAAATTTGTATCAACCTGGCCAAGCGCAGTGGCCCATTCTTGTAATCCCAGCACTTTGGGAGGCCGAGGCAGGTGGATCACATGAGGTCGGGAATTCAAGACCAGCCTGAACAATATAGAGAAACCCTGTCTCTACTAAAAATACAAAAATTAGCTAGGCATGGTGTCACATGCCTGTAAGCCCAGCTGCTTGGGAAGCTGAGGCAGAAAAATCGCTTGAACTGGGGAGGCGGAGATTGTGGGGAGGCGGAGATTGTGGTGAGCCCAGATCGTGCTATTGTACTCCAGCGTGGGCAACAAGAGCGAAACTCCTTCTCAAAAAAAAAAAAGAAAAGAAAAGAAAATTTGGGTCAACAGATACTCCTATGAGTGCTACGGATTTTTAGAATCACCGTGATAATCTCTTTCCGCTGCCAAATACTGTATGTGTGTGTGTGTGTCTGTGTCTGTGTGTGTGTGTCTGTGTGTGTGTGTGTGTGTGTGTGTGTGTGTGAATTAGCAAATATTTATTGTGCACCTCCTAAGTTCTAGGCACAGGAAGGGTGAACAAGGTAGAGAACTTACTTTAATTTTTTAATTTTTAATTAATTAATTACTTGTTTTTGAGACAAGTTCTGGCTCTGTCACCCAGGCTGGAGTACAACCTCTGCCTGCCAAGTTCAATCAATTCTTGGGCCTCGGTCTCCCCAGTAGCTGAAATTACAGGCGCCCGCCACCACGCCCAGCTAATATTTGTATTTTTAGTAGAAATGGAGTTTCACCATGTTGTCTAGGCTGGTCTCAAACTCCTGACCACAAGTAATCAGCACGCCTTGGCCTCCCAAAGTGCTGGGATTACAGGCGTGAGCCACCGTGCCCGGCCTATTTTTATTTTTTTATTTTAAGACTGGTCAAGTGCACTAGTGAGAAGTGGGGAAAAGTAGAACAGAGAACTTGAATCTTATTGATGGAATTGTGCAATGAACGAATTATATAATTTCAGGCTGAGTTATATGCTATAAAGAAGAGTAAAGCAGTATGTGTATGCATTTGTGTGAAACTGGATTGTGAAGTGGGGTATAATTATTTTTTTTTAATTTTAAAATAATGTCCTATTTTTATTTTATTTTATTTTATTTTATATTTTATTTCAACAGTTTTTGAGAAACAAGTGGTTTTTGGTTACATGGATAAGTTCTTTAGTGCTGATTTCTGAGATTTTGGTGTACCTATCACCCGAGTGCTGTACACTGTACCCAATATGTAGTCTTTATTTCTCACCTCCCTCCCACCCTTCCCCTCAAGTCCTCAAAGCTCATTATATCATCCTTATGCGTTTGCATACTCATAGCTTACCTCCCACTTATGGGTGAGAACATACAATGTTTAGTTTTCCATTCCTGAGTTATTTCACTTAGAATAATCATCTCCAATTCCATCCAGGTTGCTGTATGCCATTATTTTATTCCTTTTTATGGTTGAGTAGTATTTCATGGTGTATATATACCACATTTTCTTTATCCAGTCTTTGGTTTATAGGCATTTTGGTTGGTTCCATATCTTTGCAATTGTGAATTATGCTGCTATAAACACATGTACGCAAGTGTCTTTTTTATATAATGACTTATTTTCCTTTGGGTAGATACCTAGTAGTGGGATTGCTGGATCAAATGGTAGTTCTATTTTTAGTTCTTTAAGGAATCTCTGTACTGCTTTCCATAGTGGTTGTACTAGTTTACATCCGTTCAGCAGTGTAAAAGTGTCCCCTTTTCACCACATCCCATCCAGGTCAACTTTTTGTTTGTTTGTTTGTTTGTTTGTTTTTTTAGAGATAGGGTCTTACTTTGTTGGCCGTGCTGGCCTTGAACTCCTGAGCTCAAGTGATCTGCTCACCTTAGCCTCCCAAAGTGCTGGGATTAGGGGCATGAGCCACCACACCTGGCTCAACATCTATTTTTTAAAAATTTTTATTTATTTTATTTTATTTGAGACAGAGTTTTGCTCTTGTTGCCCAGGCTGGCACGCAATGGCGCCATCATGGCTCACCGCAACTTCTGCCTCCCAGGTTCAAGCGATTCTCCTGCCTCAGCCTCCCGAGTAGCTGGGATTACAAGTATGAACCACCATGCCCGGCTAATTTTGTGTTTTCAGTAGAGATGGAATTTCTCCATGTTGGTCAGGCTAGTCTCAAACTCTTGACCTCAGGTAATCCATCCCCCTCAGCCTCCCAAAGTGCTGGGATTACAGGCATGAGCCACCACGTCCGACCTCTTATTGTTTTATTTTTAAATTATGGCTATTTTTACAGGACTAAGGTGGTATACTATTGTGGTTTTAATTTGCATTTCTCTGTAATTAGTGAGGTTGAGCATTTTTTTTCATGTTTTTTGGCCATTTATATATCTTCTTTTCTTTTTTTTTTTTTTGAGACGGAGTTTTGCTCTTGTTGCCCAGGCTGGAGTGCAATGGTGTGATGTCAGCTCACCACAACCTCCACCTCCCGGGTTCAAGTAATTCTCCTGCCTCAGCCTCCCGAGTAGCTGGGACTACAGGCATGCACCAACACGCCTGGCTAATTTTGTGTTTTTAGTAGAGACAGGGTTTTTCCATGTTGGTCAGGCTGGTCTCGAACTCCTGATCTCAGGTGACCTGCCTGCCTTGGCCTCCCAAAGTGCTGGGATTACAGGCGTGAGCCACCATGTCTGGCCGGCCATTTATATATCTTCTTTTGAGTATTGTCTATTCATGTCCTGTGCCCACTTTATTTGTTTTTTTCTTGCTGGTTAGTTTGAGTTCTTTATAGAGCCTGGATATTAGTCCTTGTTGGAATGCGTAGTTTGTGAAGATTTTCTCCCACTCTGGATTGTCTGTTTACTCTGCTATTTCTTTTGCTGTGCAGAAGCATTTTAGTTTAATTAGTTCTCATCTATTTATCTTTGTTTTTATTGTTGCATTTGCTTTTGGGTTCTTGGTCATGAACTCTTTGCCTAAGCCAATGTCTAGAAAAGTTTTTCTGATGTTATTTTCTAGAATTTGTATGGTTTCAGATCTTAAAGTCTTCAATCCATCTTAATTTTTGTATAAGGTGAGAGATGAGGATTCAGTTTCATTCTTCTACATGGGGCATGACAATTATCTCAGCATCACATGTTGTATGGGATGTCCTTTGCCCGCTTTGTTTTTGTTTGCTTTGTCGAAGATAAGTTGACTATAAGTACTTGGCTTTATTTCTGGGTTCTCTATTCCGTTCCATTGGTCTACATGCCTATTTTTAGGGTATCAGTATTTTAGACAGTTGGTCAGGGAAGCCCAGTATAAGGATGCAGTATCAGAATAGAAACTGTTTCTAAAACTAAGACCTT